>NC_000011.10:118990606-119293636 GCF_000001405.40 Homo sapiens
TGTCCAGCCTATAGTTTTTGTTTGTCTGTTTGTTTTTTGAGACAGTCTAGCTCTGTCACCCAGGCTTGAGTGCGGTGGCATGATCTCAGCTCACTGCAACCTCAGCCTCCTGGTTTCAAGTGATTCTCGTGCCTCAACCTCCTGAGTAGCTGGGACTACAGGTGAGCACCAACACACCTGGCTTTTTGTATTTTTAGTAGAGACCAGGTTTCGCTATGTTGGCCACATGTTGGCTAGGCTGGTTTCGAACTCCTGATCTCAAGTGATTCACCTACCTTGGCCTCCCAAAGTGCTGGGATTACAGGCATGAACTACCGCACCTGGGCTACAATTTTTGTTGTTGTTGTTGTTGTTTTGGGTTTTTTTGTTTTGTGTTTGTTTTTTTTTTTTTGTTCTTTTAGTATTTATTGATCATTCTTGGGTGTTTCTCGGAGAGGGGGATTTGGCAGGGTCATAGGACAATAGTGGAGGGAAGGTCAGCAGATAAACATGTGAACAAGCATCTCTGGTTTTCCTAGGCAGAGGACCCTGCGGCCTTCCACCGTGTTTGTGTCCCTGGGTACTTGAAATTAGGGAGTGGTGATGACTCTTAATGACCATGCTGCCTTCAAGCATCTGTTTAACAAAGCACATCTTGCACCGCCCTTAATCCATTTAACCCTGAGTGGATACAGCACATGTTTCAGAGAGCACGGGGTTGGGGGTAAGGTTATAGATTAACAGCATCCCAAGGCAGAAGAATTTTTCTTAGTACAGAACAAAATGGAGTCTCCCATGTCTACTTCTTTCTACACAGACACAGTAACAATCTGATCTCTCTCTTTTCCCCACATTTCCCCCTTTTCTATTCAACAAAACCGCCATCATCATCATGGCCCGTTCCCAATGAGCTGTCGGGTACACCTCCCAGACGGGGTGGCAGCCGGGCAGAGGGGCTCCTCACTTCCCAGACGAGGCGGCCGGGCAGAGGCGCCCCCCACCTCCCTCCCGGACGGGGCGGCTGGCCAGGCGGGGGCTGCCCCCCACCTCCCGGACAGGGTGGCTGCCGGGCGGAGACGCTCCTCACTTCCCGGACGGGGCGGCTGCCGGGCGGAGGGGCTCCTCACTTCCCAGACGGGGCGGCTGCCGGGCGGAGGAGCTCCTCACTTCCCAGACGGGGTGGCTGCCGGGCGGAGGGGCTCCTCACTTCTCAGACGGGGCGGCCGGGCAGAGACGCTCCTCACCTCGCAGACTGGGTGGCGATCGGGCAGAGACACTCCTCAGTTCCTAGACAGGGTCGCGGCCGGGCAGAGGCGCTCCTCACATCCCAGACGGGGCAGTGGGGCAGAGGCAATCCCCACATCTCAGACAATGGGCAGCCAGGCAGAGACGCTCCTCACTTCCTAGACGGGATGGCGGCCGGGAAGAGGCGCTCCTCACTTCCCAGACTGGGCAGCCGGGCAGAGGGGCTCCTCACATCCCAGACGATGGGCGGCCAGGCAGAGACGCTCCTCACTTCCCAGACGGGGTGGCGGCCGGGCAGAGGTTGCAATCTCGGCACTTTGGGAGGCCAAGGCAGGCGGCTGGGAGGTGGAGGTTGTAGCGAGCCGAGATCACGTCACTGCACTCCAGCCTGGGCAACATTGAGCACTGAGTGAGCGAGACTCCGTCTGCAATCCCGGCATCTCGGGGGGCCGAGGCAGGCAGATCACTCGCGGTCAGGAGCTGGAGACCAGCCCGGTCAACACGGCGAAACCCTGTCTCCACCAAAAAATGCAAAAACCAGTCAGGCGTGGCGGCACGCGCCTGCAATCCCAGGCACTCTGCAGGCTGAGGCAGGAGAATCAGGCAGGGAGGTTGCAGTGAGCCGAGATGGCGGCAGTACAGTCCAGCCTCGGCCTTCATAACTTTGGTGGCATCAGAGGGAGACCGTGGAGAGGGAGGGGGAGGGGGAGAGGGAGAGAGAGAGGGAGCTACAATTTTTAATAAAGGAAATTTTGTACAATTTTTTTTTTTGAGATGAAGTCCCGCTCTGTCACTCAGGCCGGAGTGCAATGGTGCAATCTCAGCTCATTGCAACCTCTGCCTCTGGGTTCAAGCGATTCTCTTGCGTCAGCTTCCTGAGTAGCTGGGATTACAGGTGTGCGCCAGCATGCCTGGCTAATTTTTGTATTTTTAGTAGAGACACGGTTTCACCATGTTGGTCAGGCTGGTCTCAAACTCTGGACCTCGTGATCCACCCGCCTTGGCCTCCCAAAGTGCTGGGATTACAGGCGTGAGCCACCATGCCCGGCCCATTTTTTTACAATTTTTAAGGAAAGCTACCCATGAGCCCATTTGGTAGCTTGATACTACTAATTAGCAGGCTGTTAGCTGCATGCTTCCTGGGCTCCTTCCATGCACTAACTCCCACCACTAAAGGGCATCTTAACCTCAGGGTGCCTGGGTTTTGATGTTTTCTACTTAATTTGACAAGTGTACATAGAGAGCCGCCATCTGTTAATTAAGAGTCGGGCATGAATAGAACACAATCCCTGCACTTGAGGAGCCTTTTTTTTTTTTTTTTTTTTAGAGACAGAGTCTCGCTGTGTCATCCAGGCTGGAATGCAGTGGCGCGATCTCGGCTCACTGCAAACTCCGCCTCCTGGGTTCACCCCATTCTCTTGCCTCACCTCCTGAGTAGCTGGGACTACAGGTGCCCACCACCATGCCTGGCTAATTTTTTGCATTTTTAGTAGAGACGGGGTTTCACCGTGTTAGCCAGGATGGTCTTGATTTCCTGACCTTGTGATCCGCCTGCCTCGGCCTCCCAGAGTGCTGGGATTACAGGCATGAGCCACCGTGTCCGGCCAAGCTTTTCAATTATTGGTTTTCAACTGACTACTAGACAAAAATGATGACAGGATGAGCAAAGGACCTTGGAGTTGAGAAATTAATTCTTCAGGGACAACTCTGGAAGGCTTCACAAAGGGGTGACATTTCATTCTTTCAATAAACATTGATTCAGAGCTTACCATATGCCAGATAAAGTCATCAGCTTCACGGAAATTACTTCTAGTTCATATTTCGGAGCCTTATATAATAGAAAATTTGTGAGGCAGGATTGGAAAGATGTAAATTCCAGGCAGAGGGGCCGAAGATGCTGAAGTTCGTAGGAGCAGACTAGAGTATGGAGGATATACGGAGCATAATAGAGCAGACACTTGGAAACCAGTTAGAAAGATTTTACATGAACCCAAGCAAGAGAGGAGGAAAATTGAAATGAGGTATGCTCTGAGTTTAAAAAAAATGTAAGATAGGCTGGGTGCAGTGGCCCATGCCTGTAATTCCAGCACTTTTGAGGCCAAGGCAGGAGGATCCCTTGAGCCCAGGAGTTCAAGACCAGCCTGGGCAACATAGCGCAACCCTGTCTCTATTATATATATATATAATTTTTTTAAGGGTAGGGGGCTGGGCGTGGTGGCTCATGCCTATAATCCTAGCACTTTGGGAGGCCAAGGTGGGCAGATCACCTGAGGTCGGGAGTTCAAGACTAGCTTGGCCAACATAGTAAAACCCCATCTCTACTAAAATACAAAAATTAGCCGGGCATGATGGTAGGTTCCTGTAATCCCAGCTACTCAGGAGGCTGAGACAGGAGAATCGCTTGAACCAGGGAGACAGTGGTTGCAGTGAATGGAGATCACACCACTGCACTCTAGCTTGGACAGCTGAGTGAGGCTCGGTCTCAGAAAAAAAAAGGAAGACAGCTGGGCGCGGTGGTGCACCCTGTGGTCCTAGCTACTCAGGAGGCTGAGGTGGGAGGATCCCTTGAGCCCAGGAGTTCTAGACTGTAATGCATTATGCAGTTTGGGTGTCCACACTAAGTTCAGCTTCAACATGGTGACCTCCCAGGACAGGGGACTATCCAGGTTGTCTATGGAGGGGTGAAACAGCCCAGGTCGGAAATGGAGCAGGTCAAAACTCCCAAGCTGGGCTGGTCTGATGGTAGTGGGTTATTAGAATTTAATAACATTAGTGTCACTAAAGTTGGTATACAACCCCCCACTGCTAAATATGACTGGCTTAAAAAATTTGTTTTAAAACCCCAAAGCTCCCATGCTGATCAATAGTAGGTTGGCACCTGTGAACAACCACTGCACTCCAGCCTGGGCAACACAGAAAGACCCCGTTTCAAAAAATAAATGGGGACAGACCCCTTAAACATATTAGAAGTCCAGTGAATAAGACAACTTGTGCGCAGTGAATGTTGGGTGGGGTTTAGTAAAAGGGAAGATGTTGAGTTCCATTTGACACAAGCCAAGTTCCAGGTGCGTTGTCTTATGCCTGTAATCCCAGCACTTTGACCAGCCCAGCATGGGAGTTTTACGCCTGTAATCCTGGCACTTTGGGAGGCCGAGGCGGGTGGATCACCTGAGGTCAGGAGTTTGAGACCAGCCTGACCAACATGGTGAAACCCTATCTCTACTAAAAATACAAAATTTAGCCAGGCATGGTGGCGCACACCTGTAATCCCAGCTACTCAGGAGGCTGAGACAGAAGAATCACTTGAACCCAGGAAGCGGAGGTTGCAGTGAGCTGAGATCTAACCACTGCACTCCAGCCTGGGCGACAGCAAGACTCCGTCTCAAAAAAAAAAAAAACCTGGAAGTTTGGGGTGAGTTATTCTGGGTTTTTTTGTTTTTGTTTTTTGAGACAGAATCTCGCTCTGTTGCCCAGGCTGGCAGGCTGGAGTGCAGTGGCGCAATCTCGGCTCACTGCAACCTCCACCTCCTGGGTTCAAGCGATTCTCCAGCCTAAGCCTCCTGAGTAGTTGGTACTACAGGTGCGTGCCACCACACCCGACTAAGTTTTTGTATTTTTAGTAAAGATAGGGTTTCACCTTGTTAGCCAGGATGGTCTCGATCTCCTGACCTTCTGATCCGCCCGCCTCGGCCTCCCAAAGTGCTGGGATTACAGGCGTCAGCCACTGCACCCTGCTTTTTTTTTTTCTTTTTGAGACAAGGTCTCATTTTGTTGTCCAGGCTAGAGTGCAGTGGCACAAACACAGCTCATTGCTGCAGCCTCAACCTCCCAGGCTCAAGCAATCCTCCTGCCTCAGCCCCCCAAGTAGCTGGGACTATAAGCACATGTCACCAGACCCAGCTAATTTTTGTTTTGTGTTTGGTTGTTTTTGAGATAAGAGTCTTGCTCTGCCACCCAGGCTGGAATGCAGTGGCGCAACAGGTTCAGTGCAACCCCCGCCTCCTGGGTTCAAGCAGTTCCCCTGCCTCAGCCTCTCGAGTAGCTGGGACTAGACACATGCCACCACACCAGGCTAATTTTTGTATTTTTAGTAGAGATGGGGTTTTGCCATGTTGGCCCAGCCTGGTCTTGAACTCCTGACCTGAGGTGATCTGCCTGCTTAGCCTCCCAAAGTGCTGGGATTACAGGCGTAAGCCACCGCGCCTGGCAGTACTTTTTTGTAGAGACAGGGTTTCGCCATGTTGGCCAGGCTGCTCTCAAACACCTGGGCGCAAGCCATCTGCCCACCTCGGTTTCCTAAACTACTGGGATTACAGGCATGAACCACTACACCCAGCCTCCAGGCTTTAACTTGGTGGTGTCATTCACTGGGAGGATGAAAATAGGGGATGTCCTGAAGAGGAAGATGTTGAGTTCCATTTGACACAAGCCGAATTCCGATGCCAGCTGACTACTTGGTGGTGGAGAACTTCAGTGAAGCAGTTTCATAAGCAAAACTGCTGAAGGCTTAGACGTTACTAGAAGTTGAAGCAGATAGTGGTGTAGACTACTCTGACCAGCTTTGGAACACATGAGGGAAGCATGCCTGGGTTGATCCAAAATTGGGGTTTGACAGAACGAGAGGTCTTGGAAGGTCAAGTGAAGTAAGAAGTTGCCTTGAGAGGGCAGCTGAACATTCCTGAGATCCAATGACGAAACTGAAGCAAGAGGATCTAAGACCTAGACCAGTGCTTCTCAAATTTGATCCCGCATCAGTATCCCCTGAAAAGCTCATAAAACCACAGCCGGCTGGGCCTCACCCTGAGTTCTTTTTTTTTTTTTGAGACGGAGTCTCACTCTGTCGCCCAGGCTAGAGTGCAGTGGTGCAATCTTGGCTCACTGCAACCTCCGCCTCTTGGGTTCAAGCGAGTCTCCTGCCTCAGTCTCCCGAGTAGCTAGGATTATGGGCACACGCCACCACATCTGGCTAATTTTTCTATTTTTAGTAGAGACGGGGTTTCACCATGTTAGCCAGGCTGGTCCTCAACTCCTGACCTCAGGTGATCCACCCTCCTCTGCTTCCCAAAGTGTTGGGATTACAGGCATGAGCCACCACGACAGGCCCTCACCCCAAGTTTCTGATTCAGTAGTTCTGGGTTGGGGCCCAAGAATGTGCGTTACTGACAAGTTCCCTGATGCTGATGCTATAGGCCCAGGGGGAATGGGGAAGCACACTTCGAAAACCCCTGGTGGAGAGTAAAGCATCAGCAGCAGGCAGACGTTGAATCATTTCCAGAGTGAATGGATGAAAAGAGGCGTCTTCTTCAGGAAGAGAGGTCTTCCTGTAGTCAAAGACTAGGCTGACGGTAAGGCCACATCGGATAACTTAAGGTGGTAGGCAGAGCCGAACTTCAGAGTCTGGATTCAGAGACGAAGCAATTTGGGGGGACAAGGTCGAGGACTGACCCTGCCAGGGGAATGATAGGAGATCAAGGAATTGGGTGTTACAAGGGTATTCAAAATGAATTATTTCTGGCAGAGGCTACAGTCTAGAGGACAGTTCCAACAGGAAGTGAAGATCTGAAGGGTTGGAAGTAGCTACGCCGGGCCTGAATTCTGTAGCGCTGACCGTGGGCAGGCCCTACAGACAGCAAGCAGTCCATCCACGTTAGTGCACCAGAACTAGCAACAAAATCTACGGGAAGTGTGCGATCCCTCAGCAACAACGCTGCACGCTGTGTAGCCTCCCTTACAGCTTTATAGGAACCACGGCGAGCACACCCTGTGGGGGCGATTGAGTTTAGTTCGTGGTCCCCTCCAGCAGGCATTCCCCTCCAACCGCCGTACTGATGAGTGACGGGGATCAGGTGCTGACCGCGCTACTTAACACCCGTGCAACCCTCCTCAAAGCTCCTTACCTCCTCATGCCTCAGGTTTCCCGCTTAAAAATGCGCTAATAGCAGTAATAGTAAACCACACAACCTCAGCGAGATGACACAGTGAGGTGGTTAACGTAAAGCTCTGGACACACAGTGCGCACCTATACATCAGTTATTAAGTGTCCTGTTGGCTACTACAGGTCCTGGCCAATGCTCAGAGTTGCGTGTGGCCTATGAGCCTCACGTTGCGGCGGGCGCGCGTCCCCGCACATCTGCAGGACGGCGCCATCCTCCTCCTTAACCCGCCCAGCTCTGGGATGTTGTTGCCTGGGCGGGACTAGAGGCCCGGGAGGAGTCTGCGCAGCCGCAGAAGGGCTTGCAGTGGCGCCTGCCGGGCGCTGAGGGCCGCGGGAGCCGCCGGGTTAGCCCCACCCCGAGGGGTCAGGGTCAGAGGCCGCCGGATGGCGTAGGATCGGCCGCTGGTGGTGGTGATACCGGGTACCCGGGCTATGGCGCCGGCGCAGCGCTGCCCTCTGTGCCGCCAGACCTTCTTCTGTGGTCGCGGGCACGTTTACAGCCGCAAGCACCAGCGGCAGCTGAAGGAGGCTTTGGAGAGGCTCCTGCCCCAGGTGCGGAGGCAAGGCTAGAGATGGGATGGGAGTGCGGGGCAGGTCAGTGAAGGCCAGAGCGGGTGTGATTTGGGGGTCCCCCTCGGGGTTCTACTTGGCCTCTCTGCGGCAGGTGGAGGCGGCCCGCAAGGCCATCCGCGCCGCTCAGGTGGAGCGCTATGTGCCCGAACACGAGCGATGCTGCTGGTGCCTGTGCTGCGGCTGTGAGGTGCGGGAACACCTGAGCCATGGAAACCTGACGGTGCTGTACGGGGGGCTGCTGGAGCATCTGGCCAGGTGAGAGCCGAGCTAGGAGCCTGCTCCAGCACAGACGCATACATATACGGGAGGAGGGTTTGGGGTGGGTGAGAAAAAGGACGCTTTTGTGATTTGATCAAGAAGGATGGATTGAGTCACTTCACAGGTTTTGCCAGCCTTGTTAGGGTAGGGGTCATATGCTGCCACGGTCCCAAGTGGTGCTGGTGGTCTGGCTGCGAGAGCCCGCTTGGTTACCGCCCCTAACCTCCCCTCAGATTCTCACAATTTTATGGGAAGAAGAGACACGAGATCTTGAAGAGATGGTAACAGTGTTCCTCTCTCAGCCGTGCCCCAGGCAGAAACCCAGATGTCAGTTTGCATTACAAACCTAATGCTTAATATCTGAGTAATATTTTATAATCTATAGCTGAGATTACTTATCCTCTCCATTTTCAGCCCAGAGCACAAGAAAGCAACCAACAAATTCTGGTGGGAGAACAAAGCTGAGGTCCAGATGAAAGAGAAGTTTCTGGTCACTCCCCAGGATTATGCGCGGTGAGTCACTGGTATGGAACGTGAAGTAGCAGAGTGAATTCTCTGGATCTTTGTCAGGTATGGGAGCTTACTCTATTAACTGGAAAGTTCAGGAGGGACTTACGAAGAATCTGCTGTCTTCATAGCACTTCTTATTCTAGGTACTATATTGGACACAAAAATGTGACAGTTCTTGAGGTTTAGTTGGGGGATAGGATTTAGCAAATAGAGAACAATACTAAAAGTTGACTGTTATCAACTACTTAAATATGAGGCACCGAGAATACTAACGTTAGAAGAGGCTGTTTATAGTTTGTAAGAAACTGCTGCTCAGCCAGTACCTACTTTTAATAGTTTTGGACTCTATTTTATTTTATCTTTTCTTTTGAGACAGAGTTTTGCTCTTTTCGCCCAGGCTGGAGTGCAATGGCACAATCTCAGCCCACTGCAATTTCAGCCTCCTGGATTCAAGTGATTCTCTTGCCTCAGCCTCCCAAGTAGCTGGGATTACAGGCGCAAACCACCACACCTGGCTAATTTTTGTTTTTACGTTTTTTTCTTTTTTTCTTTTTCTTTTTATTTTTCGCTCTGTTGCCCAGGCTGGAGTGCAGTGGCGCGATCTCCGCTCACTGCAAGCTCTGCCTCCTGGGTTCGCGCCATTCTCCTGCCTCAGACTCCTGAGTAGCTGGGACTACAGGCGCCTGCCACCACGCCCGGCTAATTTTTTGTATTTTTAGTAGAGACGGGGTTTCACCGTGTTAGCCAGGATGGTCTCGATCTCCTGACCTCCTGATCCGCCCACCTTGGCCTCCTAAAGTGCTGGGATTACAGGCGTGAGCCACCGCGCCCGGCCAATTTTTGTATTTTTAGTAGAGATGGGATTTCACCATGTTGGCCAAGTTGGTCACTAACTCCTGACTTGAGGTGACTCACCCGCCTTGGCCTCCCAAAGTGCTGGGGTTATAGACGTGAGCCACCATGCCTGGTCTCAATGATTTTCTTAATGGTATCTGGGAATTCATCTGCTGCCTCTTGGTTGGCAGAAGCTGCCCCTTCTGCTATTTTGACATATTTTAAGCCAACCTTCTTTCTAAAATTATCAAACCATCCTTTGCCGACATTAAATTATCCAGCTTTAGATCCTTCACCTTCCTTTCGCTTTAAGTTGTCATGTAATGATTTTGCTTTTTCTTGAATCCTATTAGAAGCTGTAGGTAGGACTTTCTAATAACAACCCTGTACCCACATAAAAGCTGTGTTTTCAATATGAAGATAAAAAGGTATTGTGCAAAGCATGCAGGGTTTTCATGCCTCCTGGCATAGGTGCAGTGATAGCTTCATGAATTTCCTTTTTTTTTTTTTTTTTTACAGTGTTCCTTAGGCTGGATTTAGTTATTTTTTTCTTTGCCTTTAAAAAAAAATTTTTTTTGTCCAGGCATGGTGGCTCATGTGAAGTCAGGAGTTTGAGACCAGCCTGGCCAACACGGCAAAACCCTGTCTCTACTAAAAATACAAAAATTAGCTGGGTGTGGTGGTGGGTGCCTATAATCCCAGATACTCAGGAGGTTGAGACAGGAGAATCGCTTGAACCTGGCGAGGCAGAGGTTGCAGTGAGCCGAGATCGCACCACTTCACTCCAGCCTGGGCAAAAGATCGAAACTCTGTCTCAAAAGGAAAAAAAAAATTCTTTTTTTTAAATTGAGATGGGGTTTTGCTATGTTGCCCAGGCTGGTCTCGAACTTCTGGGCTCAAGCAATCCGCCTGCCTCAGCCTTCCAAAGTGAGCCACCATGCTTACCCCTCACCCTTTTTTTTCCACATAGATTTTGTCAATGTGCATGGATTCATTTATCTTGAAATGCTGGGCAACTGCAGCTGTAGATCCTAATCTACAGTACATATCAAACAATTCAGCTTTTTCTTGTAATGTCATGACTTTTCTCTGCTTCTTTGGAGTGCTTCAGGCATCACTAGTGGCACCTCCTATAGGTCCCACGTTACTATTTGAGGTTAATGGTATGACATTACTGAAAAATATGCAGGAACCATGAGTGATCACTTTTACTGTAATATGCAATTTACTGGTGAGACAACTGCTTACAAGATGATCAGCATTACTGTGTTTTAAGCAGATACAACACTTGAGTTCACTGCAATAGGTGGCTACAAAATTGTGACAGTTGTAGTTTGGATTATAATTTTATACAGTTATGTAATATTGCATCTTTACATTTATTTTCATTTCTCTTGACCGCGAATGTCACCATGTACAGTCTGTGTTTCTGTGTGTAAGTTTTGATAAATTTTAACTTTTTTTTTTTGGAGAGGGAGTTTTGCTTTGTCACCCAGGGTGGAGTACAGTGGTGCGATCTCGGCTCACTGCAACCTCTGCCTCCCGGGTTCAAGCGATTCTCCCGTTTCAGCCTGGATTTGTGTATTTTATGGTAGTAAATCATAAAAGACTAGTATCTACATATATTTTATGCATTCATGACATACCTTTTTAATTTTTTCCATATTTCTAGGCTATGTGGTTCATCTGCAAGTTTTTTCAAATTGTTGCAAATCTCCAAAAAAATTTTCAAGTGAACTCGTGCAGTTCAAACTTGTGCTGTGCAAGAGTCAACTGTATTTGCTTATTTTCTCAAAAAGGAATGCCTAAAGGATAATCAAGAAACTAATGAAACTGCCAGATGTGGTGGTGCACACCTGTAGTCCTAGCTACTCAGGAGGCTGAGGTAAGAGGATAGCTTGAGCCCAGGAGTTTGAGGCCATCCTGGGCAGTGTATCAAGACCCCATCTCTAAAAAGAAATACGAATTTTTTTTTAGAGAAGTTAATGAAATTGATCACATGGCCATGCTCAGTGGCTGACACCTGTAATCCCAGCACTTTGGGAGGCCGAGGTGGGAGGATCATTTGAGGTCAGGAGTTCGAGACCAGCTTGGTCAACATGGTGAAACCCCATCCCTACTAAAAATACAAAAAATAGCTGGGCGTGTTGGTTTGTGCCTGTAATCCCAGCTACTCGGGAGGGTGAGGCAGGAAAATCGCTTGAGCCCAGGAGGCAGAGATTGTACTGAGCCAAGATCATGCCATTGCACTGCAGCCTGGGCAACAAGAGCAAAACTCTGTCTCAAAAAAAAAAAAAAAAAAAAAAAAGAAACTGATCACATATCAGTTAGTGTAACCAGTTGGTGTGACCCAGTTTGTGGGTCAGTAAAAATGTTTAGAGTTGATAGGAATAGAAAAAAGATTTTTTTTTTTTTTTTTGGACAGTCTCACTCTGTTGCCCAGGCTGGAGTGCAGTGGCACAATCTCAGCTCACTGCAACCTCCACCTCCCAGGTTCAAGCAGTTCTCCCATCTCAGCTTCCAGAGTAGGTGGAATTACAGGCTTGTGCCACTACGCCTGACTAATTTTTGTATTTTAGTAAAGATGGGGTTTCACCATGTTGGCCAGGCTGGTCTTGAACTCCTGACCTCAAGTGATCCACCTGACTCGGCTTCCCAAAGTGCTAGGATTACAGGCATGAGCCACCACACCCGGCCTAGAAACAAGATTTCTATGTATACTTTTAAAAATAAGCTGTTGGTTTTTTTTTTTTTTTCTGATGGTACATTTGGGAATTATACTGTAACAGGCATAAGAAGTAAGATTTCTCCCATGCGAAATTTTGTATTCAGAATCCAATAGAAATATTTCAGGTTTTTTTTCAAGATGGAGTCTCGCTCTGTTGTCCAGGCTGGAGGGCAGCTGCGTGATCTCGGCTCACTGCAACCTCCGCCTCACAGGTTCAAGCAATTCTCCTGCCTCAGCCTCCTGAGTAGCTGGTATTACAGGCATGCGCCACCATGCCTTGATAATTTTTTTTTTAATGGTGAAAAGATATACATATATTTAGAATTAGCCAACTGGACTCAGTTGAGATGATCCCTATTTTGTTGGCAACATCCAAAGCATTGTAATCAGGAGCCAGTCGAACATGTTCCTTCTCTCCATCAGGCCGAATCAGGGTGTTGACCTTGGCCACATCAGTGTCATAGAGCTTCTCTGGTGCTGTGGCTTAACATTCACAGTGAACACAAGTGCGTGTGTCTTCTGTCTTCTTCATGGAGACTCAGTGGTCAGAGGAAACTTGATGATGCATAGTGGTCAAGCTTGTTTCTCCTGGGGGTGCTCTTAAGATATTTGCACTGCCTCCGGAGTCGCAATGTCTTGGGCCGCCAGAAGGCTAGTGATACGCGGATCTTCTTTTTTTTGTGGCTGTGGACACCTTTCAACACTGCCTTCTTGGCCTTCAGAGCCTTGCTTTGGCTTTAGGAGGGGCAGGAGCTTCCTTCTTAGCTTTTGGTGCCATCTTGTGAAAAGGGGCTGATTTTTGTATTTTTCGTAGAGATAGGGTGTCACCATGTTGGCCAAACTGGTCTCGAACTCCTGACCTCAAATGATCTACCCACCTTGGCTTCCCAAAGTGCTGGGATTACAGGCGTGAGCCACTGCACCCGGCCAATAATTAGAAATATTTCTCTCTCTTTTTTTTTTTTTTTTTTGGGAGACAGAGTCTTGTTCTGTTGCCCAGGCTGGAGTGGCATGATCTTGGCTCACTGCAACCTCCACCTCCTGAGTTCAAGCGATTCTCCTGCCTCAGCCTTCCGAGTAGCTGGAACTACAGGTGCATGCCACCACACCTGGCTAATTTTTGTAATTGTAGTAGAGATGGGGTTTTACCATATTGGTCAGGCTGGTCTCGAACTCCCGACCTCAGGTGATCCGCCTGCCTTGGCCTCCCAAAGTGCTGGGATTATAGGCGTGAGCCACCGAGCCCGGCCCAAATTAGAAATATTTCTAATCAGATATTTCCATGGTTATAGATATTTGGTTGCTTGGTTCATATGCATAGAAACAGTTGTCATAACTGTAAAAAGCAGTACTTAGCAAGTATTTCTAAGTGATTGGAATAGCTTTCCTTTAATGTTACAATACTGCCTATTGATTTGGAAATTAGATCACGCTCTATGATGTTTCGATTTTACTCAAAGGCATCATGAGTACTCTGCTCATTCTTTCATTCTTTATAGTTTTCTAGTTGAGTTAGGAACTATTTTATCAGAAATCATTTTAGCATTATAATAAGGGTAGATGACATACCATAATGATTTTCAGATTTTTTTTTTTTGAGACAGAGTCTTGCTCTGTTGCCCAGGCTGGAGTGCAGTGGCACGATCTCAGCTTACTGCAACCTCCGCCTCCTGGGTTCAAGTGATTCTTCTGCCTCAGCCTCCCGAGTAGCTGGGACTATAGGCATGCGCCACCATGCCCAGCTAATTTTTGTATTTTTAGTAGAGATGGGGTTTCACCATATTGGCCATGCTGGTCTCGAACTCCTGACCTCATGATCCACCCACCTTGTCCTCCCAAAGTGCTGCAATTACAGGTGTGAGCCACTGGTCCCAGCCTGATTTTCAGATTTTTAATAAAAAGGGTATCTGGATTAGCTGGGCATATAGTCCTACCTACTCTGGAGGCTAGCCTATAGTCCTACTTACTCTGGAGGCTAAGGCAGGGGGATCACCTGAGCCTGAGGGATCACTTGAGCCCAGGAGGTTGAACCTGCAGTGAGCTGTGATCCCACCACTACACTCCAGCTGGGCAGCATAGCAAGAATGTCTCTTTAAAAAAAAAAAGGCAATTCAGTTGCAGTGGCTCATGACTGTAATTCCAGCACTTTTGGAGGCTGAGACAGAGGATCATTTGAGCCCAGGAGTTTAAGACCAGCCTGAACAACATAGTGAAACCCCATCTCTAAAAAAAAAAAATTATATTAGCCAAGCATGGTGACATTTGCCTGTAGTGCTAGCTACTGGGGAGGCTGAGGCAGGAGGATTGCTTAAGCTCACAAGGTTGAGGCAGGAGTGAGCTGTGATCACACCACTGCACTCTAGCCTGGGCAACAGAGCAAAATACCCTGTCTCAAAAACAGCAAGAAAAAAAAAGCCAATACCTGGAAACTTTGAACAGGGTGAAAAGAAGAAAACACGGAGGAGTCTGCTAAAGCACAAAACTTCTCTCTGGTCCTCAAATAAATAAAAATTTTTGGCCGGGCACGATGGCTCATGCCTGTAATCCCAGCACTTTGGGAGGCCAAGGCCAGCAGATCACGAGGTCAGGAGATCGAGACCATCCTGGCTAACACGGTGAAACCCCGTCTCTACTAAATATACAAAAAATTACCCAGACGAGGTGGTGGGTGTGTGTAGTCCCAGCTACTTGGGAGGCTGAGGCAGGAGAATGGCGTGAACCCAGGAGGTGGAGCTTGCAGTGAGCCGAGATCATGCCACTGCACTCCAGCCTGGCGACATAGAGTGAGACCCCGTCTCAAAAAAAAAAAAAATTTTTTTTTTTTACAATTCCACATTGTCATTTTCTTTTCCTCTGGTCTCAAACTCCTGGTCTCAGGCAATCCTCCCACCTCAGCCTCCCAAAGTGCTGGGACTACAGACAAGCCACTGTGCCCAGCCAGCTGCCTAGAAATTTCTGGACTTCAACCACACTGTAATTTTTTTTTTTTAATCAGTTTCTTCTATTTCCTTGAACTCAGTTTCCAGGAACTTCTGGTTTGGAAATTAGAGACCTGCCTTCCAGGTTAGTCTACAGAAAGTCTAGTTGTGTTCCACTGTGTCTTCATTGTCCTGCACACTCATGTGATACACTCAGGTGTTGTGGATTATGAGACCCAGAGAGAAACTTCCTGGTGATAATCGCACAAAGTATAGGAAAGAAACCTGGCAGTCTGTACAGTCCATTATTATTATGTGCTTAGTCCATTTGGTTAAATAATTTGAGATGCTTTTTTTTTTTTTTTTTTGAGATGGGGTCTTGCTCTGTCACCCAGACTGGAGTGCAGCGGTACAATCATGGCTCACTGCAGCCTCAAACTCCTGAGGGCTCAAGCAATCCTCCTGCCTTGGCCTTCAGAGTAGGCAGGATTTTTTTTTTTTTTTTTTTTTTTTTTTTTTGAGATGGAATCTTGCTCTGTCGCCAGGCTGGAGTACAGTGGCGTGATCTCAGTTGACTGCAACCTCTGCCTCCCAGGTTCAAGCGATTCTCTTGAGTAGCTGGGACTACAGGCACAGGCCACCACACCCAACCTTTTTTTTTTTTTTTGAGATGGAGTCTTGTTCTGTCACCCAAGCTGGAGTGCAGTGGTACGATCTCGGCTCACTGCAAGCTCCGCCTCCTGGGTTCACGCCATTCTCCTGCCTCAGCCTCCCTGAGTAGCTGGGACTACAGGCGCCCGCCACCATGCCTGGCTAATTTTTTGTATTTTTAGTAGAGACGGGGTTTCACCTTGTTAGCCAGGATGGTCTTGATCTCCTGACCTCGTGATCCGCCTGCCTCGGCCTCCCAAAGTCTGGGATTACAGGCGTAAGCCACCATGCCCGGCCTAATTTTTGTATTTTTAGTAGAGATGGGGTTTCACCGTGTTGGCCAGGATGGTCTCGATCTCTTGACCTCGTGATCCACCCGCCTCGGCCTCCCAAAGTACTGGGATTACAGGCGTGAGCCACTGCGCCTGGCTTAGTCCACCTATTTCTAATGTGACTGGGTCATTCATCAACCTCTGTGATATGGTTTAGCTGTGTCCCCACCCAAATTTTTTTGACTGTAGCTCCCATAATTCCCACGTTGTGGGAGGGACCCAGTGGGAGATAACTGAATCATGGGGGCGTTTTCCCCCATGCTGTTCTCATGGTAATAAGTCTCACATGATCTGATGATTTTATAAGGGGTTTCCCCTTTCACTTGGTTTTCATTCTCTCTGGCCTGCCACCATGAGACATGCCTTTCACCTTCTGCTGTGATTATAAGGCCTCCCCGGCCACATGGAACTGTGTGAGTCTATTAAACCTCTTTTTCTTTGTAAATTACCCAGTCTTGGGTATGTCTTTATCAACAGTGTGAAAATGGACTAAGACACCCTGTCAACATCATCTCTCTGCTCCAGTGCTGCATCTTCAGGAGCCCAGGTTCCAGATAAATGAACTGTAGTGGCAGCCAGTGGCCAGGAGATACCGGCAACCTAAATATAGTTTTCTTTTCGTTTCTTTTTTTTGGAGAGAGTCTCGCTCTGTCACCCAGGCTGGAGTGCAATGACATGATCTTGGCTCACTGCAACCTCCGCCTCCCAGGTTCAAGTGATTCTCCTGCCTCAGCCTGCTAAGTAGGTGGGATTACAGGCACGTGCCACCACGCCCGGCTCATTTTTGTACTTTCAATAGAGATGGGGTTTCAGCATGTTGGTCAGGCTGGTCTCAAACTCCTGACCTCATGATCCGCCCACCTCGGCCTCCCAAAGTGCTGGGATTACAGATGTGAACCACCTAATCTGGCCTTTTTATTTATTTATTTATTTATTTTGAGATGGAGTCTTGCTCTGTTGTCCAAGCTGGAGTGCCATGATACAATGACAGCTCACTACAGCCTCAACCTCCCAGGCTCAAGCAATCCTCCCACCCCAGCCTTCCAAGTATCTAGGGCTATAAGTGTGCACCATCACACCTGGCTATTTCTGTATTTTTTGTAGAGACAGGGTCACTATGTTGCCTGAGCTGGTCTCAAACTCCTGGGCTCAAGCAGTCCTTCCACTTTGGCATCCCAAAGTGTTGAGATTACAGGCATGAGCCACTGTGCCCAGCCTAATTTTTACTTTTGAACCTTGTAAATTGTCAAACATACACACACAAGGCAATTCCAAGGTTTGGTTGATTTGACTGGTAAAGATAGGAGGAGGCACTTTTAGATTTAGATGGTTTCTTACATAGACAGTGAAAAGAAAAGGAAGACCAAAGAGCCAGCTTCTCAGGTCCTTGTTTCATACACCAAAAAGGACAACACTGAAACAAAAAGGACTGGATGACCCCAGTGTGAGTTGTGGGATATTCTGTTGCTGGGGAATCAAATCTAGACTGTAGTAGCTAAGTGGCTTTTTTGTTGTTTTTAAATTTTACTTATTGAAGGGGTGGCCTGCCCCTCCACACCTGTGGGTATTTCTAGTCGGGTGGGATGAGAGACGGAGAAAAGAAATAAGACACAGAGACAAAGTATAAAGAAACAACGGTGGGTCCAGGGGACTGGTGCTCAGCACACCAAGGACCTGCACCGGCACCGGCCTCTGAGTTCCCTCAGTTTTTATTGATTATTATTTTTCATTATTTCAGCAAAAAGGAATGTAGTAGGACAGCAGGGTGATAATAAGGAGAAGGTCAACAAATTACATGTGAGCAAAAGAATGTATATCACGATTAAGTTCAAGGGAAAGTACTATGCCTGGACGTGCACGTAGGCCAGACTTATGTTTCTCTCCACCCAAACATCTCAGTGGAGTAAAGACTACAAGGCAGTATCACTGTAAACATGTCTCGCCTCCCGCCACAGGGCAGCTTTTCTCCCATCTCAGAGTTGAACAAATGTACAATCGGGTTTTAAGCCGAGACATTCAGTTCCCAGGGGCAAGCAGGAGATAGTGGCCTTCCTCCATCTCACCTGCAAGAGGCTTTCCTCTTTTACTAATCCACCTCAGCACAGACCCTTTACAGGTGTCGGGCTGGGAGACAGTCAGGTCTTTCTCATCCCACGAGGCCATATTTCAGACTATCACATGGAGAGAAACCTTGGACAATACCCCGCTTTCAAGGGCAGAGGTCCCTGCGGCTTTCCACAGTGCATTGTGCCCCTGGTTTATTGAGACTAGAGAATGGCAATGACCTTTACCAGATGTACTGCTTGTAAGTATTTTGTTAACAAGGCACGTCCTACACAGCCCTAGGTCCCTTAAACCTTGATTTTATACAACACATGTTTTTGTGAGCTCCAAGTTGGGTCAAAGTGGCTGGGTCAAAGTGGCTGGGACAAAGCTACAAATCAACAACATCTCAGCAAAGCAACTGTTTAAAGTACAGGTCTTTTTCAAAATGGAGTCTCTTATGTCTTTCCTTCCTACATAGACACAGTGACAGTCTGATCTTTCTTTCTTTTCCCTACAACTTATTATTATTTTTGAGACAGAGTCTTGCTCTGTCACTGGCCTGGAGTGCAGTGGCCCGATCTCGGCTCACTGCAACCTCCACCTCCGAGGTTCAAGCAATTCTCGTCTCAGCCTCCCAAGTAGCTGGGATTACAGGCACCTGCCACCACATCTGGCTAATTTTTTGTGTTTTTGTAGAGACAGGGTTTCACTATGTTGGCCAGGCTGGTCTTGAACTCCTGGCCTCTTGATCCACCCGTCTCGGCCTCCCAAAGTGCTGGGATTACAGGCGTGGGCCACACCGCGCCTGGCTTAAATGATTTTTTAAAACTAAGTGGCTTAATATTCTGCAATTTTAATCTGAGAGGGGTGGAACAGAAAGCCCCATACCTCATCAGAACCTGGGAGTTGATGAGAAACCATTTGATGACAACCTCCTAGGGGAGATGGGGAGGGAAGTGGGAGATGGCCTCATAGCAGCTTCTGGCAGACCTTCCACCCTCGTGTTCCAGGAGGATTAAACAAGCCTTTCAGCCACAATTCGGTAAGGTGTGGCTCAAGCCATTGTCTCCTTGGATATATTCAAGGCTCTCAGGGAACACTGTTGATAGTGGTATTGGTATTATACTGAAACTTTGTGTTGAGAACCAGGGTTTTGAGAACCAGGGTTTTCACTATGGCAAAAGGAAGATACAAGTAAGGAATGGAGGCATTTGAATAGGGAGGTGACAGTACAAATTACTGATTTAAGGCCAGGCATAGTGGCTGATGCCTGTAATCCCAGTTCTTTGGGAGGCCAAGGCAGGAGAATTGCTTGAGCCCAGGAGTTCGAGACCAGCATGGGTGACATGGCAAAACCCTGTTTCTACAAAAAACACAAAAATTAGCCAGGCATAGTGGTGCTGTCCTGTAGTCCTACCTACTCAGGAAGCTAAGGCAGGAGGATCTCTTGAGCCTGGGAGCCTCTTGAGCAGAGGTTGCAGCGAGCTGAGGTTGTGCCACTGCACTCCAGCCTAGGCAACAGAGCGAGCCCGTCTCAAAAAAAAGACAAAGAAATTTAGGACAGTATGCAAGATTTGGCCTGGATTCTTCTGAGGATGTGAAGTAATGGAAACAGTAAGACTGTTCCAGACTAGGGGAAGACTAGAGACCTAATAGCTGGATTCCATGTGATCTTTTGTTGGACTTTGGGATTGGAGGTGAGAGTAGAGAAGGCATAATGCACGTTTTTGAGACGAGGGAAATGTGAATATAGCCTGTATGCCTACACTCAAGTCTGAAGACATGTAAACCATGTCTATACTAACCAGCCAAATATTTGAACACTAAAAGGAAGAATTTTCTTAATGTGGTAATGGTATCATGGTTGTATAGAATGTTCCTCCTCTTGGGAGATGTGTGTTGAAAATAGGGTTTGACGTCTAAACCTATTTTGTTTTGGCAAAAAGGACGTGTGTCTGTACAAAAGAAGTGGAGCCAGTATGGCAAAATGTTTACAAGGACTCTGGGTGAGAGGTACATAGGTGCTTACTATACTGTTTTGTTTCTGAATTTGGAATTTCTCAAAATTAAAAAAATATCTACTGAGGAGCTTTTCGTTTTAACTGGTGGGGAATGGGTTCTGGGTGGTTTTGCCCCTTTTCTTTTTAGATTCAAGAAATCCATGGTGAAAGGTTTGGATTCCTATGAAGAAAAGGAGGATAAAGTGATCAAGGAGGTAAGTTAAAGTAGCAGTCCCTCACCCTTTTTGCACCAGGGGCTGGTTTCGTGGAAGACGGTTTTTCCACAGATGGACCCAGGCAGGGGATGGTTTCAGAATGAGACTGCTCCACCTCAGATCATCAGGCACTAGATTCTCATAAGGAGCACGCAACCTAGATACCTTGCATGCCCAGTTCACAATAGTGTTTGTGCTCCTATGAGAATGTAACACCACCACTGATCTGACAGGAGCTCAGGCGGCAGTGCTGTTGCAGCCTGCTTCCTGACAGGCCACAGACCAGTACTGGTCCACGCCTGGGGGTGGAGGGCCCAAGTTAAAGGAAAGGCCTCTGAAGAAACTGGCCCCCATGATCCTGTACCTGTCTAAGCAGCCTCTCTCCCACAGATGGCAGCTCAGATCCGTGAGGTGGAGCAGAGCCGACAGGAGGTGGTTCGGTCTGTCTTAGAGGTTGGTTTCCCTCGGAGGATCCAGACCAGTATCCAAATCCACTGATCCCTGGCATTCCCAGGTCCAGCATTTCATGGACTAGTGCTTCTTCTTCTTCTTTTTTTTTTGGAGACAGAGTTTCGCTGTGTCACCCAGGCTGGAGTGCAGTGGCACGATCTCGGCTCACTGCAACCTCCACCTCCCAGGTTCAGGTTCAAGCGATTCTCCTGCCTCAGGCTCCCGAGTAGCTGGGATTACAGGTGCCGCCACCACGCCTGGCTAATTTTTATATTTTTAATAGAGGTGGTGTTTCACCATGTTGGCCAGGCTGGTCTTGAACTCCTGACCTCAGGTGATCCACCCGCCTCAGCCTGCTGGAATTACAAGCATGAGCCACTGTGCCCGGCCATGAACCAGTGCTTCTAAGAGAACTCTGACTGCATTCTCATCTGCTTGGCTTGAATTCCCTTACCTGTGTGCCAGGGGGCAGGCCTAGTCAGTGAATATGTGGACAGGACTGGGAGGGAGGGAGGGAAGAGTCTGTAAAAGATGGGCAGTACCTTCCATATGCTAATTTGTTTCCTTCCTGTGATACTGGGGTCTGGAGGGTGGAGGCATGGCCTAGGCAGGCTCTTAAGCATCCCAGACACATTTATTTTTCCTGAATCAAACTCAGCCTCAGGCAGTGCCAGACCCAGAAGAGGGCTCTTCAGCACCTAGAAGCTGGAAAGGGATGAACAGGTAAGACTATTAGGGAATCTCTTGTTGGGAATTTGACATCTTAGAACATTCTGCAACCTTTTGCCTGGGAAATGGAAACAGATCTAATCTTTACCACCCTCATGGCTCAAGGACCTCATCTGGCAGCCTGGCTCATGTTTTTCAGCCAAGTAGCTTCCAGCTTACAGCAGCCCTCAAATTTGGACCTGCCACCAGCTCCAGAGCTTGACTGGATGGAGACAGGACCATCTCTGACATTCATTGGCCATCAGGTACAAAGGATAAGCAAGCCAGAAGAGGGCCAATGGTCCCTCAGGTCTCAGGACCCCTTTCTCCTGATTTTCTACCTATTCAAGCCACTGCTGCCTCCACTGCAGGCTTTTCCTTCTTCCTTCACTGTTCCCTAGTAGTGTTCTCAGACCTCTTCTCACCCTCCAAAGCGATCCTATTCACATGTATTGACACTTAGGAGTGCCAACTCCTAAATCTTGCCCTCTGTAGAACTCATAGTTCCAACTCAACACAGGACATTAAATATCCCACAGGCATCTGAAACTAACCCCCACCACTCCTATATTTCCAATCACTAGATGCAGATCCTTTCCTTTTCCATCTCCCATATCCTGTCAACAAGCGGTCAATTTTAACCTGTCTGCCTCCATTCAGCCTTTGGGCAATTTCTACTCCCCCTTCAATCCTGCCTCACAAACAGAAAATCATTGTACCACTTATGATTTTACTCTACACTTCAGCTGTATTGTGTTGCTTCGGGCTTTTGCAGTTGCCATTGTCTAAAACCTGCTTTCCTTCCCTCATCACCTAGTTTACCTTCAACTGTTAGCTCAAATGTCACTTTTTCATAAAAGGCTTATCTGAACAGGTTATCTCTATTTCAAGTGGATGTAGCACCATGTAAAGTTGCAAATGTAATTTACGTAACTTGTGCTTAATGCTCTTCCCCAATTATATGTATGCTGTGAGGGCAAGGTTTTGCTCCCCTGGCATGTAATAGCCACTCTACTTACAGACATCTCCACTGTTATGACTGTGAGCTTCCTGAGGACAGGGTTGTCTTAGAGTGACTTACTGTGCTTTCAAAGTTTAACATCAGCTGGGGTGCAGAATTAGCATTGTGGCAGCAGTCACACCCACCTCTTTTAAAGTGTGCTTTGTCTATCGTTTCTAGGATTTTTTTTTTTAATCATGCCTAGACTTTAACTAGCACTTTTTTTCCCATTTCCAACTACAGGATATACCAGGAGTTGGTAACATCCACTCAGGTAAGGTCCAGGGCAGTGTTTTTAAAACCCTGGGAGATTTTTTTTTTTTTTTGAGATGGAGTCTTGTTCTGTCGCCAGGCTGGAGTGCAGTGGCGCAATCTCAGCTCGCTGCAACCTCTGCCTCTCAGGTTCAAGTGATTCTTCTGCCTCAGCCTCCCAAGTAGCTGGGGTTACAGGTGTGCACCACCACACCCAGCTAATTTTTTTTTTTTTTTTTTTGAGACGGAGTCTCGCTCTGTCGCCCAGGCTGGAGTGCAGTGGCGGGATCTCGGCTCACTGCAAGCTCCGCCTCCCGGGTTCACGCCATTCTCCTGCCTCAGCCTCCCAAGTAGCTGGGACTACAGGCGCCCGCCACTACGCCCAGCTAATTTTTTGTATTTTCAGTAGAGACGGGGTTTCACCGTTTTAGCCGGGATGGTCTCGATCTCCTGACCTCGTGATCCACCCGCCTCGGCCTCCCAAAGTGCTGGGATTACAGGCATGAGCCACCGTGCCCGGACTTTTTTTTTTTTTTTAAATAAAGTTGGCCAAGATAAAGCGTATGTATCGGTAAAAGCCTTATATCCAGAATATATGAAGAACTGTCAACTTGATAAGGAAACAACCCAATAAAAGCATATGAATAATGTTCAACATTAGTCATTAGAGAAATGCAAATTAAAACCACAGTGAAATACCACTACATATGTATTGGAATGGCAGAAATTAAAGACTGATCATGCCAAGTGTTTGGCAGTGTAGAAAAACCAAACCTTCATACACTGCTCTTAGAATGTAAACTGGTACAGTCACTTTGGAAAACAGTTTGGGATACACCTACCACATTATCCAACCGTTCCACCCCTAACTAGAGAAAAGAAAGCCTGTCTACATAGACTTGTACACAAATCTTCAGAACAGCTTCACTTGTAGCAGCTCCAAATTGGAAACAATTCAGATGTCTATCAACAGGCAAATGGATTAACAATGGAATAGTATTCCAGGATGAAGACAGAATTATTGATACGTACGACACAGATGAATCTCAGAAGTCCAGACCTGGCCGGCGTGGTGGCTCATGCCTGTAATCCCGACACTTTGGGAGGCCAAGGCAGGCGGATCACGAGGTCAGGAGTTCAAGACCAGTTTGGCCAACATGGTGAAACCCCATCTCTACTAAAAATTCAAAAATTAGCTGGGCATCGCAGCGCACGCCTGTAATCCCAGCTACTTGGGAGGCTGAGGCAGAATTGTTTGAACCGAGACCTGGGAGGCGGAGGTTGCAGTGAGCTGAGATTGTGTCCAGCCTGGGCTAGAGCGAGACTCCTCTCAAAAAAACAAAAGGCCAGACCCCACCTCAATGTCCACACACAGAAAATCCTAAAAAATACAAACCAATAAAGCAACTGAAAGATCACCGATTGCCTGGACATGAAAATATTTTAATGGGGGCAGTGATACTTACAGGGGGATGTTTGGGGTCTAGATTGTAATGGCTTCGCTCAAAAGTCACCAAATTTAAGTGTGTATCGTTTATGTCAGTTGTGCCTCAAAGCCATTTTAAAATGACTGTCACATATGGGGTATGTCGCTTTAAATTAGCCTAGGGCCTTCTAAAGCTCCAGAATTCCTGGGCTTTGCTTTTAGACATTTCTAGCTCTTAATGAGGAGAGGTAAGCTAACAGCTAGGACATGTTTCACAATAGCCTGAAGACTTAAAAAAAAAAAAAAAAGCCTTAATTTTTTTTTCAGGTGCCACACCTCCCTGGATGATCCAAGATGAAGAATACATTGCTGGGAACCAAGAAATAGGACCATCCTATGAAGAATTTCTTAAAGAAAGTAAGTAAACTAATTCAAGAGAGGATCGTCTAAATCTTCACACTCAAAAATGGTTTCCTTGCCTGTGTGTGGTGGCTCATGGCTATAATCCTAGCATTTTGGGAGGCTGAGGTGGGAGGGTCACTTGAGCCCAGAAGTTTGAAAACAGCCTGGACAACATAGTGAGACCCCATCTCTATATTCTTCAATAAAGAAAAATAAAAGTTTCCCTATCATTGTACAGAGGAAAAACAGAAGTTGAAAAAACTCCCCCCAGACCGAGTTGGGGCCAACTTTGATCACAGCTCCAGGACCAGTGCAGGCTGGCTGCCCTCTTTTGGCCGCGTCTGGAATAATGGACGCCGCTGGCAGTCCAGGTATGTGTGTTCAGTGCCGGGTCTCCAACCTACCCATCCAACCTCCTTTTTGGAGATGTCACCCTTCATCATCGTGTTAACCCTTTATTTCCTTTCAGACATCAATTCAAAACTGAAGCTGCAGCAATGAAGAAGCAGTCACATACAGAAAAAAGCTAATCATGCTCTCTACCAACTACCATGAGGCTAAAAGCAAAGTCAACAAACCCCTATTATACCTTCCACCAAATTCTTTATCATTGTCTTTCTTAGGAAACAGACATACTCATTCATTTGATTTAATAAAGTTTTATTTTTCCAAATGTACAGCTGGTTGGACCTGTAAAAAAAAATTAAAAGAATCAGAACCATAAAGCTTTGTATCTACCTCCTACACCATGAGCCCACACATTCCTACTCACCTATTCATGCATCTTCACCAGCAGCTGGAGCATCTCCACCCTTGGTATTTCTGGTGTAAATTACTTGAGCTCTGTGCTTTGAAACCAGTTTGATAAGTCCTAGGGGGAGAGAATAGCACGATGAGATGCTTAACAGATGCTACAATAGAAACTAGTAAGGTTTTTGGCTGGGCGCGGTGGCTCATGCTTATAATCCCACTGCTTTGGGAGGTGGAGACGGGCAGATAGCTTGAGGTAAGGAGTTGCACACCAGCCTGGCCAACAAGGTGAAACCCCATCTCTACCAAAAATACAAAAATTAGCTGGGCATGGTGGCACATGCTTGTAATTCCAGCTACTTGGGAAGCTGAGGTGAGGACCACCTGAACCCAGGAATTGGTGGTTGCATTGAGCCAAGACTGCCCCTCCGCACTCCAACCTGGGCAACAGAATGAGACTCTAGTAAGGTTTGTTTTGGCCGGGTGCAGAGGCTCATGCCTGTAATCCCAGCACTTTGGACAGGTGGATCTCTTGAGCCCAGGAGACCAGCCTGGGCAACATGGCAAAACCGCATCTCTATTTAAAGAAAAGGAAAACAAAAAGACAGAGTTCTCTCAGAGGTGCCCAGAATGGTCTTAAAACTCCTTGGCTCAAATGATCCTCCTGCTTTGGCCTCCCAAGTAGCTAGAAATACAAGGGTACCACTGCACCTGGCTCCAGAATTGCTTAATCTGACGTTCGGTAACCGAGAATCCTAGTTTTTAACGATCATCTATCCTTACTTTTCCTTTAAATTAGGGCTCCATTATCTTCCACCCCCCCCCCCTTTCTGAGACAGTCTTTTGCTGTCACTAAGGCTGGAGTGCAGTGGTGTCATCTCGGCTCACTGCCACCTCCATCTCCTGGGTTCAAGGGATCCTCATGCCTCAGCATCCTGAGTAGCTGGGATTACAGACGTGTGCCCCCACGTCCAGCTAACTTTCAGTAGAGCAGGTTTTCACCATATTGGCCAGGCTGGTCTTTAACTCCTGACCTCCGTTGATTCACCCGCCTTGGCCTCCCAAAGTGCTAGAATTATAGACGTTCAGTCACTATAGTTAGCTGAGCCTTATTATTGTGGAATTATGGTAATCAGACCATACTACTGAGTAGACCGTACTAAATTTCTGGTTTTAAAATTTAATACATCAACAAAATATTTACCATAAAGGTTTTAAACATTTTCAAAGTTGTTTCAAAATAGTAATCTAATTATTTCAAAAACGGTTGTCCCTGTAATTCTATGCATCCATTTACTCGAAACATAAAAGATCCTTGGGCTTCACTAAACTGCCACAGGGTCCACGGCACAAAAGTGGCTAAGAACCCTGAGAATTCATCTCAGGATCAGGAGTAAGACGTCAGAATTACATTACTAACAGCCAATGGTCAAGCCACGCTTTTTTTTTTTAATTCTGCTTTTCCAGCAAAACCACTGAAGATGCTTAACATGGTCAAGACAATTTAACCTACAAAAACACACATGTAGGATACACCCCTCACCTTTACTAAGGAGCTCCTGAAGGGCTGCCCTGGCCAGGGAGCCTCGAATCTTCAGTCTCTCAGAGACCACAGCTGGGGTTATAAGTTTATAGTTGGGAACTTCCTTACAGAGTTTATCATAGGTAGCTTTGTCAAACAAGACTAAGTTATTGAGCTTGTCCCGAACTTTGCCTTTGGACCACTTCTGCTCACCAAAACAAAACAGAAACAAGTTAGTATTTCTGGCAGAAGCACCCTTTCCCTCTCGAGTAATCTGCGTCAGAGAAATCTGTTCCACCGTTATCAAGGATAAATTACACATTACTAAAACAAAAACAAAAAAAAAACACCGACACGTTTTTGGCCTTCAAACAGGGGCCGAGCCCCACTAGATCAGTTAAAAATAACACAGCAGGCACAGCGGCAGACACTTCGCACAACAGACCCATTTTCATGATCCTAATGGGAAAAAGAACGAGTGGTGACGGGAAGATAAACTCTCACATTTTGACTCTAGAAATCTACACCTGAAAAACCACTTACTATACAAGTTACCTATTACTAGAGGATTACGAGAGAGTTACCCCTAGTCTCTTTCAGAGAGGTCTTATTTCTACCTTCTTTTTGGCCTTGCCCCCGGATTTGTTCACTGGGTCTTTGTCTTTCTTGGCCGACTTTCCAGCGTCCTTCTTCTTCTTGTCGTCCTTAGGCGGCTGTAGGAGGGCAGCGGGAATGCAACCAGGTCCTCAAATAGCGCCAAAGTCCCCTAATACTGCGCCCTCAGCCCCCGCAAACTCCACCACCAGAGCACATGGGCCAAGCAATAACCGCGCCCGCCCTGCAACCGAGGCCGGCAGGCCAAGGAGCGCTCCCGCCGAAGGCTCTCCCCACTGAGTCCTCAAACCCAAGAACGCCGGCGACTTCACACCCCTGAAGCTTACCATTGCGAAGCTCGGAGAATAGCAGCAGACACCGCAGCCTCGTCAAGATGTCGGACAAAAAGGAAGCGCTGCTCAGAAACGGGCCCAAAAACCACCGTCCGCTGTGAGTACTTCCGGGGCAAAAGGCGGAGCCAGGCAGAAGAAGTCCCACGGCGAAGCGCTCGCCCTCTAGCCTGAGGCGGAAGACAGGAAGTGGATTCTAGTTCCCAAGCCGCACCGCCTAAATACTGCCGGAGTCTGCGCTAGTTGTGACGCATACTATAGCGCTGTTTTCCTGCACTGATAAACGAAAAGCAATCCACCAGGTCTCGGCAGCTAACTTTCCGGCACTACTTATGCCCGAGCGTGTCGCTCCCAGTGCGCAAGTGCAGCAGGTGGCTGCACGGGGGGCGCGGGAGGAGGAGGAGGAGGAGGAGGAGGCTGGGGTGGGGCCGGCGGCAAGTGCTGTGATGCGGTTCCGGGGAGGGGCCGTCGGGTAGAGGCTGAATACCAGTTTCCGAGCGGCAAGGCAGCGATGGCGATTTTTAGTGTGTATGTGGTGAACAAAGCTGGCGGCTTGATTTACCAGTTGGACAGCTACGCGCCACGGGCTGAGGCTGAGAAAACTTTCAGTTATCCGCTGGATCTGCTGCTCAAGCTACACGATGAGCGTGTGTTGGTTGCTTTCGGCCAGCGGGACGGCATCCGAGGTGGGCTAGGCTCGGGCCCGTGGCGGGTGCGGGGGTGGGAGGGCCCCAGTGCTGTAGAAGTGGGCTGGTTGTAGGTGCGGGGTTGGGGGAAAAGGGGTTGTGTCGGGTCCCTTGTCCCCTCGGCGGAATCCCCGGGCTGCACCTTCGCTGACCGTTAGCTTCACCTCTGCAGTGGGTCATGCAGTGCTGGCCATCAATGGCATGGACGTGAATGGCAGGTACACGGCCGACGGGAAAGAGGTGCTGGAGTATCTGGGTAACCCTGCTAATTACCCGGTGTCCATTCGATTTGGCCGGCCCCGCCTCACTTCTAATGAGAAGCTTATGCTGGCCTCCATGTTCCACTCGTAAGTCCCCCGTCTCCTGAACGGCAGCGCTTGTAATTTGTCTACCTTTTCTTAAATCGTCGTTCTGGTGTTATGAAAAACGCAACCGATCCAGATCTAGATTTTAGGTAATAACGGCAGTGGTGTCATCTTTTTTTGCTGGGTGGGGAGGGGCCGCGGAGTTACCCAGGCTGGAGCGCAGTGGCGGGATCTCGGCTCACTGCAGCCTCTGCCTCCCAGGTTCAAGCGATTCTCCTGCCTCAGCCTCCCGAGTAGCTGGGATTACAGGCGCGTGCCACCACGACCAGCTAATTTTTGTATTTTTAGTAGAGAGGGGTTTTGCCATGTTGGCCAGGCTGGTCTCAAACTCCTGACCTCAGGTGATCCACCTGCCTCGGCTTCCCAAAGTGCTGGGATTACAGGAGTGAGCCACCGCGCCCGGCCGAGGTGTCATCTTACTTAAAGTCAACTTCTCTTCTCTGAGCCTTAGTTTCTTCATATTTAAAGAAAGCCAGTTTAACTAAATGACCTTTAAACTTTTTCTGCTCTCAATTGTGATATCAGATGTGCCGGCCTTTGCTTAAACACAAGCTTAGTAAGCGTGGCACATATTCCTAGAGTATTCATTTTACCCAAAGTTTTAGATGTAAAATGTCTTGTAACAAAGTATGAATGTAAAATATTCACAGAATTCAAATGAACTTAGAAATTTTGACACTACTGCCAGTCAGTTCACACTACTTCTCCTGACTGTCCCAGGCTGTAATGTGAACTCCTCAGCAAATAGGGACACTTCAGTGGAAGTTTGAGAAGCACTCCTTCCTTAGAGCAACTTTGCCTCCTTTGCATATAGGCTCTTTGCCATCGGCTCCCAGCTGTCTCCTGAACAGGGAAGCTCAGGCATTGAGATGCTGGAGACAGACACATTCAAATTGCACTGCTACCAGACACTGACAGGTATGCATCTCCACGGAGGCCAGAGGAGTGTGATGGAGAAGGTGGGGAAGAGATACTGATAAGTTTGCATCTCCAGGTGGGCCAGAGGAGTGTGGTGGAGAAGGTGGGAGGAGGGGGTTGACCAAAGACACCTTTGGTAAGCAAGAAGAGGGGGTGTGCTTTTCCTGGCACAATTCTTTTTTTTTTTGAAATGTTTCACTCTTGTTGCCCAGGCTGGAATGCAGGGGCATGATCCGCCCCCTGGGTTCAAGCGATTCTCCTGCCTCAGGCTCCCAAATAGCTGGGATTACAGGCATGTGTCACCACACCCGGCTAATTTTTCTGTTTTTATTAGAGATGGTGTTTCTCCATATTGGTCATGGTGGTCTCAAACTCCCGACCTCAGGTGATTGCCCGCCTCCCAAAGTGTTGGGATTACAGGCGTGAGCCACCACACCCGACCCACAGTTCTTTTTTTTTTTTTTTTTTTTGAGATGCAGTTTCACTCTGCCACTCAGGCTGGAGTGTAGTGGCATGATCTTGGCTCACTGCAGCCACCACCTCCTGGGTTCAAGCAATTCTCCTGCCTCAGCCTCCCAAGTAGCTGAGACTACAGATGCCCGCCACCACACCCAGCTAATTTTTTGTGGGGTTTTTTTGTTTTGTCTTGTTTTGAGATGGAGTCTTGCTCTGTCACCCAGGCTAGAGTGCAGTGGCGCGATGTTGGCTCACTGCAGCCACCACTACCCGGGTTCAAGCAATTCTCCTGCCTCAGCCTCCTGAGTAGCTGGGATTACAGGCATCCGCCACACGCCCAGCTAATTTTTGTATTTTTTAGGAGAGATGGGGTTTCACCATGTTGGCCAGGCTGGTCTCGAACTCCTGACCTCAGGTGATCCACCTGCCTCTGCCTCCCACAGTGCTGGGATTACAGGCATGAGCCACCGCGCCCGGCCTTCCTGGCACAATTTTATAGACACATCTGTTTGTTTGTTTTGTGAATACAAAACCAATATTTAATCTGAAACTGATTTTGTCCATGCCACCCAGCATGTTCAGCAGAGGTTATCTTGTGTTCAGATAAAACTCACCTTAATGCTATTTCCTGTTGCGTGTACTTTGGAAGGTGTTAAGTGTTTTTCCAAAATGAAATTTGAAAGCAAAATGGATATGACCTTTGGATTGCCAGTGTCATTGCTTCACCCTCTTCATTTATTGAAAACTGCCTGACTTTGTCCCCTGCCTGGCAATGTTTCTGCTGAGGGACTCCAAAACTGTTAGTAAGTGGCAGAGCTAGAACTCAAAGCCTGGTCTTAATCAGGTGGGTGACATAACAAAGTTACTTCACTTCTCTGGTCTCATCGGTAGATTCAAAGTCTTGCCTTTCCTGCATTATGTGGTAAAAAGAATAAAATTAAAATAGGCTTATGAAAGTGTTTTGCAAAATTGAAAGTGCTGTACAAATACAGGATGACACTATTTGCTCCAGTGTCTACGCTTTGGTAACCATTCTTGGTCTCTCTCCAGGGATCAAGTTTGTGGTTCTAGCAGATCCTAGGCAAGCTGGAATAGATTCTCTTCTCCGAAAGATTTATGAGATTTACTCAGACTTTGCCCTCAAGAATCCATTCTATTCCTTAGAAATGCCTATCAGGTAAGTGGCCCCACTTCCCAGATACTGTTTAAAGCGTCCTTGCCCCTCCCTGTGTGCTCTGTCCAAAGTTAGCTGAAGCATAGTAGAGTATTACTTTTTTTGTTTGTTTGTTTTTGAGACGGAGTTTCGCTCTTGTTGCCCAGGCTGGAGTGCAATGATGCGATCTTGGCTCGCTGTAACCTCTGCCTCCCGGGTTCAAGCGATTCTCCTGGCTCAGCCTCCTGAGTAGCTGGGATTGGATGCATGTGCCACCACGCCTGGCTAATTTCATGTTTCTAGTAAAGACAAGGTTTCACCATGTTGGTCAGGCTGGTCTCAAACTCCCGGCCTCAGGTGATCCACCTGCCTTGGCCTCCCACAGTGCTGGGATTACAGGCGTGAGCCACTGCGCCCGGCCGAGTATTACTTTTAAGTAAGACACAAGGAAAGGCCGGTGGCTCACGTGTGTAATCTCAGCACTTTGGAAGACGGAGAGGGTAGGATCACTTCAGCCCAGGAGTTTGAGATCAGCCTGGACAACATAGAACCCCATCTTTACAAAAAAAAAAAAAATTAGCCTGGTGTGGTGGCGGACACCTGTAGTGCCAGCTATTAAGGAAGCTGAGGCGGGAGGATTGCTTAAACCTGGAAGGTCAAGGCAGCAGTGAACCATGCTCGTGCCACTGCATTCCAGCCTGGGCAACAGAACAAGACCGTGTCTCTAAATAAATAAGACAACAGTAGCTGGGTGCAGTGGCTCACGCCTGTAATCCCAGCACTTTGGGAGGCTGAGGCGGGCGGATCACTTGAGGTCAGGAGTTTAAGACCAGCCTGGTCAACATGGTGAAACCCCATCTCTGCTAAAAATACTGAAAATACAAAAATTAGCCAGGTGTGGTCGTGTGCACCTGCAATCCCAGCTACTCAAGTAGGCTGAGGCAAGCAGAATCGCTTCAATCTGGGAGGAAAAGGTTGCAGTGAGCTGAGATCGTGCCACTGATTCCAGCCTGGGTGACTATTTAGAGAAAACAGACTTTCCTTGGTGTTTATGTCATTTTTGTTTGTTTGTTTGTGGGGTTTTTTTTGTTGATGTTTTTTTTTTTTTTTTTTTTTTTGAGACTGAGCTTCACTCTTAACCACCCAGGCTGGAATGCAATGGTGCCATCACGGCTCACCACAACCTCTGCCTTCCGGGTTCAGGCGATTCTTTTGTCTCAGCCTCCGGAGTAGCTGGGATTACAGGCACCTGCCACCATGCCTGGCTAATTTTTGTATTTTTAGTAGAGACAGGGTTTCACCATATTGGCCAGGCTAGTCTCAAAGTCCTGACCTCAGCTGATCCGCCCACCTCAGCCTTCCATGATATATGTTGTTCTTCAAGCAGTTTCCCCTGGCTTAAGTGGGGAGAAAGCCTCAGGCCTCACACTTTTTTTCCTCACCCTGGGCCCGGCTTAGGTGTGAGCTCTTTGACCAGAACCTGAAGCTAGCTCTGGAGGTGGCAGAGAAGGCTGGAACTTTTGGACCTGGGTCATAGGCTGAACCTGTTATGGACCCCCAAATTCTGAGAGTTCCTGCAACAAGAATACTGCTGTTGACACTCCAGTGGAAATCCCAGCAGCCTTGTTAGTGCACTTGAAAGTGGGAGAATGCTGACCCTGATGACTTGTACTGATTCCTGAGCCTTAACACTGTGCTCTTTCCTTCTGTATATACCATGGTCTTACTTTCCAACTCTGTACAGATTTATTTATGGAGGAGCTAGGTCCATAAATGTTGTAATAAATATTCCTTTGATCTTGGTGTTTGCAATCTGTCTTAATCGATGGTTTTGGGGGAAAGATACAGGAAGTGAGTCAAAAATGGTTAGGGAATTCTGGGAAGATGATTATGTGCTAGTAAAAAACATAACAAATATGTGTTCATTAAATAAATGAACATAAGATTTTGAAGCATGAGCATTGGATCTAGTCCCAGAATTGCTGCTGATTTCCTGGGGTCCTGGGGTGGTGGCAGCAGTGGTGGTGGCTGTTATGATGATGATGATGATGGAACATATTTCAAGCACTTACAGCCAGGCATTCCTGCTTTATCTCACTTGATCTTCACCCTAACTCCAGGGGGTACATTCTGTTACAGATAAGAGATTTAGCAGACTTTCTGCCTCAAAGTTTCCAAGCTAGTTACTGACAGTCTGGGTTTGAACCAGGCTTTCTGGCTACACACTCAGTAAACCACTGTTACACTTCTTCCCTCCATCAAGTTATTTAATCTGTCCACAACCCAATAGCTTTATCTCTAAAATAATCATTGAACTATTCAATGTTCAGGTGAAGGCAGAGGAGGCATGAGTTTTAAAGGAGTCCATCTACACTTCAGCTTCCCCATTCCAGGGAAATGAAGTCTTTCCATTTTGGGGTGGAAAGAGCAGGTATTGACAATATTTCCCAAGGAAGCTGTCTCACTTTGAAAAAATGAATCACTGACAGTGTTCAGTATCAAATCTAGTTTTAATCTTCTATAACAAGTCACCTTTTCTTCCCACCTATATCCAACTGCGCCTAGTGGTACAGTGAGAATGATGGCCTCCTCTCTTTCCCTGGAGTCTGAGGTATTGGCAACAGCAGTCACCCACTGCTGAGAGGACTTAGGACCCAGCAGAAGTCAAGGGTCATTAGTGCCCTGCAGCTGCAGGGATAGCCTCACTTCAGGTGGGGATGGGGTAGGATGCGGGCAGGACAGGGCCTAGGAAAAGAAGAAGGGTACAGGAGCCTTCCTGACTGCAGAAGTTTCCTGTTTGTCTGAAGGCAGGAAATAGGAGCTAACGGAGTCTAAGGCCAAAGGTTATCTTTTAAATAGAGCATAGGATCAGGGAGCTGGGACCTCACTAGCCACTGATAACTTCCAGCGCCACCCGGGTGACAGAAAAGGCGCAGAAATGGAAAGTGAAAGGTTCAGGGCTAGCCAGGCAGGCCCCTCCTTTTCTCCCCGCAGAGCGTGCAGGGGGAAGGCCACCGTGGGATGGTGCTCCGGAACCTGGACTCTCTTCACTCAGCCTTCTTGGACACTCGGCCCATCTTGGTGCGGATGTTTCGTAGGAGGAAGAAGGCAGCCGTGCTGGCCGCACAAATCACTTCAGCCACCCAGAAGGCTGTGCTCCAACTGTAGTGCTTGGCAATGGTGCTGAAGGGCAGCCCAGCCAGAAAGCCGCCCACTGTCAGGGGGAAAGGGAAGAACCTAAGCCAGTGGTGCTAGCTCCAGCTTCTCACTGGTCTATATGCAAAGCACAGGTGGGGGTGAGGGAGAGACTCTAGAAGTTAACACTTACCATTGGCCATGAGTCCCACAATGGCGTGGGAGGTGCCACACAAGTTGGGAGGGGCACTCTCGTTGGCTATGACTCCAAACAGGGCAATGGGGCCATACGAGGAGAAACCAAATACAGCTCCCAATACCAGGATCCAGAGCTGCCAAGGGCAGAGTGGAGTGGCATTCAGAGTCGGAAAGCCGACCTGCCTACCCACCCCTGCCAAAGCAAGAAGAAGGCTTGGTCCCCAGAAACAAACAGTAGTCATAAAAGGACAGTAAGTAAGTGATTCTTTTCCTTCCACTCCCCAACACAACTGACAATACAGAGCTAGAGTAGGAGATGCCACATTGAGCAAACCCAGGGACCTAGGTGGGCAAGGAAAGGAGGTACAGAAGTCATCCCTCTGAGCTAGAGGCTGTCCTCAGGATTTACACAAACTGGATTGGCTAGGGGTAAGGCAGAAGGGTAGGACAAAGGTGAGACAGACCAGGAGAAAAACCAGAGATATCTTTAAGGCACCTCATGCTCTGTAAAGCCTGTGAGCTCCGCGAGAGGGTGAAGAGCCAGAGTCCAGAAAGCAACATCCTAGAGGAGCACAGGGAAGAAAAGAAAACCAGGCCCAGAGTGGAGGAGGAGAACCCAGACACAGAGGAACGGTCCAATCAGAACTGAAAAGGGTATCTGAGAGGCGAAGAAAAGATTGGCCCAGGCTGAAGCCAGGAGAGGGAGACAGAGTCAGTGGCCCTTGCGTTCTCTCCTTGTGCCCTGCCGTGAGCCAGGCCTTTCTTAATTACCTTGGGGGAGTCACTGGTCACTGTTACCCGGAAGAGGTACATGGACACTGTCATGCCAGCCATCATGAACAGCAACAGGCCATGGCGAGGGTTCCCGTAGTTGGACAGTCCCGCCTATGGATACAGTCCCGGCAATGTCACGTCCTCAGAACAGGGCAGAGAACACCCACCCCTGGACTCTGACACAGCAGGGCCTCTGCTGACGGGTCTTTGGCAATCCCACCACAGTTCTTGGCCCTGGGCAGCTCTGGGAGGCCCTGGGACCTGCTCATTACATTCTGAGGCCAAACTCTACAACATCCCCTCCTCCCCCGTCAGGCAGGACTAGGACACGTGCTGGGGAGGGCACCTAGTCTGTTCCCAGCCCATTTTCCTGGGGCTGTGGAGCAACCTACAGCTAAGCTAAGAAATATTCTGGCTGTCCTTCACATCAGTTAAAACTCTACCCAAGAGCCTTACTTCCACAACCGTAGGAAAGCTAAGACCAGCCTGGAATCATTCCCTCTTCACCCGGTCTAAACCAGCAGATGCCAACCTGCCTGTGCCCTGGGACTCCCATCTCTCCAGTGCCTGTCCCAGCCACGCCGTGAAGACTGAAAGGGACCCTTCTCCTTCCTGTCCCTTCTGCCCGCTCACCTTTGCCATGGCCCGGTCTGACAGGTAGCCAGCTGCGATGCTGCCTACAAGGCCCCCAACTTCCAGGGCACTCATGTAGGAGCTACCTGCAGTAGGGAGTTGTGGTGGGAAGAGGGAAGGGAAGGGTGGGAGGGTGTTACACATTGGGGTTGTCCCACAATGGCTTAAACCTGGAGAGGTACAGGGTTCCCATAGGTGACTGGCCATAGCTGCCTGAGTAGCGCCCGGCCTCAAGGAACGAATAAAGAGGATAAATGGAAGCAAGGCCTGAATTTGCATCCCCTGCATTGGTTCCTGCTCCTTATGCCCACCCTTGTCCCCATGCTCATCTTACCTACAAGGGCTGACTGTCCTTTCTCCTGGATAAGGAAGAACTGGCCCCAGTCAGTACAGCAGGTCTTTACTCCAAACACCACAAGGTAACCAGTGGAGAGCACCCACAGGTAAGGGGACAGCAGCAGCTCCTGCAGGGTGCTCTCCTCCTTCAAGGAGCCTGGAGGTGGGAAAAGGCTGGGCGTCAGGCTCTGCCCTGACTGCTCTCCCCAACCTGAACCCCCAACATTCATTAACCAGCCACAGGGGCAGAGTCCATCTGCACAGCCAGGATCAGCATGAAGGGTATTCCCTCACCCCACTGCTCTCCTCTCCCCCTCTCCGCTGCAAGGTCAATGAATGAGAAACAGGACCAGGGAGGACCAAGCCACTTAAGGACCAAGCTCAATGAATGAAAGACAAACAGGACCAAGCCACTAAAGCTCATGATTCTATCTATCCAGGACAGGGAAGTCTGTGCTGTTGTGAGGAAGGGCCAGAAAATAACGAGTCACAGCACTTGCTGGCTCTGCCGCTTGTCCAGTACTTGACTGCCTCTTGGGATGGATTTGTGTTTGCTACCCATGCAGCCTACATCACCACCTCTTCCCCCACATCCACTGACCAGCACAGGACCGGGCAAACGCCTAGTCTTCAACAAACATCTGCCTGCTAAATGAGTGCCCCAGTGGTCGGTCTGGGTGGGGGCTCACCCTTCTTGCCCTCAGAGGGCATGGGGTCCAGGTTGCGGAGTCCAACATCAGCAGGTTCATTGTGGATGAGCAGGAGACAGAGGAAGGAGACAACCACACCACAGTGCCCCAGATAGGGCCAGCGTGCTGCGCCAGCTGTAGCTCTGGGCAAGGATGGTTGCCAGGATAGGGCCCAGCCCTCCAGCCAGGTTCATGCTGGTTGACAGGATGGCCCACCAAGTGCCAAACTGAGATGGCTCAAACCACTGTGGGGCAGAGGGCGACACGTAGGTGTCCAGCCTACTGCCCATGTTGAGGGTGGGGTCAGATGGGGCAGCCCCAGAAGCTCACATTACAGGGAAGAGGGAGAGGGCGCTTCTGTTTGGCAGGGCAGTTTCCTCCTCTGCCACCTGATCCCACCACTCTCAGCCTCCTAAAATATCTTGACAAGCAATAGGAGCTGGCCAGGAACTGCTCAGGAACCTGCTCTGGGTTGGGTGTGGAGGTGGTGGGTAAGAAAGGGCGCTCCCACATGCTCTTTAGGCATCCTCTATGACAATCCAAACAGGCTCTTTGGAAGCACTCACCTTCCGCAGGACCTTCCCACATGGGGGCCAGCCCAGCCCCTGGGCCAGGCCATTAAGGAACCAGAGGGCAGCAAAGACAGGTACTGTGGAGCTCCAGGCAAAGAATATGTTGACCAGGCCAACCAGGAGCAGCCCAGAAGAGAAGAGCCAGCGAGCACTCATCTGGTCAGACAGCACCCCACTGACAAACTTGCTGATAGCATAAGCTGCCGACTGGCTGCTGGTGATGAACCCTGCAGGGAACATTACACTTAGGGGTTAGGGACCAGGGGAGAAACACAGGAGCAATGAAAGAAGGCATGGGGTCAGGTGTGCAGGGGTGCCCAGTGGGGTGAGACAGGTTACTTCCCAGAGGAACAGGAGGAGCCTGTGCTGCAATCTGACACTCATGGGGCCCTACTACTTCGGCCACTTCTCCTGCCTCACCATCGGCACTAGCCCCAGACTGACCCATGATTCTCAGCTACAGTTGTCAGGGAACAAAAAGGGAGCAGGACGTGGCAGTTCCCCCTCCCTGGGATTTGCATATGGGATTTCCCACCTCACTCTGGATGCCAGTCCCGGGCCTCTAGCAGTTCTGTTGCTCCACCACCCAACATGGGGCAAAGGGCTCAGGATTGGAGTCAGGGACCTTGTCCCTCCTGAAGGGTAGCATGCCAGGCCACATGAAGTCGTTGTGCCAACTTTTTAGTTCCCAGTGCTCACAGTGTCAGTAGCCAGCACTCACCCTGAAGCCTCCACATGCACCCACACAGGTGTGAAAACCATGCTCAGAAGCCCCTCAAACACTCTCGGAATAAACAGTGCCTCCAGGGCATGCACACACACGTCAAATAAGCAGCCCTCCTTAGCCCCGCAGGCACCCATGTCCATGGATCTCAGAGCTTCTTTATCTGGCATATGCAGACTGGCCCCTGGCCTCTACTGTGCAGACAATCCACCCACACCACATGCCTGTACACAAACACCCAGTGTGTCTGGCTGGTTCTGTGTCCCCAGGTCCACCACCCTGCTGTTTCAGGGCTCACCCAAATCATCCTTGTCCAAAGGGATCTCTTCCACCAATGATGGCATGACAAAGGAGAAGGTCTTGCGATTGAAGTAATACAGGCTGTAGCCCCCAAACATGGCTGAGAAGATCACAGTGCGATAATAGCCATAGCCCTGGGCTGCCATGGTAGAAAAGAGCAGGCCCTACCAGCCAAGACGCACAGCCTCTGACCACAGTTCCTGCTTGCCGCTCTCACAGTTCCCAGATCTGCTGAGTTGGGTTTTTTCTGCTCCCTCCTCCACCCAGCCTCCCAGGCTCCCTTTATAGCCGCCTTCTGGACAATCATTAAGCCTGGGGAGGCTCCAAGGGGACCCAGTGTCCTGAGGGAGACAAGAAAACAAGAGATTACTGAGCGCCAAACTGTAGGGGGTGGAGGAGGTCCCGGAAGGAGGCATGCCTGTGAGCCAGGCCAGCACCCTGTGTCCCCAGGATTTCTGCCTTTACCTCCTCTATCATGTCTGCTTGCCTGTGAAACCAGCTTTGATTAAAGGTTCAACCTAATTACTTTTGTCTGCCTGAGCCCAGGGGAGGCAGGGGTGGGATGAGCAGAGATGCCCTCTCTAGCCCTGCTCCCTCAGTCACAGAACCTTCTCATTCATTCACGGAAGGTTTATTAACTTACTAGTTGACAGGCACTGCACTTGGCACTATTAGTTTCTACACCCACTCACCACCACCGCACCAAAACACAAAGTCAGACACATACCCCGGCTACCCCACTTCTAAGCCTTCTAGAGAGGGCCTCAATCCGTGGAACTCTCAATACTTAGCACATAATAGATTTAATTGTTTCCTACAGTTGCCCCTTGTAATTCTGTGCAAGGGGGACCTCCCCAGTTCAGGTCCCACGGTGTCACACAGAAAGCCCCGCTAAGGGCTGAGGTCCTGATGGGGCCCCACAGAGCTACCTCTGGGTCCCCATTACCCTGCGACGTCAGTCTGGGCTTCCTTCGGGCTAGCTGGGGGCTGCAGGGTCTGGTTTCCAACCTGTGGGACGTTGGCAGGGGCCGCAAGCAGAGGGACTGGGCAGCTCGTGGGCGGGAAGGTGCCCCGGCGGGCTTCGGGCTGCAGGGCACAACCGTCCCGCCCAGGGCCCCGGCAACATGCCCCGGCTTTTCCGCTCAATTGGGAAAGCAACTGGAGCAGAAGGCGTAGGCGCACGCGGAGCGGGCGACCGCACGTATTCTCCCGGAGGCCCCGCGCTTCTGGCACCCAGAGGCTCAGCCTGGTAGGGGAGGGCCAGGCGGCGGGCGGGAGAGGAGGAGAGGCGGCGGGCGGCGAAGAGGCGGCGGGCTCGTGGCACCTGCCCAGCCCCGTGGGTCCTCACGCTACCCAGGACACGCTACTGTGCGGCTGGGAACCACGGGGGCCGGGGGTGCAGGAGCTGGAGAGGTGCGGAGACCACAGGACTGGCGCGATAGAAAGGGGTCTCGTGCTGGTGGTCAGGGACAGCGCCTCGGTGGCCCCAAGACCCATGAATTGTCTCTGGAACTGCAGGAACAGCTCCGGGTCGTATCGGAAGTTGGGGTTCGCCAACAATGGCTCCCCAAGACCTGAGATCCCCGCCCTCAGGTGACTCCCCTCCCCCGCATACCGCCTCCTACCTGAACAGAGGCGGGAGCCCGAATAGGACGGGGCGGGGCTAGCGAAGGCTGCGCAAGCGCGGCCGGCGGGGGCGTGGTCTTCGCCTGCTGCTTCGCTTGCCGGCCAGTGGAGTTCCCCGCCCCACATGCCGGGGACGTCGACTTACTCCCTCCCGCTGGTCACGCTGCTCCTTGGACGAACGAGCATAGCGCCCCTTAGGGGCTGGGCACGGCATGTCCAATTCTTAAGTGGTTGCATTCAACAAACCAGTTTTTAGTGAGTGCCCTCCTCTACAAAACACACCGAACACTAAGGTGATAATCATTGTTCCCAAGTTGCTCACAGTCTGGGAAAGGTGTTGTAGGAACACACAGTATTTTCTTTTTTTCTTTTTTTTTTTTTTTGAAACAGTCTCGCTCAGTCGCCCAGGCTGGAGTGCAGTGGCGCGATTTCGGCTCACTGCAAGCTCCTCCTCCCGGGTTCACACCATTCTCCTGCCTCAGCCTCCCGAGTAGCTGGGACTACGGGCGCCCACCACCACGCCCGGGTAATTTTTTGTATTTTTAGTAGAGACGGGGTTTCACCGTGTTTGCCAGGATGGTCTCGATCTCCTGACCTCGTGATCCGCTCACCTCGGCCTCCCAAAGTGCTGGGATTACAGGCGTGAGCCACCGCGCCCAGCCCACAATTTGGAATTTTAACTTGTGGTTAGATTGTTGGGGACAGAGACGGGGCCTGGAGTAAATATCAAATTCTAGTCCTAGACCCACAGCATTCTAACTGTATGACCTTGGTTAATCTCTATGAGCTCCCGTTTCCTACCAGCCTGGTAGATCATTGTGAAGACTCAACAGATGATTTAGATAAGAGCTCAGAAATTCTATAAGAGTTCTCAACAACAATGGTTTTCACTGATCCCAGTTAAGAGTTGTGAGGAGTAACAGTAGTGATGCTATTTTACAACAATGATGACTGTGTTCTCAGAAACAGAGCAAATGTTAACCCTGCCCATAGCTTCAACAGAAGGTAACATAGCCTAACAAAGTCCCCAACAGTCCCAATCAGCCAGCACTTCCCGACCTCTCCCCAATAGAAACGATATTATAAAAGCCTCAGCTTGTAAGCGATCAGGGTCTCAGCCAGACTCCTGACTGGAACTCCTTGCAGGCTTATTCCTGTGAATAAACCTGTTTGGCCGTTGAGTTGCCTCCTGTCTCTCGCTCTCTTCCCTTATATCTTCCTAACAAGAGTGGCTGAAGGAATTGTAAGTGTTCCAAAATTGAGAGCAAAGATCTTTTACTCCAGAGAAGATGGTCAGGGAAGGGAGGAGGAGGAGATGAGATAAAATAGGATGACAGGCCGGACGCGATGGCTCATGCTTGTAATCCCAGCACATTGGGAGGCCAAGGCGGGCAGATCACTTGAAGTCAGGAGTTCGAGACCAGCCTGGCCAACATGGTGAAACCCTGTCTCTACTAAAAATACCAAAATTAGCCAGGCTTGGTGGCACACGCCTGTAATCCCAGTTACTGGGGAGGCTGAGGCAGGAGAATTTCTTGGACCTGGGAAGCAGAGGTTGCAGTGAGCCGAGATCGTGCCACTGCACTCCAGCCTGGGTGACAGAGCGAGAGCCTGTCTCAAAAAAAAAAAAAAAAAAATAGGATGACGATGTCACTGAACTTCGTTAATTCAAAATCGGGGAGGAGCCTAGTTTGTACCAGGCACTGTGCTTTCAGCCAGGTAGATCCAAGGACCAGGAAACAGTTCCTCCGAAACCAAACCAGAGCAGATTCTTACTTTACCTAATAGAGGAGTAGGAAGCCATCAGGTTTTTCTCCGCTTTTATTTTTAAGATTTAACATACACATAATAAAATACAAAAAGTGCAGGAATCTTACATGTACAACTCAGTGATTTTTTACACATGTTAATACCCGTGTAACCACCACCTAAATTAACAGCCCTATCGTTTTGTTTTGGAAGTGGAGTGATCTCAGCTCACTGCAACCTCCTTCTCTGGGGTTCAAGCGATTCTCCTGCCTCAGCCTCCCGAGTAGCTGGGATTACAGGCATGCCCCACCATGCCCAGCTAATTTTGTAATTTTAGTAGGGGTAGGGTTTCTCCATGTTGGTCAGGCTGGTCTCAAACTCCTGACTTCAGGTGATCTGCCCCCCTTGGCCTCCCAAAGTGCTGGGATTACAGGCATGAACAACTGCACCCAGCCAACCCGGTTAATTTTTCTATTTTTTGTAGAGACAAGAGTTTCACCATATTGGCCAGGCTGGCCTCGAAATCCTGAGCTCAAGGGATCCACCTGCCTTGGTCTTCCAATATCCTGGAATTACAGGCATGAGCCACTGTGCCTGGTCGATGGTGTTTATTTGTTTGTTTGTTTGTTTTTGAGACAGAGTCTTGCTCTGTCGGCCAGGCTGAAGTGCAGTGGCAGGATCTCGGCTCACTGCAACCTCTGCCTCCTGGGCTCAAGCCATTCTCCTGCCTGAGCCTCCTGAGTAGCTGGGATTACAAGCATGTGCCACCACGCCCAGCTAATTTTTGTATTTTTAGTAGAGACAGGGTTTCACCCTATTGGCCAGGCTGGTCTCGAACTCCTGACCTCAGGTAATCCGCCCACCTCGGTCTCCCAAAGTGCTAGGATTACAGGCGTGAGCCACTGCGCCCGGTCTGTTTTTTTTGTTTGTTTGTTTGTTTGTTTGTTTGTTTTTGAGACAGGCTTGCTCTGTTGCCCAGGCTGGAGTGCAATGGTATCTTAGCTCACTCTAACCTCAAATTCCTGAGCATTGAGCGATCCTCCCAAGTAGCTAAGACTACAGGACCAGGCCACCTGGGTTCAAGCGATTCTTCTGCCTCAGCTTCCTGAGTAGTTGGTATTATAGGTGCCCGCAAACACGCCTGGCTAATTTTTGTATTTTTAGTACAGACAGGGTTTCTTTCTTTCTTTTTTTCTTTTTCTTTCTTTTTTTTTTTTTTTTTTTTGAGACAGAGTCTCGCTCTCTCGCCCAGGCTGGAGTGCAGTGGCACCATCTGGGCTCACTGCAAGCTCCGCCTCCCAGGTTCATGCCATTCTCCTGCCTCAGCCTCCCGAGTAGCTGGGACTACAGACACCCGCCACCACGGTCAGCTAATTTTTTGTATTTTTAGTAGAGACGGGGTTTCACTGTGTTAGCCAGGATGGTCTCGATCCTGACCTCGTGATCCACCCGCCTCGGCCTCCCAAAGTGCTAGATTACAAGCGTGAGCCACCGCACCCGGCGTACAGAGGGGGTTTCGCCATGTTGGCCAGGCTAGTCTCAAACTCCTGAGTTTAGGTTATCCACCTGCCTCAGGCTCCCAAAGTGCGGCGATTACAAGCATGATCCATCGCACCCAGTCAGTGGGAATTAAATGGAAAAACATTTTAAAGCACTTTATGATCAGGATAGTAGGGACTCAAATGCTAGTTTGCTCACTGTATTTCCAAAGAATGTTAAGAAATGAGAAGATAGGCCGGGCATGGTGGCTTACTCCCGTAATCCCAGCACTTTGCGAGGCTGAGGCGCGCGGATCATGAGGTCAGGAGTTCGAGACCAGCCTGACCAACATGGTGAAACCCTGTCTCTACTAAAAATACAAAAATTAGCCGGGTGTGGTGGTGTACACCTGTAATCCCAGCTAATCAGGAGGCTGAGGCAGGAGAATCACTTGAACCTGGGAGGCAGAAGTTGCAGTGAGCTGAGATGGCGCCATTGCACTCCAGCCTAGGTGACAGAGTGAGACTCCGTCTCAAAAAAAAAAAAAAAGAAAGAAAGAAAGAAAAGAAAAAGAAATGAGAAGATGACATCCCAATACAGTACAAAGACTTTACTAAGGGATAATAAAAGGTAATTTGAACAAACGTAAATCATACTACATGCCTGAAAAACAAGCTATGACTTTGATACTGTCCAAATGTCAATCCATTCAAAATTCATTTGGCATTTTAAAACCATCCCAATCTATATCCCAACAGAATTTGTTGGAAACTGGACAAAGTTTTTATTTTTTTTTCAGAAGCCATAGAAATGAATGGACAACATTATTTTAAATATCATCCGAGGTTGGGCCCAGTGGCTCATGCTTACAATCCCAACACTTTGGAAGGATGGCTTGAGGTCAGGAGTTTGAGACCAGCCTGGGCAACGTAGTGAGACCCCATTGCTACAAAAAATTTAGAAATTAGCCAGGTGTGGTGGCATGTGCCTCTAGTCCTATCTACTCAGGGGCTTAGACGGGAAGAGACCTTGAGCCTAGGAGTTCAAGGCCTCAGTGAGCTATGATTGTAGCACTGCACTCCAGCCTAGGCTACAAGAAAGACCTTGTTTCAAAAAAATTTTTTATCTCATGTATGATTTTAACTATGATAAAAGGGACATCCTGCACAGGTGCAGTGGCTTATGCTGTAATTCAACCACTTTGGAAGGCTGAGGTGAGAGGGTTGATTGAGTCCAGGAGTTCAAGACCAGCCTGGGCAACATAGGGAGAACCCCCCGCCATCTCTACAAAAATATAAAAAATTAGCCAGGGTCGGGTGCAGTGGCTCATGCCTGTAATGCCAGCACTTTGGAAGGCTGAGGCAGGCAGATCACCTGAGGTCAGGAGTTCGAGACCAGCCTGGCCAACATGATGAAACCCAGTCTCTACTAAAAATACCAAAATTAGCTGGGCGTGGTGGCATGTGCCTTTAATCCCAGATACTCCTGAGGCTGAGGCAGGAGAATCGAATGAACCCGGGAGGCGGAGGTTGCAGTGAGCCAAGATCGCGCCACTGCACTCCAGCCTGGGCCACAGAGCGAGACTCCATCTCAAAATAATAAATAAATAAATAAAAGTAAAAATTAGCCAGGTGTGGTGGCATGTACCTGTGGTCCCAGCTAATTGGGAGACTGAGGTGGCAGGATTGCTTGAGGCAGGAAGGTCAAGGCTGCAGTAAGCTATGATCGCACTACTGTACTCTAGCCTGGGTGAAAGCAAGACCGTGTTTCAAAAGAAAAATTTTTTTTAATTAAAAAAAATGACACTCCTGGACGGGTGCAGTGGCTCACGCTTATAATCCCAGCACTTTGGGAGGCCGAGGTGGGTGGATCACGAGGTCAGGAGTTCCAGACCAGCCTGGCCAACATGGTGAAACCCCGTCTACTAAAAATACAAAAATTAGCCAGGCGTGGAGGCGTGCACCTGTAATCACAGCTATTCAGGAGGCTGAGGGAGGAGAATCGCTTGAACCTGAAAGGCAGAGGTTGCAGTGAGCCAAGATGGCACCATTGCACTCCAGCCTGGGCAACAGGGTGAGACTCAGTCTCAAAAAAAAAAACACAAAAATTAGGCGGGCATGGTGGCACACACCTGTAATTCCAGCTACTAGGGAGGCTGAGGCAGGAGAATCACTTGAACCAGGGAGGCGGGGGTTGCAGTGAGCTGAGATCATGCCACTGCACTTGAGCCTGGGTGACAGAGCAAGACTCCGTCTCAAAATTTAAAATAAATAAATAATTTTTTTTTTAATTAACCAGGCATGGTGGCTCATGCTGATAGTCCCAGCTACTCAGGAGGCTGAGGTGGGAGGATTGCTTAAGTCTGGGTGGTCAAGGTTGCACTGAGCAGTGATTGTGCTACTGCACTCCTGCCTGGGCAACCGAGTGAGACCTTGTCTCCAAAAAAGTAAAAAAAAAAAAAAAAAAAAAGGAAGCCATCCCAAATCAATAGAGTGGAGTGGATTAACTAATAAATAATGCCAGGCACAGTGGCTCATGCCTGTAATTGAAACACTTTGGAAGGCCAAGGCAGGAGAATTGCTTGAGCCGAAAAGGTTGAGGCTGCAATGAGCTGTGATCACGCCACTGCACTCCCTCCTGGGTGACAGAGTGAGACCCTGCCTCAAAATAAATAAATAATAAATAGATAAATGAATAAATTGTTCTAGGTATTTAGAAAAAATCAACTTAGATCTCTATTGCACACTCCACACAAAATAAATCCCAGATAGATTTAAAAATGCCATTTAAGACCTGGCACAGTGGTTCACGCCTGTAATTCCAGCACTTTGGGAGGCTGAGGAGGGCAGATCACCTGAGGTCAGGAGTTCAAGACCAGCCTGACCAACATGGTGAAACTCTGTCTCTACTAAAATTACAAAAATTAGTTGAGCGTGATGGCACATGCCTGTAGTCCTAGCTACTTAGGAGGCTGAGGCAGGGGAATCACTCAAACTCAGGAGGTGGAAGTTGCAGTGAGCTGAGATTGCACCACTGCACTCCAGCCTGGGCGACAGAGAGAGACTCCGTCTCAAAAAAATAAATAAATAAATAAAGAGGCTGGGCGTAGTGGCTCACGCCTGTAATCCCAGCACTTTGGGAGGCCAAGGCAGGCAGATCACCTGACGTCAGGAGTTTGAGATCAGCCCAGCCAACACGGTGAAACCTCATTTCTACTAAAAATACAAAAATTAGCCGAGTGTGGTGGCAGGTGCCTGTAATCCCAGCTACTTGGGGGCTGAGGCAGGAGAATCGCTTGGACCTGGGAGGCGGAGGTTGCAGTAAGCCGAGATCGCAGCATTGCACTCCAGCCTGGGGGACAAGAGCGAGACTTCATCTCAAAAAAAAAAAAAAAAGAAAGAAAAGAAAAAAGAAAATGTCATTTAAGAAAATAAAACTGCTAGGCGTGGTGGCTCACGCCTGTAATCCCAGCACTTTGGGAGGCTGAGGCAGGTGGATCACGAGGTCAGGAGATCGAGAACATCCTGGCTAACACGGTGAAACCCCGTCTCTACTAAAAATACAAAAAAAAAAAAATTAGCCGGGCTTGGTGGCAGGCACCTGTAATCCCAGCTACTCGGGAGGCTGAGGCAGAAGAATGGCATGAACCTGGGAGGCGGAGCTTGCAGTGAGCCAAGATCGCGCCACTGCACTAAAGCCTGGACGACAGAGTGAGACTCCGTCTCAAAAAAAAAAAAAAAGAAAAGAAAGAAAATTAGGCCGGGCGCGGAGGCTCACGCCTGTAATCCTAGCACTTTGGAAGGCCGAAGTGGGTGGATCACGAGGTCAGGAGATCGAGACCATCCTGGCTAACACAGTGAAACCCCGTCTCTACTAAAAATACAAAATTAGCCAGGTATGCTGGTGCATGCCTGTAATCCCAGCTACTCGGGAGGCTGAGGTAGGAGAATTGCTTGAACCTGGGAGGCGGAGGTTGCGGTGAGCCAAGATCACACCATTGCACTCCAGCCTGGGCAACAAGAGCGAAACTCCGTCTCAAAAAAAAAAAAAAAAGAAAATTAGAGATGGTATCAACATGGGAGAGGTAACTTGATAAATTAACACTGAGGAATTTACTTGGTAAAGGGGGATAATATAAATTTTGAAAGCTTAAGGAATTGACAGAAAAATAAACATAAGAATAGGTCTTAATCATTAAAGAGTAACCACCAGAATAATCCCAGCTGCCATGCTTGGCTAATTTTTTATTTTTATTTTTTGTAGAGATGGGGGTCTCACTATTGTTGCCCAGACTGGTCTCGAGCTCTTGGGCTCAAGTAATCCTCTCGCCTCAGCCTCCCATAGTGCTGGGATTACAGGCGTGAGCAACCACGCCCAGCCATGTGAGAGTTTTAATTCCTCTACAGCCTCATCAACACTAGTTTTCTTTTTTTTTCTTTTTTCTTTTCATTTATTTATTTATTTATTTATTTATTTATTTATTTATTTATTTTGAGACAGAGTCTGGCTCTGTTGCCAGGCTGGAGTGCAGTGGCGAGATCTTGGCTCACTGCAACCTCCTCCTCCTGGGTTCAAGTGATTCTCTTGCCTCAGCCTCCCATGTAGCTGGGATTACAGGCGTGTGCCACCACACCCGGCTAATTTTTGTATTTTTAGTAGAGATGGGGTTTCACCATATTGGCCAGACTGGTCTTGAACTCCTGACCTCAGGTAATCCGCCCGCCTCGGCCTCCCAAAGTGTTGGGATTACAGGTGTGAGCTACTGCGCCCAGCCAATTTGTGTATTTTTAGTAGAGACAGAGTTTTGCCATGTTGGCCAGGCTGGTCTCAAACTCCTGGCCTCAAGTGATCCACCCACTTTGGCCTCCGAAAGTGCTGGGATTACAGATGTGAACCACTGCCCCCGGCCTACAGAGAGCAGTTTTATTAATCAAATGCTAACAGTTGAGATATGGCCAGACTCATGCCTTTAAAAGACTGTTCCAGCTTTTTGGGCTCAGTGAAGAGATTTCATAAGAAAAACTTGGCATGGGAAACATATGGGAGTGGTACAGGAGGGTATCTATGTGTCTTGTTCCGATAGCTCTCTTGAGTAATTTCTTGTCTGGAAGCCCAGTTGGCATCATCTTGACTTCTACCTGGTGGTTTTGGATTAATTGGTCGTGACTCCCCCTAAACAGGAGGATTCGGTAGCTGAAGGGGTGGGTTGCTCCTCCACACCTGTGGGTGTTCCTTGTTAGGTGGAACGAGAGACTTGGAAAAGAAAGAGACACAGACAAAGTACAGAGAAAGAAATCGGGGGACCAGGGGACCGGCGCTCAGCATATGGAGGATCCCGCCGGCCTCTGAGTTCCCTTAGTATTTATTGATCATTATTGGGTGTTTCTCGGAGAGGGGGATGTGGCAGGATCATAAGATAATAGTGGAGAGAAGGTCAGCAGGTAAACACGTGAACAAAGTTCTCTGCATCATAAACAAGGTAAAGAATTAAGTGCTGTGCTTTAGATATGTATACACATAAACATCTCAATGCCTTACAGAGCAGTATTGCTGCCCGCATGTCCCACCTGCAGCCCTAAGGCAGTTTCCCCCTATCTCAGTAGATGGAATATACAATCGGGTTTTACATCGAGACATTCCATTGCCCAGGGACGAGCAGGAGACAGATGCCTTCCTCTTGTCTCAACTGCAACGAGGCGTTCCTTCCTCTTTTACTAATCCTCCTCAGCACAGACCCTTTACGGGTGTCGGGCTGGGGGACGGTCAGGTCTTTCCCTTCCCACGAGGCCATATCTCAGGCTATCACATGGGGAGAAACCTTGGACAGTACCTGGCTTTCCTAGGCAGGGGTCCCTGCGGCCTTCCGCAGTGTTTTGTGTCCCTGGGTACTTGAGATTCCTTCAAGCATTTGTTTAGCAAAGCACATCTTGCACAGCCCTTAATCCATTTAACCCTGAGTTGACACAGCACATGTCTCAGGGAGCACAGGGTTGGGGGTGGGGTTACAGATTAAAATGGAGTCTCTTATGTCTACTTTCTATACAGACACATTACCAATCTGATCTCTCTTTCTTTTCCCCACAGGTAGCTGGGTCTTTATTCCTGGCTTGTTTCAAAATTAGCCCCTGGCTGAACAGGATGGCTCATGCTTGTAATCCCAACACTGGGAGGCACAGGCAGGAGGATTTTTTTTTTTTTTTTGAGATGGAGTCTTGCTCTGTCACCCAGGCTGGAGTGCAGTGAGTGATCTCCGCTTGCTGCAAGCTCCGCCTCCCGAGTTCATGCCATTCTCCTGCCTCACCTTCCCAAGTAGCTGGGACTACAGGCACCTGCCACCATGCCCGGCTAATTTTTTTGTATTTTTAGTAGAGATGGGGTTTCACCGTGTTAGACAGGATGGTCTCGATCTCCTGACCTGGTGATCTGCCTGCCTCGGCCTCCCAAAGTGCTAGGATTTCAGGCATGAGCCACTGCGCCCAGCCCCACTACGCCCAGCTATTTTTTGTATTTTTAGTAGAAATGGGGTTTTGCCATGTTGGCCAGGCTGGTCTTGACCTGAGGTATCCTGACTGGGATTACAGGCGTGAGCCACTGGGCCTGGCTATTTGTTTTTTTTGAGAGAAGTCTTGCTCTTATCCCCCAGGTTTGAGTGCAATGGCTTGATCTCCACTCACTGCAACCTCTGCCTCCCAGGTTCAAATGATTCTCCTGCCTCTGCTTCCCAAATAGCTGGGATTAAATCGCCTGCCACCAAGCCCGGCTAATTTTTGTATTTTTTAGTAGAGACTGGGTTTCACCATGTTGGCCAGGCTGGTCTCGAACTGCTGACTTCAGGTGATCCGCCCGCCTCGGCCTCCCAAAGTGCTGGGATTACAGGTGTGAGCCACTGCGCCCGGCCGGGCCTGGCTATTTTTTATTTTTATTTTTGAGGCAGAGTCTCGCTCTGTTGCCCAGGCTGGAGTGCAGTGGCATGACCTCAGCTCACTGCAACTTCTGCCTCCTGGGTTCAAGTAATTCTCAAGCCTCAGCCTCCTAAGTAGCTGGGACTACGGGCACACACCACCACACCCGGCTAATTTTTTGTATTTTAGTAGACATGGTGTTTCGCCATGTTGCCCAGGGTGGTCTCAAACTTCAGAGCTCAGGCAATCCACTCACCTCGGCTTCCCAAAGTGCTAGGATTACAGATGTGAGCCACCATCCCTGGCCAAAATAAATATTTTAAAAATATTTGGTAGAATTCACCAGTGAAGCCATCTAGTCCCGATTTTTTTTTTTTTTTTTTTTTTTTTTTGAGACGGAGTCTTGCTCTGTTGCCAGGTTGGAGTGCCGTGGCCCAGTCTTGGCGCACTGCAACCTCTGTCTCCTGGGTTCAAGTGATTCTCCTTCCTCGGCCTCCTGAGTAGCTGGGATTACAGGTGCCCACCACCACGCCAAGCTAATTTTTGTATTTTTAGTACAGACAGGGTTTCACTGTGTTAGCCAGGCTAGTCTCAAACTTCTGACCTTGTGATCTGCCTGCCTCAGCCTCCCAAGGTGCTGGGATTACTAGCCCGAGCCACCGTGCCTGCCCCCCACCTCCCCACCCTTTTTTTTTTTGAGACAGAGTTTCGCTCTTGTCGCCCAGGCTGGTCTCAAACTGTTGACTTCAGGTGATCCGCCTGCCTCGGCCGCCCAAAGTGTTGGGATTACAGGCTTGAGGCAAGGCGCGCCGGGCCTTTTTTTTTTTTTTTTGAGTCGGGGTCTCTCCCTCCCAGGCTGCAGTGCAGTGGTGCGATCATAATCTACTGCAGCTTTGAACTCCTAGTTTCAAGTGATCCTCCTGCCTCTGCCTCCTGAGTAGCTAGGACTACTATTTTTTGTAGAGATGAGGTCTGGCTATGTTGTCTCAAACTCCTGGCCTCAAGCGATCCTTCCACTCCTGCCTCCCCAAACACTGGTATTACAGCCATGAGTCACTGCACTTAGCTTCGCCTTTTTTTTTTAGAGCACTTTTAGGTTCACAGCAAAATTGAGGGGAAAATACAGAGTTCCCGTATATTCCCTTCCTCCATACACTCACAGCTTCCCCCATAATAAACACTTCACACCAGAGGTCTACAGGTGTTACATCTGAGGAACCTACACTGACTCATCATATTTGCCCAAAGTCTACACTTTCAGTTGTCTTGGTGTTGCACATTCTATAGGTTTTGACAAATGTATATGTACCCACCATTATGGTGTCATACAGAACTTTGGGTGATTGTAACAAATGTACCACTCTGGGGGAGATTGAGTATGTGGGGACAGGAGGTATATGGCAACTCTGTACCTCCTGCTCAATTCTGCTGTGAATCTGAAACTGTCTAAAAGTCATCCAAAAAAAAAAAAACAAAAACCCAAAACTTCCACATTCAAAACTTATCTGACTTGTTCAACTTTTAGAGAAAAAAGACAACCCTTCGTGGTTATTTTTTTTGTGTGTGACAGAGTCTAGCTGTCGCCCAGGCTGGAGTGCAGTGGCACGATCTCAGCTCACTGCAACCTCATCCTCCCGGGTTCAATTGATTTTCCTGTCTCAGCCTCCTGAGTAGCTGGGACTACAGGCGGGTGCCACCATGTCCGGCTGATTTTTTGTATTTTTAGTAGAGACGGAGTTTCACTGTGTTAGCCAGGATGGTCTCGGATCTCCTGACCTCATGATCCGCCTGCCTTGGCCTCCCAAAGTGCTAGGACTACAGGCGTGAGCTACTACACCCGGCTGGGCCTTCATGGTTATTAAATGTAAATACAACGGGGCCAAGCTCAGTGGCTCATACCTGTAATCCCAGCACTTTGGGAGGCCAAGGCAAGCAGATCATTTGAGTCCAGGAGTTCAAGACCAGCCTGAGCAACATAGTGAAACCCCGTCTCGACCAGAAAATACAAAAATTAGCCAGGTAGTCCCTGCTACAGGGCTGAGGTGGGAGGATTGCTTGAGCCTGGGAGGTCGCGGCTGCAGTGGGCCAAGATGGCACCATTGCACTCCAGCCTGGGTGACAGAGCAACACCCTGTATACCGTATACAACTGCTTAGATATGTACATGATTAGTGACAAGAGGGATCCTCCCTTGGTAATAGAAAATTTGGGCTAGGCATGCTGCATCCCAAACTGATGAACCGAAACTGCTACAAATGGTCTCTACCAACACATTCCCACGGCTAAGTACGAAGAACAAGGGCGAATGGTCAGAATTAAGCTCAAACCTAGCTGAAGCACTCAACATTGATTCATTCCTTGGACCAATTACTTGCTAAATCTCTATGAACTGGTATCTTATTTGTACAATGAGGTTGCTATTTTAAAAATTAATGTTACCAGCTGGGCCCAGTGGCTCAGGCCTGTAAACCCAGCACTTTGGGAGCCCAAGGCAGGTGGATCGCTTCAGGTCAGTTCCAGACCAGCTTAGCCAACATGGTGAAACCCCGTCTCTACTAAAATACAAAAAAAATTTAGCTGGGTATGGTGGCAGGTGCCTGTAATCCCAGCTACTCAGGAGGCTGGGGCAGTAGAATCACTTGAACCCGGGAGGCGGAGGTTGCAGTGAGCCTGGATCGCATTACTATACTCCAGCCTGGGCAACAGAGCAGGACCCAGTCTCAAAGAAAAAAAAAAAAAAAAAGTACGTTACTTAAAAATGCCTGGGATATAGGAGTCCAAATAATGTTAGCAGTAAAATAAAACCAGTATTTTGTTTCCTTGAAAAAAATACATATACAAATCTCAACTAAGTCCAAAGTGTCAATAACATTTTGATGATGTAATTATTCAAACTTTTTGAGGTTTTCACTGTCACACATGCTGGAGTGCAGTGGCACGATCATAGCTCACTGAAGCCTCGAAGTCCTGGGCCCAAGGGACCCACCCTCCAGCCTCAGTCTCCCAAGTAGCTGGGTCTACAGGCACACATCCCCACACTCAGATACTTTTTTTTTTTTTTTTTGAGACAGAGTCTTGCTGTTGCCCAGGCTGGTCCGACCTCAAGCTATCCTCCCATCTTGGCCTCCCAAAATGTTAAGATGACAGGTATGAGCCACCATGCCTGGCCCAAAATTTTTCTATTTTTAAAAACTCACAGCACAAAAACTGTAGAAAAGAATATTTTATTGAAACAGTTTCTCAATTAACAATGGAGCAAAGTACAATTTGACTCAAACCTGTCCAACCAGCATCAACAGCTACTGAAAGAATTCAAACATACAGAAGAGGTGGGGGTGGGGTGAGGGGTGGGACCCTTAGGTCCCATCTCTGCCAATGTGGCAAAAAAAAAAAAAAAAGGAAAAGACAAAATGACTGACACAGCCAGGTTCATTCTTGTCTTGGAGCTGAGGCAGCAGCCCTAGCTCCTGCTACAGACGGAATACTGGAGGACGGGCTCCCTAGGCGTAGGTATGGTGGGTCGGGGGCCCCCAACCTAGCAGAGTGATGCACAGAGGAAGGCCAGCCCTGACCCTCCTCCTTCATCCACAGGCCTGCCTCAGAGAGAGGGAGGTGGCATCTCTACATTCACACCATGGTCTCTCCTTTCCCCAGGATCTTGGGATAGGGACTCACAGTAGAAAGCACATTTTGGTCAGCCCAGGGGGTCAGGGGGTGAGGGAAAGGCTCTGTCTGGGAGGAGCAGAACAGCAGAAGAGAGGAGGAGGCAGGGAGTTACAGGAACCTGGGGTACCAGGCTGCTGGGAAGATGCAGATTATGACAGAGCTTGCACGATGCTGGCACCCCATGCCAACCACTCTACGTGGCTTTCCTCTTCGGAGAGGTGGTGGGCTCCCTTCTTCACTGTGCCCCTCCCTCCTCTGGCCACTAGGGGTGGGAAATACGAGTGAGAATCCTTCCAGATTTACTTCCGCCAATCCAGAGGTACAGGCTTTTAGGCAAGGGGCAGAGAACTGCCCAATTTGCTGCAGGAAGCCAAGGAAACCCAGGGGGAAAGGAGCTGGATGGGAATGGGGAAGGGAGGCTCAGAGCAAGAGAAGCCCGCAGAGGGAGGAAAGAGCACAGATAGGCACTCAGAAACCAAACCTGGTAACTGAGGCTCTGCAGACACTGGCCTGAAAGGATGCTCATCGCATGGTGGGAGAGGAAGGGAGGGAAGGAACAATCACCAGAGAAGAGTGGAAACTCCCCAGCAACCTGATACCCTTCCCATCACCGGGACCCATCAGCCACTGGCAGCCATTCTCTTCCTACCCACAGGCAAAGGATTCAGAAATTAATAGTGATTTTTCCCAAATTTAGGGCCTATATGGGTAGGGAACAGGGAGTGGGGCTGGGGAGGAGAACAGTTTCCATTTTTAACCACAGAGGTACTGCAGAAGGAACCAGTGAGCTGTCCCTCCCTTCCCCTTCTCCACACCTCCAAATCACAGGGGTGAGAAAGGAACTCCAGCCGAGGGCAGGACCAACCCCTCCCCCAACCCTCGATGTTAAATAAATAGAAGTGGTGGGGGAAGGGGGTGGAGATGAATGGGGAAAACAGAGGTGGGGGTTATAGTTCGTCGTTCTTCAAAGGCCGCTTCTGTCCTGTCGATTGTTCTTTCTGTTCAGGTTCTGTTGGGAGTTTGGGGGAGCAAAGGAATCACCGCAGGTGAAACAGAGGAACCAACCCCAGTTCTTTGCAAAGGATTTCCTGAGACCCCACCAGGCTTCCCACCGTAGCCCCGGCTCCATCCTCACCTGCTCCAGGACCTCCTAACTCCAAAGGCTCAGTGTCTCCTGGCTCGGATCCTGCTTTGGGAAGAAACAGGTTAGTCTCCTCAGAAGGGAGGAAGAGGCTAAGGGAAGGCTGGGCCAGTTTTTCCATGAAGAGCCAGCTAGTAAATATTTTAGGATGCATGTACCACATTTGGTCTCTTTGCCTACTCTGTTTTTTGAGACAGAGTCTCTGTTGCCCAGGCTGGAGTGCAGAGTGCAGTGGCGCCATCTTGGCTTACTGCAACCTCTGCCTCCCAGGTTCAAGTGTTCTCCTGCCTCAGCCTCCTGAGTAGCTGGGATTAAAGGTGTGCGCCACCACGCCTGACTCTTTTTTTTGGTATTTTTTTAGTAAAGATGGGGTTTCACCATGTTGGCCAGGCTGGTCTCGAACTCCTGACCTCAGGTGATCTACCCGCCTCAGCCTTCCAAACTGCTGGGATTACAGGCGTGAGCCACCGTGCCTGGCCTTTTTTTTTTTTTTTTTTTTTAAACAACCCTTTAAAAACGCAAAGGCCATTCAAGCTCATGGGCTGTCTAGAAACAGGCTGTGCCTGCCAGTTTGCCTACCCCTGGGCTAATGCAACATCCACGTGCTCAACCATGGTTGCTCCAACTCACCAGTCTCTACTTTCTCAGGTTCTGAAATGGGCTCTGCATCTTCAGTCTGGCCTAGAAGGAAACCAGGGGTAAGACATAGCCTCAGGAAGGAAAGGAGGCTGTCTCCCTGTCCAGCAGAACATGCAGCCAGGTACCCTGTTCTCACCTGCTGGAGGGATGACCTTCTCCCCCTGGTCACTGGCACTGGCATTGAGGGGTGGCTCTGCCCGGGTCCCATTCTTGTCCTTAGGCCGGGGCCGGGGCTTGGTAAACTTGGCCTTATTGAGCAGATACTGCACCTCTCGGTCCAGGGCCATCATCTTAGCTTCAATGTCTTTTGAGAGCAACACAGGCTTCTCTGTGGCGGGCAGCTTAGCCTGCTCGGCCAGAGTTGCATTCTTCCAGGCCTGTGGGTGAGACCAGGAGAGGCTCCAAGCTAGCCATGGAGAGAGCAGACATCTCTGTCCCAGATGGAATCACACCCCCAACCAGCCTCTTCCCTCAGACTGCAAATCACTGCCACCCCTGGCCTCAGCCCCAAGAGGCTAACAGACTCCTCAGAAGGGTATTAAAGGTTCTCCACAATGAAGTCCCAACCTGCAGGTTTCTGGTTTACATCCTACTACTCTGGAGTGACTACAACTGAACAAACCCCTTGAATAGTCCTTTTTTTTTTTTGAGACGGAGTCTCGCTCTGTTGCCAGGCTGGAGTGCAGTGGCGCGATCTCGACTCACTGCAACCTCCGACTCCTGGGTTCAAAAGATTCTCCTGCCTCAGCCTCCTGAGTAGCTAGGACTACAGGCGACCACGCCCAGCTAATTTCTGTATATTTAGTAGAGACGGGGTTTCACCATGTTGACCAGGATGGTCTCAATCTCTTGACCTGGTGATTCGCCCACCTCAGCCTCCTTAAGTGCTGGGATTACAGGCGTGAGCCACCGCGCCCAGCTGAATACTCATTTCTTGACTCTCCACTTTACTGAGCTCTGGCTCAAGAGTCCCCACACATCCAAAACAGTTTCTGCTTCACATGACACATCAGTTTCACCTAGCCAAACCCTGGCCCATGTTCTGAACCTAGCTCAAATCCCAGCCCCTCAAAGCAGCTTTCTCTGTCCTCATGGGATGGGCTTTTTTGCTCCTCCAGGCTGATGACTCTTATGGCCATGGCCCTTGCTTGGGACTAATCAGAGGTGGGCTCAAATACAAACATCTTTTGTCTTCAGGTTAGATGCTAAGCCAGGAGGCAGGGGCTGCTGTGGCTTCATCTCTCCACCTCTCCCACAGTACCTAGGATGGCAGCTAAGTATCTGGTTAAGTATTTACGAAGTGATTACCCAGGTCTCATTGATGACTTTCTCTAACGTTGTCATCTCCACCTCAGTGAAGATCTGGTCCATCTCTGGGATGAGCCGGGCCCCCCTGGAAGCCAGAAAGGAGACCATTAGCCCCAGAGGGAGAGGGGCCTGGAGTGTGGGGAGTGGGAAGCTGGTAGGAATGAAAACCAGTGGCCTTGGCAGGACTGCAAAAAGGGTTCAGGGGCTGCTCACTTGAGGAACATGCTGGAATGGTTGAGGAGATTATCGAGGGCAGACAGCCGTTCGGGCCACTTCTTGCGCTCCTCTACCCGAAAAAACAGCCCTTGGCACAGCTTCCTCAGCTCAGCCAGCTTCTCCTTCAACATCTGATGGATGTGCGATTGGGCAGAGGGGTGGAAGGGACGACAGCAGAGCCTGGAGTCAGCCCCATGTCCTTCTTTATGGGCTCAAGCCCCAGCTCTTCTCTCTCTCTGACCCTGGGAGAGGAAGGAGAGCTCCCACTCCACCTGCCATGTCCTGAGAGGCCCCTCACCACTGTGGTGGCTCCAACACCCTCATCCTCCAGCCAGGTGGATGCGGCGCTGAGCTTCCCAGAGATCTCCTCACGCTGCTCCTCTGTGGACACTTCCTGGTACTCGGGCTGGTACAGCTTGTCCTGGGGAGGGGGACATGTAAACACATGCACCCACAAGCCCAGAGGCAAGGCCCACAGAGCCAGGTGTAAGCCCAGTGGGGGGGCTGCTGCCTCCTGCCCACTGACCTGGGTCTCAAATATGAATGCTTCCAAGCTGTTGGCAGCTTTTTCCCGTTCCTGCTTCTCCAGGTCTCGGAGTGTCAAGTCCTGAAGTCTATGGGACAAAGGAGGGGTAGGGATGAGGGAGAGGGCAAGTGAGAACTTGAGACTCTGGGTCCGACAGCCCTCCCTCCCAGGGCGCCATCCCACATCCTGCCCACCTTGCACACACATGTACACACACACACCAGCTGTCCTCACTTACTTCTGCACCGACTGAGCCAGCTTATCCTCTGGCAAGTCAGGCAGGTCCAGAACAACCAGCTCCACCCCGATCTCCTCTACCATTCGCCGCTTCCTGGCGGGCTTCTGCTTCTTCTCTCCCTCTGGGGCTGGAGCGACGCCCTCAGGCCCTGCCTCTGCCTTCTCACTTGGTTTCTGGGTGGGAAGAGTCAGGGGTGTCAGGAAAAGCCTCTGCCCTCCTACATTCTCCACAAGGCCAGAAACAAGGCAGGCGCCTGCTCCCTTAGCCTCTGGATCCACACTGGCCTTCCTCTGCCACAGCTCACCTGGGCCTCAGACTTGTCCCCATTTTCTTTTTCTGTGGCCTTTTCTCCCTCAGGGGTTGCATCTCCCTTAGGTTCAGGGGGTGGGGGCTGAGAGCCATCCTCCACTGGGGCCTCAGCTTCCTCCTTGAGCTCCACCTGCTCCCCAGGCTCGTCCTTGCTCCCCTCTGCAGGGCTCTCCTCTTCCTCCTGGGAAACACCACAGGCGCCCCAGGGAACGATCAGGAGCAGAGCCTCCAGGCAGGCCTGGCTCGGCACCGCCGACCCCATGGGGGTTCCATACAGGTGACTGCTGTATGGAAACGGTCAATGGCCTGCTTGGACTGTGGCAATCTAGCTGGACAAAGGAAGAGCATCTGCAATGAGGGGAATGGGCCTTGGGAGCACCAGTCAAGAAACAGCTCAGAGCCCAGAGGATCCTGGGGAGTGAATGGTTAACACAACAGGGGCAGGGGTGGCCTACCCTCACCCCCTTCCTCTGCGGCTACTACCTGCATCCCCCACCGTCCTCCATGCTTCCCTGGCTCCATCCTGAACTCACCTGGACAGTATCAGTACCATTCTCCTTGGCATCTGGTGTGGTACCGCCTCCAAACAGGCTGGAAATGGTGTTGCCAAGTTCTAGGGGGAGTAAAACCCAAAGACTCAAAAGGAGACCACAGCAGTGACTCCACCTTCTAACCCAAGGGCCATGCCCTGTCCACCTCCCCAACCTTCACACAAGTATATTCTCTCCCATACACACATGCATGCTCATCTTACTGGTGAGAGTAGATTCCTCTTCTGCGCTGTCCTCTACCAGTGTCTCAAATACAGACTCCACCTGAAAACAGGTTCAAAATGAAAAAATACACAGGCTAATCCACCTTTTCTCCACAAACATCTGCCAAAGTGGGTGTTTGCTTATGCACACTCCATGCCGTCACAGGCCTAGTCTCTCACCTGCCTTTTCTAAGGACTTGGAGGTGGCTGCCCATCTCCTTTGATTAAGAGCCCTCCATGAATAGGGTCCCAGCTCCTCTTTCTCCAAAGAGCCCCCTACTTCTCCACTCAATAACTGTATTGGCTATTACATCCATATTACCCCCAGATTTGTTCTTCAAAAACGGATTCCTGGCCGAGTGCAGTGGCTTATGCCTGTAATCTCAACACTTTGGGAGGCCAAGGCAGGTGGATCACTTGAGGTCAGGGGTTTGAGACCAGACTGGCCAACATGGTGAAACCCTATCTCTACTCCAAATAACAAAAATTAGCCAGGTGTGGTGGCAGGCGCCTGTAATCCCAGCTACTCAGGAGGCTGAGACAGGAGAGTCACTTGAACCCGGGAGGCGGAGGTTGCAAGATCACGTCACTGTACTCCAGCCTGGACAACAGAGCAAGACTCTGTCTCAAAAAAAGTAATAATAATAATAAGTGGATTCCTGAGGCTGCGTGGCTCCCACCCATAATCCCTGTACTTTGGGAGGTTGAGGCAGGATGATCGCTTGATCCCAGGAGTTAGAGACCAGTCTGGCAACATAGTGAGACCCTATCTCTATAAATAAAGTACAAAAAAATTTCGCAGGATATGGTGGCACATACGTATCGTCCCAGCTACTCAAGAGGCTGAGATGGGAGGATCATTTAAGCCCAAGTGTTCAAGGCTGGAATGCGCTATGACCATGCCATTATATTCCAGCTTAAGTAACAGAGCCAAGACCCTCTCCAAAAAAAAAAAAAAAAAAAAAAAAAAAAAAAAAAAAAGAGTGGATTCTTCAAACCATTCAATTGTTCCAAGAAATTTACAATGCCTATATCAAACCATTCAATAGTTCCAAGAAATTTACAATGCCTATAAGCATTTATAGGCTATAAGGAGGTCTGCACCAGATCATCAGTTAGCTCTGTTCAGAGCCAACATTTTTCTGATTCCTAAACCTTTTTTGGTTATCTTATCCTAATGCCATGTGGAACCCACTTTGGAAATGGCTGGCAGGGCCTGAGCCCCTGCTCTGCACACAGGGTATCCTTTAGCTCTCACCCTGTCTAGACTGAGCACGCCACTCTCATCCAGGTTGAAGTGAGCCTTGATGCCCTTGGACTCGTAGTCAGGATACTTCTTGAAGCTGTCACCCACCCCTTTTAGCTTCACTGTGGTCAGATTCTGGGAGCCAAATACCCTGGTTGGGAAGGAAAGAGGAGTTCAGGGGGACCCACCCCAGCCCATCTCGCCCTCTAGACTACATGGCCTCCTGGCACAAGGTGTCAGGGGCACTCCCCAAGGGCACACTCAAGAGGACGGATGCATTCTCCAGCGAAGCTGATCATAGCTGCCCTGTTTCAGCCCCGCAGGCCCACATCCTCCCTCACCCCCAGTCCTCAGATTATCCAGCAGCCACGCCTCCCCCTCCCTGGAGCTCCCATCCTACACCCCTGCCCCTCACCGAAGATCTTCAGGCCCCAGGAAGCCCAGGTCGCCGTAGTTGATGTGGAAGTTGAAATCATGGCTGTAGCGGTTAAAGGTGATGACTTTGCGTTGAGGGTAGGGCCCCATCCGAGAGAAGAGTACCCGTTTATTGTGCTTCAGGCTGTGAATCCCAGGCTCCTCCTCCACCTCCCTCGTGAACTCCACCTACACAGCAGGCAGACAGAGGCACACTGTTGCACACTAGAGAACCCGAGTAGGTTCTGGGGTAAGGATGGGGGTGGGATGGGGGAGACCTCTTAGCAGAAAGACAAAGGGATGAGCCAGAGCAGACAGAAGGGGAAACCCTACTTGGGAGAGGTAAAGGGAGCTTGTCACCTGCTCAGTCAGGCTCACTCACCAGGATGGGGTAGACCACTGCATCTCGGACGACAAATGGCTTCACTTTAAAGGCTTTGCTGAGCGCAGCTGCCTGGTACACTGCCCCCATGGCGGCTGCTTCATCTGCATTGATGTTCTTCCCCAGCTCCTCCCTGGGAAAGCCCCAAGCCTCAGCACGGTCTACCCTGGAGCATGCAACCGGGACTTCCCTCCCCTCAGCCCTCCAGCTGCTCAGCCCAAAGCCCTGCCCCAGGCAGAACTCAGCCAAGCGCTCTAGCCCCCACACTCACTTGCCCACGGCCTTCAGCAGCACCTCCTGAACTCTGGGGACCCGAGTGGCCCCACCCACCAGGATCACCTGCTCAATCTCATCCTGCAGTGGGTAAGAATGACAGGTGCAACAGCATGCAGTTAGCACTGACTCGTCCCTTGACGTCCCATGGGTTTCCTATGCCCTTTCCTACGGGGCATTCCCGCCTTCCCCTACTCGCTCACCAGACTCATTTCGGCACTCTGGAGGGCCTGCTGTACAGGCCCAGGCACCCGCTCAAACAAGTCTGCACACAACTCCTCAAATTCCACACGAGTCACTTTTGCCTTGAAGTCCACATCATCCATCAGGCCTTCAATCTGGGAGAGGATGGGGACTGTCAGGGGGTTCTTGCCCAGCTCCCGCTCTCTTGGTGAGTAGGACAGAAACAAAAAGAATAGGTCTTTGGGAGGATGGTAGCGGGAGGAGCATGGGCCATGCCAGGCACGAGCAGCCCAGTTCAGTGGCAGGGTCCCCCACCCTCTACGTGGGACAAAATATAGCCTCAACCAGCCACTTGTGGGCACCTGTGCCATGTGGTCAGCGTTGGCACTGAGGACGGTTTTGAGCCGATTAGCCTCACGCAGCAGCTTGGCCATGGCACGCGGGTTCTCCCGCACATCCTTTGCTCTCTGACCCTTGCGCTGCTCATTGAAAAGCCCAGCCAGGCGTTCTCGAAGCCGGAGCTCCATCTCCAGGCCCCCCAGGGTACGGTCAAATCTGTTGAGAAAAGGGAGCAGGGAAAAAAGTGAAGAACACATGGAGTCCCCGCATCTGCACAGGAGCCTCTCATCCCCACATGGCACCTTTCCTTCATCTCAGGGGACCTTGTTCATCTCCAGTGCCCCATGTGTGGACACACACTCTGCCCTCAACTCTCTACAGCACAGCTGACACCTCGCAGTGACCCTTCTTCCACTCATTCATTCGACAGTGTTTACTGAGCATTACTTATGTACTTCCCTCTGGGAATACAAATGTGGCGGTGGGGAGAGAGACAGGGTCCCTGCTATGGAAAAGTTGAATAATCACACAAATGTGAAATTATCACTACGTCACATGTTGTAAAGGTGAGGGGACAATGCCTGCAGAACATGCATGGGGGGAGATTCAGGCTACTGAGGGAGACCCAAGAACATGTCTCCTAAAAAGTGATGCTTGAACTGAAACCTGAAGGATGAGTTCAGTGCAAGCATCACTTGAACTGAAGAGTTCAGAGTTCACTAGCTGGAGGGGAAAGAACATTCTAGACAGAGGCAACAACGTTCATAAAGACCTTGAAGTGGGAGAGTGCATGGCAAGTTCCGGAGGAGGGCAAGCATCACTGGGGCTCAAAAAGCGAGAGGGCTCAGGGCTCAGACAGGCTGCAGAAGGCAGGGTTGAGACAGGCACAGGGAAAGTTATGGAGCCAGCGACAGGTTTTTAAAGAAACAGGTAATGATTAGGTTGGATTTTAAGAAGAACCCTCTGGCTGCAATATGAAGAAAGAACTGAAAGGAGACGTCACTAGGAACAGGGAGATGTTTTTAATTCTGCAAATAAGAGGTGATGGTAACTTGGGCTGGGTGGTAATGGTGAAGACGGAAAAAGATGATTTCAAGAAATAAGACAACAGGGCACATGTTCTCAGGATCTCCTGAGGGCTATGTCACAGGCCATAAAAAAAAATTTAAAAAGAGGTAAGACAACAAGAATGGTAAATTATTTAACTGGAAATGACAAGAGAACAAAAACATGATTGAATCTGACACCCTACATATTGCCTGCGGCTCCATGGATTTCCTTAGAATACATTTTGAAAGTTCCATGTCTTCCAGTTTTCCCAAACTGTCCTCCCCTGAGCCTCAGCTTCCCCTTACTCTTTGTGAGTGGTCCCCTACAATGACTGATGCCTCAATCAGGAGACCATTCCTGCAGCATGCAGGAAAGCAAAGCAGTGTGTCTCCTCCAAGAAGAAACCCCTGACTTGAGGGTCTTCACAAGCAGCCCTCCCTGCCAAGTATCCACTTACCCTACTCCCCGGATCTGCAGCTGTGGCTGCATCCCAGCTTCCTTAGTCTTCACCATCTGGTAGGTCACAATGGTGCATACGGTGCTGCCTGAGCCCATGTCATAGAACATGATATTCTGTAGAGATATCAAGGCAACTGTCACAGGAACCTTCTCAAACTCCAGGGGGCCTGCCTGCCCACCCACCTGCTTCCAATGGGCTGTCTGACTCTTAACACAAAACTAAACAGCTCCAACAGGGGCTGGGAGGAGGCTATTGGTGCATTTTGCCAAGGGTCAGCCCAGCCATGCAAACCAGATGCAAAAGGGACCAAGTGGCCTCCATCCTTAGATTCAGTCACCCTGCATGTCTGGTCAAGGCTCCCCTGGCTCACCTGGGCAGTGGTGTTAATATCTTTCCGGCGGAAGACACCATAGCTGAGGGCAGTGGCGGTGTTGTCATTGATGAGCTGCAGCACTTTGAGGCCAGCCATACGAGCAGCCTGCAGCACAGCTCGGCGCTCGGCCTGGTTGAAGAAGACTGGCACGGTGATCACTGCATCCTTGATGGGCTGCTCTACAGATGACAACAGAAAAGGGTCCCGCCGGCTCCATACCTTAGATGAGGGCTTCTAATCTGGTCACTAATGACATTTTGGACTAGGTAATTCTGTGTTGTGGGGCTGTCCTGTGCACTGTAGGATGTTGAGCAGCATCCCCGGCCTCTACCCACTAGATAGCAGGTGCACCCCTCAGATGTGACAACCAAAATCTATCTTCAGATGTTGCTAAATGTTCCCTGGGAGGCAAACTTGCCCCTGTTGGAGAATCACTGCCCTAGATCCTGGGGAGCCTGGCCCTAAGGGCCCCACCTTGACCACTCACCTGCAAAATCTTCAGCTAGAGAACGAGAATAATTGAGAACCATGCCCAACACTTCCTCAGGTGAGAACTGCAGCTGCCTGAGGGGAAGGAAGGTAGTTGGAGCCAAGGAAAGCCAGGCATTAAGGCAGGACAATCAGGAACACACACCAATGAGGAGCCCAGCAGCGTTGCCGAGACCACCTTCCCCAACAGAGCACTCACGAGCTGATCTGAAAGTGCACAGTCTGCCTCTGTGGGTCGAAAGTCAGCTCGTGCTCCGGGAAGCGGGCCTGGTAAAGAGCTACATGGGGGTTATCTGCCTGCTTCCCCAGGAGGTGCTGGAAGTAACGTAGCGTAGCCTTTGGATTCTTAATCGCCTGAGGGGTGAAGAAGGAGCAGACTAGTATTAGGCTCCCAAGTCCACCATTACCTACCTCTTACATCACAGAGACTGATAAGGAAACAGACTCTGGGGGCTGCCATCTCCTCTCCTCTGCCCACCACTCTGGGAAGAGGGACTGCTAGCTCACCATGCTTGCTGCACTGTCTCCAAAGAATCTTTCATTTTCTTTCAGGGTCACGATCACCGGTGTTTTCCTCCGAGATTCCCTGAGGAAAAGAGATTTTGGGCCCAGGTGCCTGCAGCAGAAGGACTCAGAAGCCTCGACACTCACACACATTTAACCACTCAGATGCCGAAGTCTGCTGTGGGCACTATGACTAACACATTCACACTTGGAGCCCAGACTCCCTCGTTCCCCACCCTTAACACGGGGGCCACCCTCACTTATTCAAGACAATTTCCATGGGCACTCCAGGTTTGACAATGGCCACCTTCATGGACTCACTGCCCAGGTCCACAGACATCACTGCCAGTGTATCTGAAGGGAAAAGAGGTTTGTCAGTTAGCTCTCCCTTCGCCCACCTTCCTGGGACTCCCTCTAATCAAAGCATACCACTTTCCATGGGTAAACGAAGATGGCAAAAGACAAAAAGGCCTGGACCTAACAACTCAAGAGACTTCTGGCCAACAGCCCCAAGCTCAATTCCCATCATGCATCCTTCAGTCATCATTTATCCATTTGCTCCCTCTACTGGGGTACATACCACTCAGTGCCAACAGGTCTGCCAAGAGCACAGCCACCAAGGCCCAACAGACTCGCCTCCTCGGCCTCTGCCTCCTAACTTTGTCTGCCATAGTGCCCCTGGGGGAGGCGAAGAAAGAAAACACTTAAAACTGGATACCCGGAGTGAAGGAGACAGAATCACATCCCAGAACGGAGAGGCTGTAAGATTCATATCTACTTCATTCTTACCCAGGGCAGATCAGCCTACTTCTCCCCTTCTCCCTCCTGATGGGTACAAACCATTCTCTAATCATCCCAGCAGCGCCCACACAAAGGCCCAAGTGAAAGAGCATGGGTCCTCGGCTTTGCCACATCCCTAAACAGAGAAGCTAACAGGACAAGAGAAAGGAGACCCGAGCCTTTTGTCCACCACACAGGCAGTGAGTGGCGCACCGCAGCACTGTGCCTGTTGTCAGACACCTGGGGTGCGGCCAGGGATCCCCGCCCAGGGCTCAACCACCTCCCCACACCTGGAGCTCCCCCGCTGACGGGGAAAGCCAGCTGGGCCTGGACGGGAAGAGAAAGGTAATGACGTTGGGGGTAGCTAGGATGAAGGAAAGGCCTATCTCCTCCTCGGCATCCCTGCGGGTTGTCCCGCCCCCTCCCCTTTCCCAGCTCACTCCCCGGCCCCGCTGTGCCCACAGACGCAGTGCCAGGGGCGGTAAGGTTCCCCGCCCGGCGGGTAGCCGTTACCCGGTGTTCACCTAAACCCCACCTGACGAAGGCGGCGGCTCCCACTCCCGGAAACGGATCCCGGCCCGCCCCAGCAAGTGGGGACAGACCGGGGGCCGAGCTGCGTGCCCCCCGGTGCGAGGCCGAGCGCCCGGCGTCCGCGCGGCCCTCCCTTGCGCTCCCGACCCGCCCCCGGAGCTCGCACGCTGTCTCCCCTAGGAGGGGTGGCCGGCCCGCACCTCCATCCACCCCCGCTACCTCTTGCCTCCGCTCCTGCGGCCCCAGCTCTGGGACAGACGCGGCACGAACGTACCCACGAGGCCGGCAGCGCCCCCCACCCGCGCCCTTCACAACTCCTCTCGGTTTGCAAACTGTTACATTAGCCACCAACCTCTCGGCGGCGTCTCGCGCACCAGCCGGCCCCGGACGCGGCGCGCGCTCATTGGAGCCTCGGCCGCCCGGCCCTGCGCTGCGCGCCCGGCCCCGCCCCCGCCGCCCCGGCGCGCGTACTCATTGGACCACGTCCCAGGCCCCGCCCCCTCCCTTTGCCAGCCTTGTAATGGGGCGGCGGAGGGGACCAGCCACCGGTTGGGCAGAAGCAGCCGGCGTCGGCCTGGGATTGGACCACGTCACGGGGCCAGCGCGCTCCACTCCTTCCTCCCCAGCGCCGGCCCCGGGGCGACCGCGGGACCTTTTCCGGCGCTGGATGCTTTGCTGCCGGGGTTCGGGAGTGACCTGCGCCTAGAGCAGGTCGGGCGCACTGCAGTCCCGCACTCGGGGCTCTTCTTCCGGTCACCTGTAGAGCCCGGCCGAGGAATGGAATAACAGGCGTCCTGTCCGCAGCCCCGCGGAGGGGGCGCTGGCCTGCCGGTTAGTATTGAGGTGCCCTAGGCTTTGGATAGACGTTGGAGAATGGCTGTCCCTCGGACTGAGTCCGTCGCAACCCCCTCTGTTTTACTGAGGAAACTGAAGCCACAGAAAAAGATGTTTGCTGATGGGTCAGAGATAACCGATGCATTCGTCGCAGAATCTGGCCAGGATTTCTTAGGTTAAGCCCCACTCATTTGTATAAGAAAGAATATTCCAAACTTAAGTACTACACACAAAAGACACTTTTATTTGTGAGGCTATAGTTGGTTGAGCTTGTGTGCACCTTCTCCTATTTCTGTTCTATTAAATCTTGTGAACATTTCTCTACTCTTTAGCTGTTTCTGTCATAGAATGACAGAAGCACCTCACTGCCTTCTCTTTTAACTTACAGCTCCATAGAAATGTGCGCAGTCGCCCGGGCGCGGTGGCTCACGCCTGTAATCCCAGCATTTTGGGAGGCCAAGGCGGGCGAATCACTGGAGGTCAGGAGTTCGAGACCAGCCTGGCCAACATGGTGAAACCCCGTCTCTACCAAAACTACAAAAATTAGCCAGGCGTGGTGGCGGGTGCCTGTAATCCCAGCTACTCACGAGGCTGAGGCAGGAGAATTGCTTGAATCCGGGAGGCAGAGGTTGCTGTGAGCCCAGACTGCGCCACTGCACTCCAGCCTGGGCGACAACAGCGAGACTCCTTCTCGAAAAAGAAATGTACGCAGTCCTTGGAGACTGCATTTTCCTTAAGTGTGGATGGAAATAAGTCATCTGTTTTCTCTCCTACTAAGTTGATGCCTGGCCACCCTTCACAGAAAGGCCCGCTTGAAGACCCTGGCTGTCAGGGCCAGGGTTGTGTCAAGCCTGAACTTGTTTAAGGAGCTCTTAGCTCTTCCTTTCTCTACATTTTTCGTGATGCTTAGGTGGAGAGTGGTCCGGTGTCTATGCTTAGAAGGAAAAATTATTGGCAGTCCCAGAGAGAGTCTATTCTTCCTTTTTTTTTTTTTTTTTTTTTTATTGATCATTCTTGGGTGTTTCTGGCAGAGGGGGATTTGGCAGGGTCATAGGACAATAGTGGAGGGAAGGTCAGCAGATAAACAAGTGAACAAAGGTCTCTGGCTTTCCTAGGCAGAGGACCCTGCGGCCTTCCGCAGTGTTTGTGTCCCTGGGTACTTGAGATTAGGGAGTGGTGATGACTCCTAACGAGCATGCTGCCTTCAAGCATCTGTTTAACAAAGCACATCTTGCACCGCCCTTAATCCATTTAACCCTGAGTGGACACAGCACATGTTTCAGAGAGCACAGGGTTGGGGGTAAGGTCATAGATCAACAGCATCCCAAGGCAGAAGAATTTTTCTTAGTACAGAACAAAATGAAGTCTCCCATGTCTACTTCTTTCCACACAGACACAGCAACAATCCGATCTCTATCTTTTCCCCACCTTTCCCCCTTTTCTATTCCACAAAACCACCATTGTCATCATGGCCCGTTCTCAATGAGCTGTTGGGTACACCTCCTAGACGGGGTGGTGGCCGGGCAGAGGGGCTCCTCACCTCCCAGAAGGGGCGGCCGGGCAGAGGCGCCCCCCACCTCCCGGACGGGGCGGCGGCCGGGCGGAGGCGCCCCCCCACCTCCCTCCCGGACGGGGCGGCTGGCCGTGCGGGGGCTGGCCCCCCACCTCCCTCCCGGACGGGGCGGCTGGCGGGGTGGCTACGGCGGGGCAGAGGCGCTCCCCACATCTCAGATGATGGGCGGCCGGGCAGAGACGCTCCTCACTTCTTAGACGGGATGGCGGCCGGGAAGAGGCGCTCCTCACTTCCCAGACTGGGCAGCCGGGCAGAGGGGCTCCTCACATCCCAGACGATGGGCAGCCAGGCAGAGACGCTCCTCACTTCCCAGACGGGGTGGCGGCCGGGCAGAGGCTGCAATCTCGGCACTTTGGGAGGCCAAGGCAGGCGGCTGGGAGGTGGAGGTTGTAGCTAGCCGAGATCACGCCACTGCACTCCAGCCTGGGCAACATTGAGCACTGAGTGAACGAGACTCCGTCTGCAATCCCGGCACCTCGGGAGGCCGAGGCTGGCGGATCACTCGCGGTTAGGAGCTGGAGACCAGCCCGGCCAACACAGCGAAACCCCGTCTCCACCAAAAAAACACAGGCGTGGCGGCGCGCGCCCGCAATCGCAGGCACTCGGCAGGCTGAGGCAGGAGAATCAGGCAGGGAGGTTGCAGTGAGCCGAGATGGCAGCAGTACAGTCTAGCTTCGGCTGGGCATCAGAGGGAGACCGTGGAAAGAGAGGGAGAGGGAGACCCTGGGGAAAGGGGGAGGGGGAGGGAGAGCTATTCTTCCTTTTAAGAGTAGTTATGTATTCAGGCAGTAGACAAATTGGTAGAAATAGAAATTCAGTTAAAATTTTAACAGAATTTAATTACACAAATAATACACAAATGTAATCTTTAAAAAATTCATTCTACACAAAGGCAAATTTCCTTGATGCCAACCCAAACCCCCACTCTCTCTTGTGGAGGCACCTGCTATTGTCAGTGTGGTGTATAAGTTTCCAGGTCTTTCCCTCTTTTACACATATAGATATCCTAGAAACATGTAGCTTTTATCTTTTCATAATATACATTTTTTATTTTTTGCAACCAACACCTTGTTTGCCTTTTATCTTTTTTAAAACCATAAAATGTTACACAATTACATTGTTTGCAATTTTTTTAAACTAATAATAAAGTGTGGAGCATTTTCCATGTAACTGTGGTTCATTTCCTCGTTTACTGCTGTAGAACATTCCATAGCATGGGGTTCGTTCTGCCATAATGATAGACATATACGCTGTCAGTTCAATTCCACAGGGAAAGATTTTGTTTCTCAGTAATAGACTCCACTTTTGGCCAACTATCCAGTAGAGTCTTTCCATCCATTTTTTATTTTTTTTTGCGACAGAGTCTGTGTCATCCAGGCTGGAGTGCAGTGGTGCAGTCTTGGCTCACTGCAACCTCCACCTCCCGGGCTCAAGCGATTCTCCTGGCTCAGCCTCCCAAGTAGCTGGGACTACAGGCACACACCACCATGCCTGGCTAATTTTTGTATTTTTAGTAGAGTCAGGGTTTCACCATGTTGGCCAGGCTGGTCTCGAACTCCTGACCTCAGGTGATCCGCCTGCCTCGGCCTCTCAAAGTGCTGGGATTACAGCGTGAGCCACCACGCCCAGCCTTTCCATCCATTTCAAACAGAGAGTATGCGTTTTAACATTTATTGGGCCACTCTGATATGCAAGCACTGGGCTAGGTGCTGCTAATCCAGAGATGGGCATGAGCTTGTCCTTACCCTCAAAGAAGTCATAATGTGTTGGGAAACTGGGAAACAAATATGTTCATCGTTTCATGCGCTTATTAAAAATCTATTTGGGGGGCCGGGCACAGTGGCTCACGCTTGTAATCCTAGCACTTTGGGAGGCCGAGGCAGGCAGATTGTCTGAGCTTAGGAGTTCAAGACCAGCCTGGGCAACATGGTGAAACCCCGTCTCTACTAAAATACAAAAAAATTAGCCCAATGTGGTGGTGCATGCCTGTAATCCCAGCTACTCAGGAGGCTGAGGCAGGAGAATTGCTTGAACCCAGGAGGCAGAGGCTGCAGTGAGCCGAGATTGTACCACTGTACTCCAGGCTGGGCGACAGAGTGAGACCCTGTCTCAAAAAAAAAAAAAAAAAGAAGAAGAAGAAGAAAGCTCTCGAAGCTCCTAAGAGAGCTCCAACCATGAATACCCCTGGTGGGAGCATGGTTCTGCCACAGCTACAGTTCTCAGCCTGGGTATCTGTCCCCCTGGGTAGTGAAGCAGGTGCAAGTGCTCTGAGGAGTCAGCTGTTTTGTTCTGGGACCAGAGGGTAGAATAGTATTTCACAAGAACAAGCTGAAGAACAATGGGAAATTTTTAATGTAAAACACCTGATTTAGATTGACCTAGGCAGGTGAACTCATTGGTTCTTCTCCAGAATAACTTGTTAACATTGGAGGACTATATCCCTTCCCCAACACTGCAGAAACCTAAGGGAAGAAAGTTGCCGTCTTGCAGAACATGTGCCAAACTGACAGAGGTGTAAAATAGACATATCGGTGAGGGTATATATGCACATAAACCATGCAAATTACATGATGGGCTGAGGGCAGTGTTGATCAGAGAGAATATCCTACACCAGAAGAATTTTTAAAAATTAGTTGTCGGCTGGGGGTGGCTCCCGCCTGTAATCCCTGCACTTTGGGAGGCTGAGGCAGGTGGATCATGAGGTCAGGAAATCAAGACCATCCTAACACGGTGAAACCCCATCTCCACTAAAAATACAAAAATTGGTGGTGGCATGTGCCTGTAGTCCCAGCTACTCAGGAGGCTGAGCCAGAAGAATTGCTTGAACCCAGGAGGTGGAGGTTGCAGTGAGCCGAGATCGCGCCACTGCACTCCAGTCTGGGCGACTGAGCCAGACTCCATCTCAAAAAAAAAAAAAAAAAAAAAAAATTGGCCCGGCGTGGTGGCACGCACCTGTAATCCTAGGTACTGGGGAGTCTGAGGCAGGAGAATTGCTTGAACCTGAGAGGTGGAGGTTGTAGTGCGCCAAGATTGTGCCACTGCACTCCAGCCTGGGTGACACAGTGAGACTCTGTCACAACAACAACAAAAAAAAGTAAACATATGTTCACCCAGAGGCTGTTGGTAATAGCTTTATTTATAACAGCCCCGGGCTGAAAACTATCCAAATGCTCATCAACAATTGGATAGATAAATGAATCAGAGATTCATACAGTGGAATTCTATACAGCAATAAGAATGAGTGGACTATTATTACATAGGACAACTTAGATGAATTCTACAAACATAATACTGAGTGAAAGAAGCCCAAGTACATACTGTATGATTTAAATATCAAGTTTAAAAGCTGGCAAAACTAAGCTACAGGGATAGAAGTCAGGATGCTGCTATCCTTTAGATACAGGGTCTTGCTCTGTTGCCCAAGCTGGAGGGTTTAGAAGAGGACATAAGGCAAGCTTCTAGGGGTGCTAGATATGTTCCCCCCACTCCTTTTTTTTTGAGAGAGAGTCTCACTCTGTCACCCAGGCTTGTGTGCAGTGGCACAATCTCAGCTCACTGCAACCTCTGCCTCTGGGGTTCAAGCCATTCTCCAGCCTCAGCCTCCCAAGTAGCTGGGACTGTAGGCGTGCAACACCATGCCCAGCTAATTTTTGTATTTAGTAGGGACAGGGTTTCACCATGTTGCCCACGCTGGTCTCGAACTCCTGACCTCAGGTGATCTGCCTGCTTCGGCCTCCCAAAATACTGGGATTACATGCCTGAGTCACTGTGCCTGGCTGCTAGCCATGTTCTCATTGCTGATTACGATGGGAGTGTCCAGTTAGTTTGTGGAATTTCAGTGGGTTGTACTACTCTACAACTTTTTTGTATGTTGTTACTTCAATAAAACATTTAAAAATTATTTTGTCTGTCATACAAACAACTCTAGGGTTTGTTGTTGTTGTTGTTTTGAGACAGGGTGCTCACTCTCTTGCCCAGGCTGGAGTGCAGTGGTGTGATCACAGCTCACTGCAGCCTCCATCTCCTGGGCTTAAGCAATTCTCCCTCCTCAGCCTCTCAAGTAGCTGGAACTACAGGTGCACATCACCACACCTGACTACTTATTTCTTTATTTATTTTTAGTAGAGACGAGGTCTGCCTATGTTGCCCAAGCTGGTCTTGAACTCCAGGCCTCAAGTAATCCTCCCACCTTGGCCCCCCAAAGTGCTGGATTATAGGCATAAGCCACCTTGCCTGGCCTCAAGAGACTCTAGGTTTGACTTTGCTGTAACCCTAGGCAGGAGAGAGCCCATTTTCAGCAGGAGATAAACCAAGATAAATTTTTTCCTACTTCTATAACAATATTTTTAGAATTACAAAAGAAATATGTGGCTAGGGCCAGGCACGGTGGCTCACAGTACTTTGGGAGGCCCAGGCGGGTGGGTCATTTGTGGTCAGGAGTTTGAGACCAGCCTGGACAACATGGTGAAACCCTGTCTCTAGTAAAAATACAAAAATTAACTGGGTGGTAGTGGTGTGTGCCTGTAATCCCAGATACTTGAGAGGCTGAGGCAGGAGAATCACTTGAACCTGGGAGGCAGAGGTTGGGGTGAGCTGAGATCGCGCCATTGCACTCCAGCCTGGGCGACAGAGTGAGACCCTGTCTCCCCGGCCCCCGCCTCCAAAAAAAAGAAAGAAATATGGTGGCTTACACTTGTAATCCTAGCACTTTGGAAGGCTGAGGCGTGTGGATTGCTTGAGCCTAGCAGTTTGTGACTAGCCTGGGCAACAGGGCAGAACACTGTCTCTACTAAAAGTACAACAACAACAAAATTAACTGGGCATGGTGGCATGAGCCTGTAGTCTCAGCTACTGGGGAGGCTGAGGTGGGAGTATCTCGTGAGCCTAGGAGGTGGAGACTGTGGTGAGCCGTGATTGTGCCACTGCACTCTAGCCGTGTCTCAAAAAACAAAACAAAACAAAAAAGAACGAAAGAAATATGCGGTTATTGACGAAAACTGGAAGAACATTAAAACAACAACAGGCCGGGCGTGGTGGCTCATGCCTGTAATCCTAGCACTTTGGGAGGCAGAGGCGAGTGGATCACTTGAGGCCAGGAGTTTGAGACCAACCGGGGAAACATGTCAAAACCATGTCTCTACAAAAAATACAAAAACTAGCCGGGCATGATGGCGTGCGCCTGTAGTCTCAGCTACTTGGGTGGCTGAGGCACAAGAATCGCTTGAACCTGGGAGACGAGACAGAGGTTGCAGTGAGTCGAGATCGTGCCACTGCACTCCAGCCTGGGCAATGGAGGGAGACTCTATCTCAAAAAGAAAAGAAGGTAGTTTCTACCTGGAGAGCCAGATGATAAAAACGGAAAATTAAAGTTTGCTGAGGCAACTACACAGGAGGCTGAGGCAGGAGAATCACTTGAACCTGGGAGGCGGACGTTGCAGTGAGCCGAGATCACGCCACTGCACTCAAGCCTGACGACTGGCGACAGAGCGAGACTCCGTCTCAAAAATAAAATAAAATAAGATAAAAATAAATTAAAGTTTGCATTTGGGACAAGAAGTGTTCCTGTTTTGTTCCAGTGGATGTAACTGTTTTATATCATGGGCAGCAGTTTGCTAAAGGGAAAAGAAAATACTGCAAGACAATTCTTGCATTCTTGATTCTGAGTTATGACCTCTCTAATTCGAAACTAAAGACTTGTATTTCTTCTTTATCTTTAGTCCATTCAGAACTCGAGTTCTCAGTATGCAGAACTAACTGTAAGTGAACAGTCATTTTCTGTGTAATTTGCTTGGTTATATTCCTCACTATCCTGAAATTCCTGGGTTCAGACCAGTGTAACTAAGAGACAAACCCTGGTGTATGTTCTGACAAGCATAATCTAGCTTTACACCCATCAAACTATCTAATTAGAGGGTAGGGGACTGAATTACTCATTTTATTTCCAAAGAACTTTGAAGTTTTTGCCCAGAGAGAGCCACTTTAAGTTAAACTCTTTGAGACTCCATTTCTCATCAGGGATAATGATACCTCTTCTGCAGATGGTTGCTACGAAGATTCCATGAAAAGCGAAGGCACTTTATTAGATATAATTTACTACATGAAATTAGGGGCTTGTTACTGTCAGTTCTTTTTATGCCTGTCTCTAGGGTGGTGGTTGAGGACCATGTCTTGTTCATTTATATTCTGGGCATTTGGTACAATTCCTGGACTAGGAGTGCTCAATACATATTTGTCAAAAGAAGGAAAGGAAAGAAGGTAGTAAGTCTGAAGAGGTGCTGTGGGTCTCTCTGGCAGGCCAATCTCGGCCTTTGTAACCCTCATCAATAAGAGGATCCAATGGGCACAAGTAGAACCAGATTCAGCCCTCAGAGGAAGACGTGGAGCTTCTGCCATTGGACAACAGGGGGAGCACCCAAGCAACAAAGATGCACTCTATCTCTTGTTCACATCTCTGCTTTTACATTTCTTCTTTTTTGAAGCCTGTTGCCCACGCTGGTCTTGAACTCCTGGCCTCAAGGGATCCTCCTGCCTCAGCCTCTTAAAGCGCTGGGATTACAAGCATGAGCCAGCTTGCCTGGCCACATTGCTTCTTTTAACATATATTCTTCATAGGCTTAACAACTGACATATTAACATACTATCTAAACATTCTGATGACCAGTATGGAATATGCTCAGTAGGTGAAAGTGGGTTCAACCCGCTCCCATTTGTGCTTCTGCCCAACAGTTGGTATCCTGAAACAGTTGCAATGAATTGGAGATATCCTGTGTGATGAAGAGGAAAGAAACTTGAGTTGGAAGTCAGGAAATCTGTGTGCATGGTGGTGGCTAGAGTTTCTTCCTATCATTTACCTCTTCAGACAAATGGACGCCACCTGCCCATCAACCAGATTGAGGAGAGGAGTGGATAAGAGGAGAGGCATCCACACCACATTCATTCCTTCAACCAAACATGGAACTTCTACCAGGCTCTGCTAGGCCTCGTTCACAGTTACGGTACAAGATGTAGCCCCCGCTCTCAGGGAACTCTGGCTGGTGGAAATACAGCATCAAATATTCTGAAATAAGTTGGGGGAGGGCCGGGTGCGGTGGCTCACGCCTGTAATTCCAGTACTTGGGAGGCCGAGGCGGGTGGATCACCCGAGGTCAGGAGTTCGAGACCAGCCTGGCCAAAATGGCAAAACCCCAACTCTACTAAAAATACAAAAATTAGCCAGGCGTGGTGGCAGGCAGCTGTAATCCCAGCTACTCAGGAGGCTGAGGCATAAGAATCGCTTGAACTCGGGAGGCGGAGGTTGCAGTCAGCTGAGATTGTGCCACTGCGCTTCAGCCTGGGGGATAGAGAGAGACTCTGTCTAAAAAAAAAAAAAAAAAAAAAGAAAAAAGAAAAAAAAGGAAGTTGGGGGAGTGCAAACAATAAACTTCACAAATACCACAGGGTCACTTTTCCATATGTCCCTACCATCTCAAAATGATGCTATGTCACTTCTGTCTATAGGTTCTCATGGCACACAAACAGTAAACCTGCAGTAGTTGTCCATGAGGATAGATCTTGCTTGGATTCAAAGATGGTTTAGCCAGAGTTGGGAGTGGAGAATGATCATGTAATATCTTGGACACCTGCCACTTCTCATTAAAACACTCAGCTCTCAAAGCTGCCACTTCCAGGTTTTTGCTCAGTTCTATGTCCCCTACCCTGCCACTATGAAAGGGGGAGAAAGCCCAGGGCCTTGGGAATTCCTGCCCCACCAGTATTTCCCAGTTTCCTTTTTTTTTTTTTGAGACAAGGTCTTGCTCTGTCGCCCATGCTGGAGTGCAGCGGCTCGATCACAGCTCACTGCAGCTTCCAACTCCGGGGCTCAATCGATCCTCCCACTTCAGCCTCCCAAGTAGCTGGGACCACAGGTGTCCACCACCATGCCAGGCTCATTTTTGTATTTTTTGTAGAGATGGGGTTTCACCATGTTGCCCAGGCTGGTCTCGAACACCTGGGCTCAAGTGATTCCCCCACCTCGGCCTCCCAAAGTGCTGGGATTACAGACAGGCATGAGCCATCGCGCCCAGCCCGTTTCCTTAAGAAACGTTTTGAGCGTCTGTTAGGTGTCATACGCTCTGACGGGGGAAACAAAAACGAATATAAAACATTGACTATGGTTCACAATCTGCGTGGTGGCAGACACAAACTTCTAATTTTATTTCTCCTCTCATACAGCCGAAAACCTGGTTTAACATACACTGTTTCATTTATGCCCCAAAACAGTCCTGTGAGGTCAAAACGTCATTCACTTACGCACGGCGGGTGACAGTTCACAAGGCACATGACATCCCTCATCTTGATCTCCCGGTATCCGCGCATTTTAGGAAGAAACATGCTCAAAGGGATGAAGGGTCCGCTCTCAAGCATTTTAGCTAGCGAAGTTACAGTCACATCCGGCAAACTCGCACACTGCAGATCTAGGACTACCCCGCGCGGCCCCGCCCACTTTCCCAGCAGCGGGACGCTGTCACCCCGACTCAGGAGCTCCTGGGCCCGCGGGCTCCCGGAAGCTGCCGACCACGTGATTCGCTGGCTCAGCTCACGTGACAAAGCTCCCGGAGGTGGGAGCCCTGGGCCAAAATGGCGGCCTACCTGCAGTGGCGGCGCTTCGTTTTCTTCGACAAGGAGCTGGTGAAGGAGCCGCTGAGCAATGATGGGGCCGCTCCCGGGGCCACACCTGCTTCTGGATCCGCTGCTTCCAAGTTCCTTTGCCTCCCTCCTGGCATCACTGTCTGCGACTCAGGCCGAGGGAGCCTGGTCTTTGGAGATATCCTTCGTTTGGAGCTGTCTTTTCCCTCCCGGGATCCCGAAGAGATCGAGTTAGGATGAAATCTGTTTGTCGGAGGGGTCCGTGCCGCGCGCCTCTTTGGTTTAGCTGGTCATCCAGAGTTGTTCTGTGGTCTACGGGAAGAAAGAAGGAAGTCCATCTCCTAACTTGTTATCAACTGAGCAATCCTGGGCAAGTCATTTAACCTCTCTGGGTTTTAATTTCCTTATCTGTAGGAGATGTGTGCATGCCAATTTGACGAGGTTAATTTGAGATCAATAAGAAAAAGAATGCAAGTTGGCTTTAAAAGATGAATATGTAAAGTGACATGATTTCCCCTGCCCTAATATTATCGTTGGCGAGGAGGTAAATGAGCCTAGCGGTTTGTTGCTTTCATCTTCATGTTGCTGCTACTAAATTCTGGCCTTTTTACCTTTTTTTTTTTTTTTTTTTTTTTGATACGGAGTCTTACTCTGTTGCCCAGGCTGGAGTGCAGTGGCGGGATCTGGGCTCACTGTAACCGTCTCTTGAGTTCAAGCGATTCTCCTGCCACAGCCTCCCGAGTAGCTGGGACTACAGGCGCTTGCCACCACACCCGGCTAATTTTTTACATTTTCAGTAGAGACGGGGTTTCACCATATTGGCCAGGCTGGTCTCGAACTCCTGACCTCGTGATCCACCCGCCTCGGCCTCCCAAAGTGCTGGGATTACAGGAGTGAGCCATCGCGCCCGGCGCACTAAATTTTTTTCTTTTTTTTGAGACGGACTTTCACTCTTGTTGCACAGGCTGGAGTGCAATGGCATGATCTGGGCACACTGCAACCTCCGCCTCCCGGGTTCAAGCAATTCTCCTGCCTCAACCTCCTGAGTAGCTGAAATTACAGGCACGCACCATTATACCTGGCTAATTTTTGTATTTTTAGTAGAGACAGGTTTCACCATGTTGGCCAGGCTGGTCTCGAACCCCTGACCTCAGGTGATCCGCACCCCCCCCCCCCCCCGGCCTCCCAAAGTGCTGGGATTACAGGTGTGAGTCACCGCGCCTGGCCTCACTCTTTTTAAGATAAGGAGTATGTGGGAAAATCCTTGAAAATTTTAGAGTTATATACATGTAATTGTTATCTGAGTTCTGGTCTGAATGTAAGTATCTCTCCTTGGAAAGGAGGCTCCTTGACTACCCTGCACATATGGAAGGCCAGATCTGGTTCTTGCCACGTTCCCTACAGCTTACAGGCTTCCAAGCCTACAAACTACGGGTGACACACCTGTACCAACTGAAGCAGCACAATATTCTGGCATCTGTTGGAGAAGATGAAGAGGGCATCAACCCCTTGGTGAGTCCCAGCAGGGAAATGGGAAAGATCCAGAAGCCTAGGAATGATTTTTTGTTGGAGGATGACTAGCATTTACACTTCTGAGGTCTGTCCACAGGTTAAGATCTGGAACCTGGAGAAGAGAGATGGTGGCAATCCACTCTGCACTCGAATCTTCCCTGCTATTCCAGGAACAGAGCCAACTGTTGTATCTTGTTTGACTGTCCATGAAAATCTCAACTTTATGGCCATTGGTAAACAGAAGGCAAAACTAACCCTCCTAGATTTGTTATAGATTTTCTTCAGAGTTGCTTCTGCCTCTCATCTTTACTGTTTTCAGGAGACCACTTTGTACTGAACTGAGGCCTTTGCGATATTAAATTTTGGAATGGGGGCCAGGCGCGGTGGCTCATGCCTGTAATCCCAGCACCTTGGGAGGCTGAGGTGGGCGGATCACCTGAGATTGGGAGTTTGAGATCAGCCTGACCAACATGGAGAAACCCCATCTCTACTAAAAATACAAAATTAGTTGGGTGTAGTGGCACATGCCTGTAATCCCAGCTACTAGGGAGGCTGCGGCAGGAAAATCACTTGAACCTGGGAGGCGGAGTTTGCAGTGAGCCAAGATCGCGCCATTGCACTGTAGCCTGGGCAACAAGAGCAAAACTCTGTCTCAAAATAAATAAATAAATAAATAAATAAATAAAATAAATAAAGTTTGGAATGGGAAGGCATTTAATTTTGTTCTTTGAAAATGTGTCAGTGAGTACCAATATTCAGGTTAACCATTAGAGAGGTTGGGTATATGGAGAAAGCTTGTCACTTCTGAGTGCCTCAAGTGGTCTTTTTTCCCCTCTCCACTTCCTGATCTTTTCAGCCTTACTGAAGTAATTTTCTTGTTTTCTTACAGGTTTCACAGATGGCAGTGTTACATTGAACAAAGGAGACATCACCCGGGACCGGCATAGCAAGACCCAGATTTTGCACAAGGGCAACTATCCTGTAACTGGATTGGCCTTTCGCCAAGCAGGAAAGACCACTCACTTGTTTGTTGTGACAACAGAGAACGTCCAGGTATGACCAAGGCCTCCACTCTTAGGAGCAGGCAGGGAGGGCTTCTCCATTGTTCAGGGGGATAGGGTAATGAAGTGACAGGAAAGGTGGGAGTGTTAAAGTTTTAATCATATAATTCGAATCATTTGCCTAGCTTTGTATTTTATTTTTTTGCCTAGGAAGCTGGAAAGAGTTAGACTCTGGGCTTGTAGTAAAAAGATGTGAATTTTCTTTCTTTTTTTTTTTTGAGACCGAGTCTCACTGTGTTGCTCAGGCTGGAGTGCAGTGGCGAGATCTTGACTCACTGTAACCTCAGTCTCCCAGGTTCAAGCAATTCTCCTGCCTCAGCCTCCTGAGTAGCTGGGATTACAGGCACACACCAGCATGTCCAGCTAATTTTTGTATTTTTAGTAGAGACAGGGTTTCACCATGTTGGCCAGTCTGGTCTCCAACTCCTGACCTCAGGTGATCCACCCACCTTGGCCTTCCAAAGTGCTGAGATTACAGGCGTGAGCCACCGCACTCGGCCTTGAATTTTATTTCTAACTAGCTTTTTTTTTTTTTTTCTTTGAGACAGGATCTTGCTGTGTAACCCAGGCTAGAGTGCAATGGTGCTGTCTCAGCTCACTGCAACCTCTGCCTCCTGGGCTCAAGTGATCCTCCCACCTCAGCCTCCTGAGTACGTGGGATTACAGGCATGTGTCACCATGCCTGGCTAATTTTTGTATTTTTTCTAGATATGGGGGTTTCACCATGTTGCCCAGGCTGATCTCGAACTCCTGGGCCCAAGCAATCCACCTGCCTCAACCACCCAAAGTGCTGGAATTACAGGCATGAGCCACTGCACCGGCCTATTTTCTAACTAACTTTTTAAATGACGTTGGACAAGTATCTTTACCTTTCTTGTTCCTGGTGCCCCAGATTTACAACAGTCTACTCTCTCAGGAATACTCTTGATAAAGTAGTAGATTATTACATTTTTCTTACTTGCAGAATTTCTGTACTAGATAGTGATAATATATACAGAGAAAGAAATTGTGATCTCTGGTTATATATTTAATAGATGGGTAATGGTTAATGAAGAAGGCCAGCAGCCAAGAGAAAGACTTTAGAATGCCAAGAGGGAAAAAAGAGCCAGTATGGAGATGGGAATACCTTTGTGAAGGCTTAGAGTTACCTCCTCAAAGGAGCCTGTTAACCCCTTTGTTGCTTCTGGCAGTCCTATATAGTTTCTGGAAAAGACTACCCTCGCGTGGAGTTGGACACCCATGGTTGTGGCCTGCGCTGCTCAGCCCTAAGTGACCCTTCTCAGGACCTGCAGTTCATTGTGGCCGGGGATGAGTGTGTCTACTTGTACCAGCCTGATGAACGTGGGCCCTGCTTCGCCTTTGAGGGCCATAAGCTCATTGCCCACTGGTTTAGAGGCTACCTTATCATTGTCTCCCGTGACCGGAAGGTTTCTCCCAAGTAAGGACTCAGTGAGAAGGGACAGGGAGAGGGCTGGACTTGTTCCCCAGAATCCGCCTGATTTTAAAATCCTAATGCCTGGATACTGCCAATCTCCTACTCCTACTCCGGTGTTATGTAGGTAACATTTCTGTTTTTTTTTTTTGAGATGGAGTCTCGCTCTGTCACCCAGGAGTGCAGTGGCGTGATCTCGGCTCACTGCAGCCTCGCCTCCTGGGTTCCAGTGATACTCCTGCCTCAGCCTCCTGAATAGCTGGGATTACAGGCATGTGCCACCACGCCTGGCTACTTTTTGTATTTTCAGTAGAGACGAGGTTTCACCATGTTGGCCAGGCTGGTGTCAGACTCCTGACCTCAAGTGATCTACCCGCCTCGGCCTCCCAAAGTACTGGGATTACAGGTGTGAGCCACTGCACCCAGCCAGTGACACTTATAGCTAGAGTTGGTTACAATGCTTTTTTTAACTGAAAAATGGATGTTTTTACTGCAGGTATTTGCTACATAGCCCTAGCATACTAGAATGCTCCAGGGAATTTGGACCTGCTTTTTTTGTTCTGTTTTGTTTGAGATGGAGTCTCGCTCTATTGCCCAGGCTGGAGTGCAGTGGCGCGATCTCGGCTCACTGCAAGCTCCGCCTCCCGGGTTCACGCCATTCTCCTGCCTCAGCCTCCCGAGCAACTGGGACTACAGGTGCCCGCCCCCATGCCCGGCTAATTTTTTGTATTTTTATTAGAGACGGGGTTTCACCGTGTTAGCCAGGATGGTCTCGATCTCCTGACCTCGTGATCTGCCTGCCTCGTCCTCCCAAAGTGCTGGGATTACAGGCGTGAGCCACTGCGCCCGGCCTTGTTTTGTTTTTTAACTCTTTTGTCAAAATAAATTGGGCAGAGGAACAAGGGATTCAGCAGTGGAGAAATTAGAAAGTGCTGGGAAACGTAGGATGCAAGTTTTCTGTTTTGTTTTGGTTTTATTTTTTTAAGGGGTAAGTGGGGTCTTCTGCATGATGAAAGTACTCCCTGTTAGATGCTGGTTTGTTTTGCTTTCATTCAGTTCCAGGCACAGTGTTTTACATATACCATGTATTGGATTATTATTTTCTAAATGAATGGATATGTTAGTGTACTTAATTTTCTAATCTGTTACTTGGGTTAATTGTAGGATCCTAAAGGGTAAGATCAGGTTTATGTGTTCTCTATGTACAACTACCGGCACAGCGCTGCATGTTATGGGATGAGAGGGACCAGAGAGGTGATTTGTGCTGGGTGAAATGTGCACCAAAGTTATCATGGGAAAGGAAATAGGGGAGATAAGACAGAGATGTCCAAACATCTGGTGCTTTTTCTTTCCTATGCAGGTCAGAGTTTACCAGCAGGGATTCACAGAGCTCCGACAAGCAGATTCTAAACATCTATGACCTGTGCAACAAGTTCATAGCCTATAGCACCGTCTTTGAGGATGTAGTGGATGTGCTTGCTGAGTGGGGCTCCCTGTACGTGCTGACGCGGGATGGGCGGGTCCACGCACTGCAGGAGAAGGACACACAGACCAAACTGGAGGCAAGGCCACCAGGCTCGCAGAGCTGGCCACAGGCACCTAGAAGCAGCTGCAGGAGCAGGTTCCCCAAGTCATATTGGCCAGGGTGTTTCCCTCCTTGTGGGTCACAGCCTTACTCAGCTTCCTTAGGGTAGGATTATAAGGTAAATGGCCTGGGATGGGGCTTTAGAGGGAAGTAGTGGCTGGGAGCCTGAGCCCACTCTAAGGGTTCACTTTGTTTCCAGAGAACCTTATGAAATAAGATGATACTGATCTTGGGGATATCTGGTAGCTCTTGGTTTGTCTAGGATCTAGGCAGATCAGAAATCCAGGACTTTCTGTTTTGTGTGTTGTGCGCACATTTTGGGAAAGTGTCTTCCCAGGACCACTTCTACCAATTTTCTAATCTCTCTTCCCTTCTAGATGCTGTTTAAGAAGAACCTATTTGAGATGGCGATTAACCTTGCCAAGAGCCAGCATCTGGACAGTGATGGGCTGGCCCAGATTTTCATGCAGTATGGAGACCATCTCTACAGCAAGGGCAACCACGATGGGGCTGTCCAGCAATATATCCGGTCAGTCTGGAGGCACTTTGGGATATAGCTGTGAATGCAGGGACAGGCAGCTAGATAGCTAAAGCCCATCCATGCTCCAGGTAGGGGCTAGAATTCTACCAGGAACTGTTTTTGTTTTTGGTTTTTTGTTTGTTTTTGTTAGTTTTTTTTTGAGATGGAGTTTCGCTCTTGTTGTCCAAGCTGGAGTGCAATGGCGCGATCTCGACTTACTGCAACCTTCCCTCCTGGGTTCACATGATTCTCCTGCTTCAGTCTCCCGAGTAGCTGGGATTACAGGCGCGTGCCACCACACCTGGCTAATTTTTTGTATTTTTAGTAGAAACGGGGTTTCACCATGTTAGCCAGGCTGGTCATGAACTCCTGACCTCAGGTGATCTGCCCGCTTCAGCCTCCCAAAGTGCTGGGATTACAGGCATGAGCCACTGCGCCCGGTGTTTTTTTCTTTGCTTTTTTTGTTTGTTTGTTTGTTTTTGAGACAGATTCTCGCTCTTTCACCCAGGCTGGAGTGCAATGGTGTGATCTCGGCTCACTGCAACCTCTGCCTCGGGTTCAAGCAATTCTCCTGTCTCAGCCTCCCAAGTAGCTGGGATTACAGGATCATGCTGCCATGCCTGGCTAATTTTTTGTATTTTTAGTAGAGACGGGGTTTCACCACGTTCTCTAGGCTGGTCTCGAACTCCTGAGCTCAGGCAATCTGCCTGCCTCGGCCTCCCAAAGTGTTAGGATTACAGGTGTGAGCCACAGTGCCTGGCCTTTTTAATTTTCTTTATAAGAACTATGATGCCTTAAATGAGAGAACAAGATTCCTTGTTGAAAAGGGAATTTTAGGGTCAAATATTATATGACCAGTATGCAGTTGAGCCGATGATTACCTCTCATTTTAACCTTTAGCTTGGCCTTTGTAAATATTCACTTTGACCTGGTTCTTTAAGGGGGAAAAGGTATTCATCTCTTGCTTCCATAATTCCTTCCATCAGTACTAATTCTTGGAATTTTCTGCCTTAAGAAGGGGTTTTAGAAATCTGTCTAAGGTGGCCGGGCGCGGTAGCTCACGCATGTAATCCCAGCACTTTGGGAGGCTGAGGCGGGTGGATCACGAGGTCAGGAGATCGAGACCATCCTGGCTAACACGGTGAAACCCCGTCTCTACTAAAAAATACAAAAAATTAGCTGGGTGTCGTGGCGGGCGCCTGTAGTCCCAGCTACTTGGGAGGCTGAGGCAGGAGAATGGCCTGAACCCCAGAGGCGGAGCTTGCAGTGAGCCGAGATCGCACCACTGCACTCCAGCCTGGGTATCAGAGCAGGACTGTCTCAAAAAAAAAAAGTTTGTCTAAGGCTGGGGTGCAGTGGCATGTGCCTGTGATCCTATCCCTTTGGGAGACCGAGGTGGGAGGAATGCATGAGCCCAGTCTGAGCAACATAGCAAGACCCCATTTCTAACAATAAATAAATAAATAAAATTTAAAAATATGGCTGGGCGCCGTGGCTCATTCCTGTAATCCCAGCACTTTGGGAGGCCAAGGCGGGTGGATCACTTGAGGTTAGGAGTTTGAGACCAGCCTGGCCAACATGGTGAAACCCTGTCTCCACTAAAAAAAAAAAAAAAAAAAAAATACAAGGCCAGGCGTGGTGGCTCACGCCTGTAATCTCAGCACTTTGGGAGGCTGAGGCAGGTGGATCACCTGAGGTCAAGAGTTCAAGACCAGCCTGGCCAACATGGCGAAACCCCATCTCTACTAAAAATACAAAAATTAGCTGGGCATGGTGGCGGGCGCCTGTAATCCCATCTTAAAAAAAAAAATTAGCTGGGTGTGGTGGCATATGCCTGTAATCCCAGCCACTCGCAAAGCTGAGGCAGGAGATTCACTTGAACCTGGGAAGCAGAGGCTATAGTGAGCCAAGATCGTGCCACTGCACTCCAGCCTGGGCAACAGAGCAAGACTCTATCAAAAAAATAATAGTAGATAATAATAATAATAATAAATAAATAAATTGCCAGGGGGCAGTGACTCACGCCTGTAATCCAAACACTTTGGGAGGCTGAGGTGGGCGGATCACGAGGTCAAGAGATTGAGACCATCCTGGCCAACATGGTGAAACCCCGTTTCTACTAAAAATACAAAAATTAGCTGGGTGTGGTGGCATGCACCTGTAGTCCCAGCTACTCGGGAGGCTGAGGCAGGAGAATAGCTTGAACCCAGGAGGCGGAGGTTGCAGTGAGCCAAGATCGTGCCCTGCACTCCAGCCTGGCGAAATAGCGAAACTTCGTCTCAAAAAAATAATAATAAAAAAAGGCCGGGTGTGGTGGCTCACACCTGTAATCCCAGCACTTTGGGAGGCTGAGGTGAGTGGATCACCTGAGGTCGGGAGTTCGAAACTAGCCTGACCAACATGGAGAAACCCTGCCTCTACTAAAAATACAAAACTAGCTGGGCATGGTGGCACATGCCTGTAATCCCAGCTACTCAGGAGGCTGAGGCAGAAGAATCGCTTGATCCTGGGAGGCAGAGGTTGCGGTGGGCTGAGATCGTGCCACTGCACTCCAGCCTGGGCAACAGGAGCGAACCTCCCTCTCAAAAAAAAAAAAATTAATTAAATTTTAAAATAATGTAAAAGAAAGAGAACAAAAATACAACAATAAAACAACAACAAAATAGTAATAATATAAAAAGAAACCTGTTTGGCCTCTTCCCCGTTCTCTTTAGAATTCCTATTTTTAGCCAAATTTAAGAAGCAGTGCTCTGGAGCCTTGTTACCCAGTGTGGTCCACAGTCTAGTAGCACCGATATTACCTGGGACTTTGTTAGAAATGTAGAATCTCAGGCCCCACTCCAGATCCACTGAAATAGAATTTGCATTTTGAGAAGATCTGCAAGTGATTCCTGTGTACATGAGCTGGAGAAGTACACTGATTCAGATGCTATCGGGTGCACATGTCTCCCTAGAACCATTGGAAAGTTGGAGCCATCCTACGTGATCCGCAAGTTTCTGGATGCCCAGCGCATTCACAACCTGACTGCCTACCTGCAGACCCTGCACCGACAATCCCTGGCCAATGCCGACCATACCACCCTGCTCCTCAACTGCTATACCAAGCTCAAGGACAGCTCGAAGCTGGAGGAGTTCATCAAGGTGCAGGATGTTGTTGGTGGGGAAGTCTTGGAGGCCCCACTGAGCATGAGGTGGCTCCACCGGGACTTGTTCGTTTCAGCAAGACATAGGGAGAGGAAAGGGCTGACCTTATTTAGAGGAGTGGCTGTTCCTGTTAGTTCGGTGCCATCTCCCCTCTTGTTTTATGATTCTAGAAATTCCCATGGTATCTAAGCCCAGGGTGGTGGCACTGGGGAAGTCCTGTCCCTAGCGGTGTCCCTCTAATGGTAGGGGCAGAGGAAAACTTTAGTCAGAAACTCCCACAGGCTGAGTAGCATAATATTTTCAAAGTGTGAACGTTATGATATCACCTTAGGAATCTGAAAGTCAGGTGCCTGTTTCCTCTCCCTTCTCTATCTCCCTCTGTGTAAATGATTTTGTCTCATGTCTCCCTGGCAGAAAAAGAGTGAGAGTGAAGTCCACTTTGATGTGGAGACAGCCATCAAGGTCCTCCGGCAGGCTGGCTACTACTCCCATGCCCTGTATCTGGCGGAGAACCATGCACATCATGAGTGGTACCTGAAGATCCAGCTAGAAGACATTAAGGTAGGTGAGACTGTCTTTTTTCCCCAAGAGACAGGGTCTCACTATGTTGCCCAGGCTGGAGTTGAATTCCTGGGCTCAGGTGATCCTCCCACCCCATCCTCCTGAGTGGAGGTGAGACTCTCAACTTGGGCAGAGCCCTGTCGTTTTTGAAGACATCTCCAGAATGGTGAAAGTGCTTCCTGGTGGCTGAGGCAGGAGTATACACTATTCTGCCCTTTACTTTTCCACAGAATTATCAGGAAGCCCTTCGATACATCGGCAAGCTGCCTTTTGAGCAGGCAGAGAGCAACATGAAGCGCTACGGCAAGATCCTCATGCACCACATACCAGAGCAGACAACTCAGTTGCTGAAGGGACTTTGTACTGATTATCGGCCCAGCCTCGAAGGCCGCAGCGATAGGGAGGCCCCAGGCTGCAGGGTGAGGCTGCAGGGAAAAGAGCTTCAGACTGTGGGGATCACCTTAAGGGCTTCCTGTATATCACGCCCACTCATTCAGCCTCCTTTTTCCTCTCTTGCCATCCTAGGCCAACTCTGAGGAGTTCATCCCCATCTTTGCCAATAACCCGCGAGAGCTGAAAGCCTTCCTAGAGCACATGAGTGAAGTGCAGCCAGACTCACCCCAGGGGATCTACGACACACTCCTTGAGCTGCGACTGCAGAACTGGGCCCACGAGAAGGATCCACAGGTGAGGCCTGGCCAGGGCTTCAGGAGAAAAGACAGTTCGTGCCGTCTCCATTCTTCCGTCTTGGTGGCTGCCTTTCACTGCATTCCTTAGACCAGTAACACCTTACCTCGGGGCTCAATGGTCCTCTGTGAAGAGGGAATGGACTGAGGGAAAGAGTTGACTGGCTTTGTCCCAAGAGACCTTGTGATTTTCCCCTTTTGTCCAGCAGCTCTGCCCTCCTTCCTCTCCAGGTCAAAGAGAAGCTTCACGCAGAGGCCATTTCCCTGCTGAAGAGTGGTCGCTTCTGCGACGTCTTTGACAAGGCCCTGGTCCTGTGCCAGATGCACGACTTCCAGGATGGTGTCCTTTACCTTTATGAGCAGGGGAAGCTGTAAGAGTTTGGGGAATTTCAGGGAAAGGGGAAGAATCCAAGTCATTTTCCAGAGACAGCCACTGAGGTGTGCCCTTGCCCCGGCCGCAGGTTCCAGCAGATCATGCACTACCACATGCAGCACGAGCAGTACCGGCAGGTCATCAGCGTGTGTGAGCGCCATGGGGAGCAGGACCCCTCCTTGTGGGAGCAGGCCCTCAGCTACTTCGCTCGCAAGGAGGAGGACTGCAAGGAGTATGTGGCAGCTGTCCTCAAGCATATCGAGAACAAGAACCTCATGCCACCTCTTCTAGGTACTTGGGAAGACAGATGGGTGGGTGACAAGCTGCTGACAGCTGGGCTCTGTGGCAGGGGCCCTTCACCTTTATCCAGAGAGTGCCACACGTGGTTGATTGTCTTGTTTCCTCTTGGACCCCAATCTCAGTGGTGCAGACCCTGGCCCACAACTCCACAGCCACACTCTCCGTCATCAGGGACTACCTGGTCCAAAAACTACAGAAACAGAGCCAGCAGATTGCACAGGATGAGCTGCGGGTGCGGCGGTACCGAGAGGAGACCACCCGTATCCGCCAGGAGATCCAAGAGCTCAAGGCCAGGTACCCGGGGCATGGATATGTGGAGGAGTCCAGGGGATAACTTGCCCTTCACAGGGTATTCATTACTAAGTACTTTCCGTAGAGGATACTATGGAGTGCTTTTGAGCATTTTGATTCTTCAAGTTGTGTTTTAATTGAGGAATTCCAAAAAATGGTTTATTACATAGATCATTATTTATTGGGCTTTGGATGATATTATTTTGTAGCAGGTACTTTTTGTTCTTTATATGCCTGTATTCTACCACTTCTAAACACATCCGTATTGTGGTTGGAAGCCGTTCTGGTGTTTTTCTTTTTTGAGACAGGATCTTGTCACTGAGGCTGGAGTGGAGGGGTGTGATCACGGCTCACTGCAGCTTTGATCTCCTGGGCTCAAGTGATTCTCCCGCCTCAGCCTCCCAAGTAGCTGGGATTACAGGCGTGTGCCACCAAGCCCAGCTAATTTTTGGATTTTTAGTAGAGATGGGGTTTATAATGTTGGCCAGGCTGGTCTCGAACTCCTGGCCTCAAGTGATCCTCCGGCCTTGACCTCCCAAAGTGCTGGGATGAGCCACGGTGCCCGGCCATAATCCCAACTCTGAAATCTTACCTGCCCTTAACATTCTGTAAAATATTTATTAGAGAACAACAGTTTCTTCATTCTACAAATATTGAGCCTCTGTGGTGTCCCAGACACTATTCTGAACAGCACAGGCAAAAAGCCTTCATGGAGCTTTATGTTGTAGAAGAGACAGACAGCAAACATGTTAAATAGGCAAACTTTTTTTTTTTCTTTTGAGATAGAGTCTCACTCTGTCACCCAGGCTAGAGTGCAGTGGCGCGATCTCAGCTCACAGCAACCTTTACCTCCTGGGTTCAAGCGATTCTCCTGCCTCAGCCTCCTGAGTAGATGGAATTACAGGCGCCTGCCACCATGCCTGGCTAATTTTTGTATTTTTGTAGAGACAGGGTTTCACTATGTTGGCCAGGCTGGTCTTGAACTCCTGACTTCAGGGGATCTGCCTGCCTTGGCCTCCCAAAGTGCTGGGATTACATGCGTGAGCCACTGCACCCGGCCAAATAGGCAAATTTTTTTTTTCTTTTTTGAGACGAAGTCTCGCTCTTGTCCCCCACGCTGGAGTGTGATGGCGCAATCTCGGCTCACTGCAACCTCTGCCTCCTGGGTTCAAGCGATTCTCCTGCCTTGGCCCCCTGAGTACCTGGGATTACAGGTGCCTGCCATCATGCCTGGCTAATCTTTATATTTTTAGTAGAGACTGGGTTTCACCATATTGGCCAGGCTGGTCTAGAACTCCTGACGTCAGGTGATCCACCTGCCTCGGCCTCCCAAAGTGCTGGGATTACAGGTGTGAGCCACTGTGCCCAGCCAAATAGACAAAGTTTTGTAGTATGTTAGGTGGTGATAAGTTCTGAGTGGCAAATGAATTGAGCAAGGGGAGTGGGAGAAGTGTGTTAACAAGTTTAGAGAAGGTGGCCCAGGAAAGGCCTCAGTGAAAGGGTCACATCTGAGTACAGACCTGAAAGTTAATTTAGTGGCAGTTGTGAAAATGGAGACAGAGGAAACAATCCCCAGGCTGAGTTGGCCTTGTTGGGAGCATGCTGAGACTCACTGCAGGTCCAGGGCTGTTGTATTCATTTGACTCCCTTAAGGCGATAAGAAGAGCAGGGCAGGGCCTTCAGGGGCCTTACCAGGGACCTTGCCCTGTGCACTTCAGCTGCCTTCTTTCTCATCCTTGACTCCTGGCCTTGCCCTCACTTTTGCCACTCACTTCTGGTCTTTCTTCCCTGTAGTCCTAAGATTTTCCAAAAGACCAAGTGCAGCATCTGTAACAGTGCCTTGGAGTTGCCCTCAGTCCACTTCCTGTGTGGCCACTCCTTCCACCAACACTGCTTTGAGAGTTACTCGGAAAGTGATGCTGACTGCCCCACCTGCCTCCCTGAAAACCGGAAGGTCATGGATATGATCCGGGCCCAGGAACAGAAACGAGATCTCCATGATCAATTCCAGCATCAGGTGGGGATGAGTGGGCTAGATGGGCCAGGGGATTCCCACTAGTGTCACAGAGTCACTGGAGGGCTTGTTTCCTTATCACCTCCTCATTTAAGAAACAAGCACTTTGATTCTGATTCGTATTCCTTCCCTCCTCTTCTCCTGCAGCTCAAGTGCTCCAATGACAGCTTTTCTGTGATTGCTGACTACTTTGGCAGAGGTGTTTTCAACAAATTGACTCTGCTGACCGACCCTCCCACAGCCAGACTGACCTCCAGCCTGGAGGCTGGGCTGCAACGCGACCTACTCATGCACTCCAGGAGGGGCACTTAAGCAGCCTGGAGGAAGATGTGGGCAACAGTGGAGGACCAAGAGAACAGACACAATGGGACCTGGGCGGGCGTTACACAGAAGGCTGGCTGACATGCCCAGGGCTCCACTCTCATCTAATGTCACAGCCCTCAGAACTAAAGCGGACTTTCTTTCCCTGCCTTCTTATTTAGTCAGCTTGCCATCCCTCCTCTTCACTAGCAGTGTAGATCATTCCAGATCAGTGGGGGAGGGCACCTCAGCAACCTCTGAGTGTGGACAATAGCTGCTTTCTTCTCTATCCAAGAGCACCAGGCTGTGCTTGGGTCCTTGCTCTCAGAGTCTATAAATAAAAGAATATAATGATTTGGGAGCTTAAGGATTTTTTTCTGGGGACTTCCTGGTGATTCTTAACTGCATGATGGACTTCCTTCCCTCTGCTCTCCTGGCGTTCCACTTCCCTCCTACGGTTTTCTTGGAGACCATGTTGACTCAGTCTCGTTCTGGTAATGGGTGGGGCCTGTGGCATCGCATACAGTTCAATTTACTGAAGAACCTCTGCAAAAGACCTAATGACTGAGCTCCAGGAGCAGCCTGGACCAAGACCCCCAAAACAGCTCTTACTCTTTCCTCTTCCTGGTCTCTATGGCTGTAGTTTGGGCAAAATATTCAAGCAGGAGGCAGATTCTGGTAGGGAGCTTTGGGCTTAACCTACCTTAAATAATGGGTAGGTTGGTGTCTTGCTATACTTAATACCAGATGATAAACGGGATAAAAGGTCCTTTCTGGAAACACCTTTCCCTCTCTGAAATTGTCAGCTAAAGTTTATGTTGCTAGGTGTCCCCGTGTAATTTGGGTGGTGCTGCCTGTCTGAAAATTGCTCCTATGTTGTCGTTTTCCCCACAGCCTCACCTAATTTCATCTTCTACGTTGTTTAATTGGAGGACGTAAGTTTGACACTGTGGTTTAGGTAGTATTTAGGATTGCCATGGGCTGGGCGCGGTGGTTCATGCCTGTAATCCCAACACTTTGCGGGGCTGAGGTGAGAGGATCGCTTGAGTCCAGGAGTTCAAGACCAGCCACCCAGGCAACATAGTGAGACCCCGTCTGTGCAAGAAATAAAAATAAACTAGCCCAGCCTGGTGGCGCTTGCCTGTGGTCCCAGCTACTCAGGAGGCTGAGGTGGGAGGATTGCTTGAGCCCAGGAAGTTGAGGCTGCAGTGAGCCTTGATCACACCACTGCACTCCAGCCTGGGTGACAGACACCCTGTCTCAAAAAGTAAAAAATTAAAAAACAGTGGCAGTATTGTAGCTGCTATGCTATGAGTAGACTTTGCATCTACTGAGCTGGGTTTGAATCCTAGTTGTGCTGTTTGACTTAAGGCACATCTTACCTTCTCAACATGTTTTTTTTTTTTTTTTGAGATGTATTTTTTTCAGTGGGTTTTTGGGGAACAGTTGGTATTTGGCTATGTGAATAAGTTCTTTAGTAGTGATTTCTGAGATTTGGTGCCCATCACCCAAGCAGTGTACACTGTACCCAATGTGTAGTCTCTTATCCCTCACCCTGCTCCCACCCTTTCCCCCTCAACCTGTGTCTTCATCTGTACGTTAGGGATTATAACACCTATGCTGTGTGGCTATTATGAAAGCCTAAGGATCAAATAGGTGTTCAGTTCTTTGTACAGTGCTGAGCACATGGGTGATTTTTTTTTTCTTCTTAAGACAGGGTCTCACCGGGCGCGGTGGCTCATGCTTGTATTCCCAGCACTCTGGGAGGCTGAGGTGGGCGGATCACCTGAGGTCAGGAGTTCAAGACCAGCCTGACCAACATGGTGAAACTCCGTCTCTACTAAAAATACAAAAACCAGCTGGGTGTGGTGGGAGGTGCCTGTAATCCTAGCTACTCAGGAGGGTGAGGCAGGAGAATTGCTTGAACCCGGGAGGTGGAGGTTGCGGTGAGCTGAGATTGCACCATTGCACTCCAGCCTGGGCAACAAGAGTGAAACTCCATCTCAAAAAAAAAAAAAAAAAAAAATGGGCGTCTCACTCTGTCATCCAGGCTAGAGTGCAGTGGCACCACCACAGCTCACAGCTACCTCGACCTCCTGGGCTCAAGCGATCCTCACACCTCAGCCTCCTGAATAGCTGGGACTACAGGTGTGTGCCGCCACACCTGGCTATTTTTGTATTTTTTGTGGAGATGAGGTTTTCACCATGTTGCCCAGGGTGGTCTCAAACTCCTGGGCTCAAGCAATCCTCCTGCCTTGGCTTCCTAAAGTGCTGGGAATATAGGTGTGAGCCACTGCACCTAGCTGGGTGATTATTAATAATCATGATTGTTAATTATGTTCATGATTACAGGCGCGGTGGCTCACGCCTGTACTCCCAGCACTTTGGGAGGCCGAGGTGGGCGAATCACCTGAGGTCAGGAGTTCAAGACCTGCCTGACTAACATGGAGAAACCTCATCTCTACCAAAAATACAAAATTAGCTGGGTGTGGTGGTGCGTGCCTGTAATCCCAGCTACTCGGGGGGCTGAGGCAGGAGAATTGCTTGAACCCGGGAGGCGGAGGTTGCAGTGAGCTGAGATCGTGCCATTGCATTCCAGCCTGGGCAACAAGAGCGAAACTCCGTCTCAAAAAAAAAAAAAAAATTATGTTCATGGGAAAGCACTTTTCCTAACAAGCCCTTTTCTCACTACATGTAGCGTTTGTGCTCCCACTTCAGTTACTTGTCTTTAGGCATGACCTTTAATCTCTCTGAACCAGTTTCCTCATTTTAAGAATTGAAATGCTGGCTGGGCCAGTGGCTCACGCCTGTAATCCCAGCACTTTGGGAGGCCAAGGCGAGATGACTGCTTGAGTCCAGGAGTTCGAGACTAGCCTGGGCAACATAGTGAGGCCACCTCCCCGCTGTCTCTATAAAAAAATCTAGAAATTAGTCCCACGTGGTGATGTGCGCCTGTAGTCCCAGCTGCTTGGGAGGCTGAGGTGGGGGGATCGCTGAAGCCGGGAGGTCAAGGCTGCAGTGACCCGTGGTCATGCCGCTGCACTCTAGTCTGGGGACACAGTGAGACCCCGTATCAAAAAGAAAAATGCTGCCTATTTCAAGGTTGTAGCAAAGCTAAGTTTGAACAGAGCAAAGGAAGCGCCATAGAAGCTGCACTACTTGCTCATGTCACAGCTGGGGAATGGGGTGGTCGAATGGGGAGGTCCACTGTCGCAATGTTCCAATTCCCGCCCAGAGGGAGGGACCTCCCCTTCGAGGGAGGGCGCCGGAAGTGACGCGAGGCTCTGCGGAGACCAGGAGTCAGACTGTAGGACGACCTCGGGTCCCACGTGTCCCCGGTACTCGCCGGCCGGAGCCCCCGGCTTCCCGGGGCCGGGGGACCTTAGCGGCACCCACACACAGCCTACTTTCCAAGCGGAGCCATGTCTGGTAACGGCAATGCGGCTGCAACGGCGGTGAGTGCTGAGCCGGTGACCAGCACACTTTGGGCTTCTGGACGAGCCGTGCAGCGATTGGCCCCAGGTTGCCATCCTCAGTCGTCTATTGGTCAGAACGGCTATCTTTTTTTTTTTTTTTTTTTTTTTTTTTTTGGTCCGAGTAGCTTTTAAAGGGCCAGTAGCTCGGTTGCCCTCCGGAAGGAATGGGGAAATCAGAGAGCGGTGATACTGGGTTAAGAGTGGAAGGATTGTTTGGAACGGAACTCCGGTCCCTGCGGGCATCTGGGTGGGATTCCCATCAGGCCTGGGATGCACGGCTCTAGATTTAGTGACCCAGACCAAGAACGTTCGTCTACACAGACGGGGTCCTTTCATTCGAGGCTGGGCTGAGGCGGATGCAGATACGGCCCCTTTGGGAAGACACGTTCCACTTTTGATTCATAGGAGAGAGTATCAGCCAAGCCTCCGAACTGCACACAAACGTCTTAGAAGTGCGCCTTCTTTTTGTGTTATAGTGGTCTCCCAGCCACAGCCAACGCTCCAAGTCCCCAGCTGTGACACACCTACTGAATTACTACCGTGGGTGGGAGGCCGCCGTGGGCCTTTCCATTACGAGCCTGCTTGCCGAGCCCTGGGCTTGTGCACAGACAAACTGCAGAGCTGGTGGAGGCCACTGCCAGGCCGAGATAAGAAAGAGATGGGGAGCTGCTAATCTCCCCCTGTCCAGCCTGTTGGTGAGGGCTGGGATCTTTGCTCTTGCAGTCATTCCAGAGCCCTGGACTAGGAGTAGGAAGATCTGAATTGTGGCCCCAACTCTCTTTCGGTTATTAGCTCTGTGACCCTAGGCAAGTCACCTCATCCCTTGATGCCACCCGTTGCTTCTGTAACATGGTCCCAAAGGTGCCTGTCTTGTCCACCTGATAGGATTTTTGAGACGACAACAATATGCAAAAGCAATAGCTTCAACATAGAAGTGCTCAGTGTTTTATTTTTTAATGAAACGGTTTGACTTGGATATGCTGTGCACATTCAATGAACTTAAGGAATTGTTTGAACCTAGTAGTTCTGGGACCTTAGAGTCCTTTCTGTGGGCTCCCTGTGGCCCAGAATTTTGGTGGCCACGTTTAATATCAAGCCTAGCCTAATTTGCAAAGGGTCTCCCAGGGTTAATTTATTGGAGTGATCACATGGAGTAGACCAGAGTCTGAGGGCAGAAAGCTGTCACCTGCTTCGGCAATAGAGGCCCCAGATGTCTGGGTGCAAAAGAACTCCATAGCACCCCGACCAACATGGTGAAACCCCGTCTCTACTAAAAATATAAAAATTAGGCCGGGCACAGTGGCTCATGCCTGTAATCCTAGCACTTTGGGAGGCCGAGGCAGGTGGATTGCCTGAGCTCAGGAGTTCGAGACCAGCCTAGGGAACACAGTGAAACCCCGTTTCTACTAAAAATACAAAAAATTAGCCGACGTGGTGGCATGCGCCTGTAGTCCCAGCTACTTGGGAGGCTAAGACAGGAGAATCGCTTGAACCTGGGAGGTGGAGGTTGCACTGAGCCGAGACCGCGCCATTGCACTCCAGCCTGGGTGACAGAGCGCGACTCCCCCTCAAAAAAAGAAAAAAAAAAAAAATATATATATATATATACACACACACACATATTTTAGCTGGGCATGGTGGTGTGCGTCTGTAGTAGTCCCAGCTACTTGGGAGGCTGAGTCAGGAGAATCGCTTGAACCTGGAAGGCAGTGGTTGTAGTTAGCTGAGAACATGCCACTGCACTCCAGCCTGGGCAACAGAGGGAGACTCTGTCTCAAAAAAAAAAAAAAAAGGAACTACATAGGATGAACATCCCAGATCAGGGAATGTTGACTGTCGACAGTATCAGTATCTACAGTGGCTACTGTCTGATGTAGAAAGAAATGGGATCAGGCTAGGCGTGGTGGCTCACGCCTGTAATCCCAGCACTTTGGGAGGCTGGGGCAGGAGGATCACAAGTTCGAGACCAGCCTGGCCAACACAGTGAAACCCCGTCTCTACTAAAAATGTGAAAATTAGCTGGGCATGGTGGAACATGCCTGTAGTTCCAGCTTGAACCCAGGGGTGGAGGTTGTAGTGAGCCTAGATCACGCCACTGCACTCCAGCCTGAGCAAAACAGTGAGACTCTGTCTAAAAAAAAAAAAAAAAAAAGAGAGAAATGGGACCTCCGTCTTAGACTGAAGAATTCAGTTCTACGTGCTTAGCAGTGAATACTTTTGTCCAAGGTACTCTGGCAGGAGGAAGAGGCGTGTCCTCTTGAGTTCTTGACTTGGGCTCTGGCCTGTTAATATTTCCATGTTGGTGAAACCAGAGGCAGCACTCTAGGTGCACGAACTTTAGGCAGCGCAGCCTCCTAGTCTTATGGAACATCTGAGGCAGAAGAAACCTGAGTCCAACCTTTTCATTTTATAGATGAACAAACAGATCCTGGTGGGACAGTGTACCCAAGGTCACCCAGCCAAGAGGCTGAGCAGGACTGTACGTCAGATCCGTTTACCTCAGTCCTTAATGCATGCAGTCCAGCCAGATTAAGGGACCCTTAATACTGTCAGCTTTCCCCACTGTGGGATCTTCATCCTCTTGACTTCTTTTGTAGCCAGACATCTGGGCCTCTTGCTGGAGAAGGTGGCAGCTTGCTGCTCTTAGACTCTAGTCTACTCCATGTGGCATCTGGATGGCACTGAAATTTTCTCAAGTGCCTTGTCTGTTGTAGATAATGAATCTATCCTCCAGTGACTCAGCACAGGTTCCCCAGTGTGGTCCTGGCTGCCCTGCCCCTGCCAGCTGCAGGCCCCACCCTTCCTGTGGCCAGGCTGATGGGCCTTATCTCTTTACCCACCTGGCTGTGCACAGCACTCCCACTGACAACTGCCTTGGTCAAGGTGGGCTTCAGGGCTCAGTGTCCTGGTTACTGCAGCGGCAGCAACAGCAGGTCCTACTATCGCCTCCCTCTAGTCTCTGCTTCTCTGGATCCCTGAGGAGGGCAGAAGGTACTGAGGAAGGTTAAAGGGACCAGCCTTGGAGTATTTCCCCACTCTGAGACTCAGCTGGCCACAGGCCAGGTTCTGAAGTTCCTTTCTTCCAAGCCAGTGATTCTGGTTCTTGGACAAGGTGTTGAGGAACACTAGAAACAGAGGGGACTGTGACCTGGGGACTTTTTCTGCAGGAAGAAAACAGCCCAAAGATGAGAGTGATTCGCGTGGGTACCCGCAAGAGCCAGGTGGGTGCAGGAGCCGGGGTGGAGGAGGTTTGTCAGAACAGTTATGATGCTCACAGCATCACAAATTGGGGGACTCAGAGGGTTAGTTCCTAGTATGAAGGAGATGGGGTGGCTGGGCGTTAAGTTCCCCGGGAAATGGCAGATTACATTCTATGGCAAGATCATCCCTAGGCTGGGAAAATTGTTGGAGTGCAGAGGGCTCCCAAGCCCCTTCTCATGCCCAGATGGAAATTCCAGTCCCTTCAGGATCTGCCTAACCTGTGACAGTCTAAAGAGTCTGAGCCGTGGCTGGGAAGGGCAGGACTAATCCAAGTCTCTACCCGCAGCTTGCTCGCATACAGACGGACAGTGTGGTGGCAACATTGAAAGCCTCGTACCCTGGCCTGCAGTTTGAAATCAGTGAGTTTTCTGGAAAGGAGTGGAAGCTAATGGGAAGCCCAGTACCCCGAGAGGAGAGAACACAACATTTCTGGCTTTGCCTATAGCTAAAGCCCGTCCCGCTGCCCCGAGATTCCTTCTGGGCTGCTCCCAGTTCTGAAGGTGCTTTCCTCTGAATACCTCCAGCTCTGACTACCTGGATTAGCCTGGCATTTAACATCTTGAGCTTTGGGTCTTTTTATGAGTGTTTCTGGTCTTCCTGCTCGATTGTATATACTCAGAGGGCAGGAACCAGGGATTATGTGCCTCTGTCCCCATCATGAATCGTAGCACAGCGCTAGGCTCAGTAAATGCTGATCAATAATGAGCACCTGATTGATTGACTCTCTCCTCAGTTGCTATGTCCACCACAGGGGACAAGATTCTTGATACTGCACTCTCTAAGGTAACAACATCTTCCTCCCCAGTTCTTGTCCCCACTCTTCTTTCCTTCCCTGAAGGGATTCACTCAGGCTCTTTCTGTCCGGCAGATTGGAGAGAAAAGCCTGTTTACCAAGGAGCTTGAACATGCCCTGGAGAAGAATGAGTAAGTAAAGATAGGAGAGTGTGGTGCCCTCCCAGTCTCTTGCTGGGACCCTAGTATGCTAGGTCTCTTGCTGGGACCCGGGGTGTCAGATAGGCTGCTGGGCTTAAACCCTCAGAGAGGCTGAAGGCAGCTCATAGGTGGGTTTTTTCAGGCTTCAGAAAAGGAGAGTGTCTGGTTCTGAGCCATCTGGCTGCCTGGACTGCAAGAATGGCTGGGGGAGGGAGGGTAGGAGGGAGAGTAGGAGGGAGAGTGAGAGGAGAGCAGTTTTCATGCTCCTGAGATCTTGAGAAGGTGTGCTTCCTGAACTGCCCTAGGCTCCACCACTGAAGTAGAGGCAGGGGTGGGTGGAGAAGGGGTGAAGGCTGGCTGCTCATACCCTTTCTCTTTGCCCCCCTCTCCCATCTCTATAGAGTGGACCTGGTTGTTCACTCCTTGAAGGACCTGCCCACTGTGCTTCCTCCTGGCTTCACCATCGGAGCCATCTGCAAGTAAGAGTCTTGCAAGTAAGGGGCTTGGGCAGGGGTAGGCATCATGTGAACCTTTGCCTTTCCCTTTGGGGCCTGACCCTCTGCTTCAGGGTTATCTCCTCTGCCCTGAGGAGTGTTGACTGGTGGCAGAAAACTCAAGAAATACCAGTGAGTTGGCAATCGAGAGAGAATAGAGGTGATCTGAACTTAAATCTCTTCCCTCATTCTGTGCCCTTCCCTCCTCCCCCAGGCGGGAAAACCCTCATGATGCTGTTGTCTTTCACCCAAAATTTGTTGGGAAGACCCTAGAAACCCTGCCAGAGAAGAGGTAAGTGGGGCCTGGATAGGCAGCTTGGTGGGATGTGCCCAGAAGATGCAGGGATGGGAGGAGGAGGAAAGGAACAGTGACTGCCTAGTGTTAAAATCTCATTGTAACTTCTCTCTGGGCAGTGTGGTGGGAACCAGCTCCCTGCGAAGAGCAGCCCAGCTGCAGAGAAAGTTCCCGCATCTGGAGTTCAGGAGTATTGTATCCTTTTAGAAGAGTGACGGATCCTTTTGGAAGAGTGACGGAGACAGCAGCCAAGGAAAAAGACAAGGTCTAGAGGGCTCTGGGAGTCCGGAGAGTGGAAGGGGCTTCCAGCAAGCAGCCCGTGGGGTCAGTGGCCTGTCTGTCTTTCCATGCACTCATCCGTCCACTCATTTACAGTCTAATGTTTTCTTAGCCCCAGACAAGTGTTCAGAGTGCAAGGCATTGGGGATAATGGTGAGCAAGATAAACATTTCCCTGCATATGTAGAGTTTACGTCTTACTTAGGGATAATGCAGTTATACTGAACTGAATAGTGACTACTTCTGGAGGGATAGGGAGTACTTCCTTTTTTTTTTTTTTTTTTTTCTGAGACGGAGTCTCGCTCTGTTGCCCAGGTTGGAGTGCAGTGGCGCAATCTAGGCTCACTGCAACTTCTGCCTCCTGAGTTCAAGCAATCTTCCTGCCTCAGCCTCCTAAGTAGTTGGGATTACAGGTGCCACCACACCTGGCTAATTTTTGTATTTTTAGTAGAGACTGGGTTTCACCATGTTAGTCAGGCTGGTCTCAAACTCCTGACCTCAGGTGATCCACCAGCCTCGGCCTCCCAAAGGGCTGGGATTACAGGCTTGAGCCCCGCACCCGGTCAGTACTTCCATTTTTATATGCTACTATATTGTCTTGACTTTTACAATGAATATGTAGTACATTTCATAAAACTAAATTTAAAAATAGTATGTGCTAAGTGCTCCAATAAGTGAAGTTGGGAATTTTCTGGAAACTTCTAGTTGGAACATCTAAACACAGAAGTCTGGGGTGTCAGGGAAGGTTTCTCAGAGGTCTTGTAACCTTGGCAAGTTATTTAGCCTCCCTATGTCATTTTCCTTATCTGTAAAGTGGGGATAATAATACTACCTTCCTCACAGGGTTGTTGTGAAGATGAAATGAGCTGACATATGGAAAGTACTTTTAGAGCAGTGTCTGGCATGTAGTAAGTATGATGTAACTGTTAGCTGTTAACATTAAGCTGAGAGCTGGAAGATGACTGAAAGTCAGCCAGCTAGAGAGGGAAAGACAGACTCAGGCAGAGGGAACCGCACGAGGCCCCAGATTGCCCGACACTGTGGTCCTTAGCAACTCTCCACAGCGGGGAAACCTCAACACCCGGCTTCGGAAGCTGGACGAGCAGCAGGAGTTCAGTGCCATCATCCTGGCAACAGCTGGCCTGCAGCGCATGGGCTGGCACAACCGGGTGGGGCAGGTAGGGCCTGCCCCTATCCTCTCCCCAGCTCATCTGCATCTCCTTTCTGCCTTACAGTCATCCCCAATTTAGGATTTTTAGACTTTATGATTGTGTGAAAGCGATATACGTTCAGTAGAAACTGTACTTAGTACCCATACAGCCATTCTGTTTTTTACTTTCAGTACAGTATTCATTACATGAGATATTCACTTTATTGTAAAACAGGCTTGGTGTCAGATGATTTTGTCCAACTATAATAGGCTAATCTTAAGTGTTCTGAGCACATGTAAGGTAGGCTAGGTGTATTAAATGCATTTTCAGCTTGTTTTCAACTTAACAATGGGTTTATCAGGATGTAACCCTATTGTAAGTCAAGGACCATCTGTCTTCACTTCTTGACCACCCCACCTCTAACACCGTAGGCTGGGAAGATTGTGAATCAGAGGCCAGACTCTAGGCTTTCATGGAGAAAATTTACAAAAAAAAAAAAAAAGAGGCCAGACTCACACTTAGGCCTACCCAGGCTTTCTAGATGATAGGGAACTCCCATCTCACTGCCAGGTGCTTTTAGACACCCCCGTGTCCACCCTTTTGACTCCCTGTTCCGCCTCCACAGATCCTGCACCCTGAGGAATGCATGTATGCTGTGGGCCAGGTACACTTGACCAGGGAAGCCACATGGTGACATATGCCTTCCCTTTGTTCTCAACCAAGAAGCTTGTCTCACAACCTTCTGCATCTGCTTCCCCAGAATAGCATTCTCAGGGAGGGGCAGACCTTGGGATGCTACCGGTCCAAAAGGCGCTGGGGAGCAAGTAGATAGAGGTGGTCCCATGCTTTGCGCCATTGGTTGGGGAAAGATCAGGCCTGATGTCCTAGGATGTTTTTCCATCAGGGGGCCTTGGGCGTGGAAGTGCGAGCCAAGGACCAGGACATCTTGGATCTGGTGGGTGTGCTGCACGATCCCGAGACTCTGCTTCGCTGCATCGCTGAAAGGGCCTTCCTGAGGCACCTGGTAGGGCCTGTGCTCCACCTGTGGAGGGCTGGGGACTTGGAGAGCTGGGAAAGGTGGCAGGGAAGATTTCTTACATGAATGCTCTGTATACAGTGCTAACTCATTCTTGTTGAATGTTGTGTATGGATAGGACCAGGTCTGGGCCCACAGTTGCCTTTTCAGTGATGTCCTCAGGTCTGTGGTCACAGGGTGGTGTTAAGAGCCCTTGCAGCTCACAAGAACTTCTTGTTACAGGAAGGAGGCTGCAGTGTGCCAGTAGCCGTGCATACAGCTATGAAGGATGGGCAAGTAAGTGGGGGGAAATGGGCGGGAAGCCAGGGAAAGGAGGACTGTGGCATTTCTTCCTGTGCATCCCAGGTTTCTAGGTAGTCCCCTCTCAGACTGTGCTGAGGCAACTGTTTTCTTCCCCAGCTGTACCTGACTGGAGGAGTCTGGAGTCTAGACGGCTCAGATAGCATACAAGAGACCATGCAGGCTACCATCCATGTCCCTGCCCAGGTACCAAAGCTGGAGGGCGAGGGGGTAATAAACAAGAGTGCATATAATCTCTTGTTCTCACCAAATCCCACCTCCTTCCCTCATACAGCATGAAGATGGCCCTGAGGATGACCCACAGTTGGTAGGCATCACTGCTCGTAACATTCCACGAGGGCCCCAGTTGGCTGCCCAGAACTTGGGCATCAGCCTGGCCAACTTGTTGCTGAGCAAAGGAGCCAAAAACATCCTGGATGTTGCACGGCAGCTTAACGATGCCCATTAACTGGTTTGTGGGGCACAGATGCCTGGGTTGCTGCTGTCCAGTGCCTACATCCCGGGCCTCAGTGCCCCATTCTCACTGCTATCTGGGGAGTGATTACCCCGGGAGACTGAACTGCAGGGTTCAAGCCTTCCAGGGATTTGCCTCACCTTGGGGCCTTGATGACTGCCTTGCCTCCTCAGTATGTGGGGGCTTCATCTCTTTAGAGAAGTCCAAGCAACAGCCTTTGAATGTAACCAATCCTACTAATAAACCAGTTCTGAAGGTGTTGTGTGTGCGCGTGTGGAGTTGGCGGGAAGATAGGAACAAACACAAAGCCCTTTCATCCTTACCTCAGAGGCTGGGACTTTTGCCCAGAGTTCTCCTGGTACGTCCTTTCTGCTTCTGCCTCAATAGTTTTCATTTCACACAGAATAAATTGTCTCCCAGGAACACCAAGAAACAGAGCCACAATCTTAAATTCCTATGGTTTGCCCCTTCAGTTAACAGTAGAGCCTGTTTATATTGCATGGCCCCTCCCACCCCTATTATCAGGAAAGTATAGAAAGTCACTAATTCTACAACTCTCTTGCAAAATGAAAACAAACGCTCCATTTAAAAAAAAAACAATCCTTTAATAAAATTAGTCCATCTAAAACTCCCCAATGCCTAAGGTTCTAGTCGTGGAAGGGTTAGCTGCAGAATTCCAGTTCAGAAGCCAACGGAGGCTCAGTCCAGACAGGGATTAACCGACTTGTGCTGGTATCTAGGTGCTTGGATTGCCGAGTTGAGTTTGCTGGAAGGGAAATGGGGCGGCGTCGGGGGGCCCGACAGGCCTGGCTGCCAGTCGGCTTCCGCGAAAACGACTCTTGCTGTCCACATAGCCAGCCGTGAAGCCAAACTGCAGGCCTCTGCCCTCCCCTAAATGTCCTCCTAGGAGGCAGTCACTCGGGAGGAAGATGTGCCTGTTACCAAGTGCTTCGTCCCGGCCCCAGCGCAGACCTATGAATGAAGATGGAGGGAGAGCTGATGTGAAAGGCCTGGGTCCCGGCCGCAGAAGGGGCGCCAGACCGAAATCGGCGATCGCGTCTCTCCCACCAAAGCCTCCCGGCCAGCGGCCGCGTCTGAAAGTCCTGGGCTAAGCACCACGCCGGGGGGGTACCAGACACCCCGGCTGCAGCTGCCGAGGGCCTCACTCACCTTCAGGGCCGCCGGCCTCTCGGCCTGGACTGCCCACCTCGGCCCTGCGTCAGAGCGGAAGGCCAAGTCTTCCAGAAGGTGCTGCGGCCTCCCCGCAGCCCCTTAGCGACTCGGGATGGGGCGGCTGAGTCACGAACGCCGAGGCGGGCAGGTGCGGCGCCGCCGGCCTCCCCCCGGCAGGCTCGGGTCTTCCGCGCCACGGAGGTCCCCGAAGAGCGCCCAAGCCGCATCCGGAAGGCCCGAACCCTACCGGAGGGCGGACGGCGGACAGGGCAGGGCCCGAGGCCGACGCGGCAGGCGGTGCGGGACGGGAGCGGGGGCGGGCGGGGACTCGAGGCCGGGCGGCGAAGGCGGGCGAGGGGAGGGGAGGGGAAGGGAGCCGCGGCCCGCTTGCCCCGCAGTCTGAAGCGGCTCAGCTCTTTCCATGAGGGCGGTGGTGGCCCTTAAAAGGGCCTTTGTGGTGGCATGGGGAGGCCTGGCGGCCGGCCGCGGCGCGGGCCCTCTTAGTACTCCTGGGAGGCCTGGGTGGCCTTCTTGCCGCCCGAGGGCGCCTTCGGCCCCACGGTGGCGCTGGTCTTCTTGGGCAGCAGCACGGCCTGGATGTTGGGCAGGACGCCTCCCTGGGCGATCGTCACGCCGCCCAGCAGCTTGTTGAGCTCCTCGTCGTTGCGGATGGCCAGCTGCAGGTGGCGGGGGATGATTCGCGTCTTCTTGTTGTCGCGGGCCGCATTGCCCGCCAGCTCCAGGATCTCAGCGGTGAGGTACTCCAGCACTGCCGCCAGGTACACTGGCGCGCCGGCGCCAACGCGCTCGGCGTAGTGGCCCTTCCGCAGCAGCCGGTGTACACGGCCCACTGGGAACTGGAGGCCGGCGCGCGACGAGCGCGACTTGGCCTTGGCGCGGGCCTTGCCGCCAGTCTTGCCGCGGCCCGACATGCTAGCGAGGTAGACCGGTGAAGCACGACGGCTCAAACACTAGAACAGACGCCCGCCGCAGTGTAACTGCTGTCGCGCGCGCGCCGCGAGGCCGCCTTTATAAGCCCCCAGGACACACCTCTGCGCCCTCCTGATTGGCTCTTTTCTCCAATACCCGCCTCCGGTTGGTTGCGGTTAACCCTTGGGTGTCGCGGCTCGGCTGAGGGAGCGCGCCCGCTGATTGGTCGAATTTGAAAACCTTTTGCCCGGGGAGAAAAGGCGAGGAGGAGGGGTAGCACGCAGACTGCCAACTATCCGCTGATGTAGCCAATCCTTGTAAAGCGCGCGAGATTTAAACACTACAATCGGAAACCAGAAGCGGAAGACCAAAGGGGTGGAGTCTGAGGCCACCTAGAGAGCGTCTGGGAAATCTGTGCCGGCGTAGGATTTTTAAAGGAAAGGGGTCAATATTATAGCTACTGCAGCCCTCCTTTCCAGGTCCAGTCACTCCCTACTCCCTTCTCCTACCTGACAAAGGGAGAATGGAAAAGTGAAGAAATTAGACCCCTTAAAAGTTTTCTTTTTTTTCTTTCTTTCTTTTTTTAATAGACCGGGTGTCACTGGCTCTGTCACCCAGGCTGGAGTGCAGTAGTGTGATCTCAGCTCACTGCAGCCTCGAACTCCTGGGTTCAAGGAATCCTCCCTGCTAAACCTCCCTCGTAGCTGGTACTACAAGTGCTCCACCACACTTGGCTAATTATTTTATTTTTGTAGAGACGGAGTCTCGTTTTGTTGCCCAGGCTGTCTTGAATTCCTGGGCTCAGGCAATCCTCCTGCCTCAGCCTCCTAAAGTGCTGGGATTACAGGCATGAGCCACTGCACCCGGTGACTCTTTGAAAGTTTGTTCCCATGCCAGGAAACAGGATAACTTCAATTTTGTGGCCCTCCATGCCACCTCTAGTATCAGGATTTAAATATTTATTCAATATGTTCTGTTTGGTCTCAGTTCTGTTCACTTCTTGTTAGACGGGGTCTGATGGGGCAGAGAGATAGGCATCCTGTTGGAGGAAGTACCCCCACCACCCCTCCCAATCTACCCAAAAATGCCCATATAGGAAATATACCTACATAAACAATAAGAAAAAGACAACACTTTATTGTCTCCATTGAGAGCATGTGGCCCCCTGCTTAGTTCTTACTAATCAGAACACTTAATTTACAATCAAATGACATGTCACCGTGGAGCCTGTGTTCCTAGCCCTGGCCCAAGTTCTATCCCAAAAACCAGTGGTTCCTTGAGAGTCAGGACTCTGAAATGTGAGTGTGGATAACTGCAAAAAAAGCTGCTGTATCCCACCCTATGAGGCTGCAAAGATGGGATGGAGAGGGAGAGAGTAGCAAGTTGCAGAAAGCCATAGGTAAAATCCAATCAGTAGTCAGCAGAGGGCAAGAAACGCCCAGGATGCCAATGATCACAGAGAAAGGAAAATGCTGAGAACAAAATCTGGAGGAGTATGAAGAGTGAGAGAGGCCTGGGCAAGGAGGCAGTCTGGGACCAGAGAGAGAGGTCAGCCTGAGTCAGGAATCCTAGAGACTGTGAGGTAAAGGACAATGATCAAGGGACTCAGACATCATAGAAGAGTCGAACGAGCTGATATCGAATGGAGAAGGTGATGGCACTGCCCAGGATCTGCAAGGAGAAATGGACTGGAGTAAGAATCACGCAGAAAGGGAGACACGGAGGTATAAACTCGATTCCCATCCTCACCTGCAGCAGCAGCAGGAGCAATGTGAGGTTTCTCTCATGTATGGGCCCAAGGACTTTAAGTAGCAAGTTGATGAGGGTCATGTTGTTACATTCAGTGAATTCACCATCTTCAGTCTCACTCTGGTGTACTGTCACCAGCTGGAGGCTCTCTGCCACCTGGAGGGACCAGAGGTGAAGAGAACCTCAGCTAATACCTATGCTTTAGGAATGTGGATCTATTTAATGCTTTCAAGTTCCCCTTGGATCTGATGTAGGACTAGGTTCCCCATTCCTCAAGGTCAGGATGGCAGCCTAGGGCCTTACCTCCTTGTTACCCTGTTACCTTTAAAATAAAGGTGCCCAAGAAAGAGAGGCTCTTGGTCTTGAACTTGGAATAGCTCATCTCCAGTTTGCCTGTCTTGATATTGAGTCTGCGGGGGGAAGATAGCTTCATGTGACTGGGCCACTATTTGAACCCTCCTCCCTGTGGCTAATAGGAAGAGCATTGAATGTGGAGTCAACCTGAGATCTATTTCTGGCTCTGCTGCTTACTGTTATCAGAACCACTGTAGCAGATTATGCAAATAAATGTGCTTTGTAAGTTATAAAGGGCTACTCACATGGAAATAGCCCTTCTTTGGGCCCACTCCCTTTGCACAGCAAATGTATAGGCTGGCATTAGATATCCCAAGTGAAAAGGCTATGATGTCCATTTCAAGCCAAAAAGCGGCTACCTGGGTATGCGGTGGCGAGGGCAGGGGATGATATGCAGGAGCTGAGGCAGTGAGTAGAGGAAGTTGAACACCTGGGGCATGAAGAATAGTAGCATGGTCTTGCTGAAGTGTCCCAAGATGCCCACCACGGCAAAGGTCATGCCAGCAAAGTAACAGAAGGTATCTCCCACAAACACCCGTGATGGGTACCTGTGTGGGGGAAGAGGATCCGAGCCAGTGGCAAGAGGCATTACCAATCCCTTCTCTCACATCACACCCTATGGGCACTGGACTAGCCCTGACCCTAGTTCTGACTCAGAGGAGACTCCAGTTGTGCAGCAACTCTGCAGGATCCAAGGCCCTGAATTCATCTATTCCTGGGGCCTCCACGCACTCATCCCTAACTACTACTGGGTAGAGAGAAATTTCAGAATACGACCAACTGAAGACGCAGAAAACTCCATAGAGGTATGCGCAGGTTTAGCTTCACCACCACAAGGTGGGTTATGATAAGGGCCATCTTTGCCATGTGTTCAGGTAGTTGTCCCCTTATCCACAGGCCTACTTACCAGTTGTGGTAGAGCAATCCCAAAGTGGTGAAAAAAAAGGGTATCATGAAGTAGAGGGAAAAGACATGATCATCCCGACAATCACCTTTGGAAGCAAGGAAGAAAGAAGGAAAAGTTAATACCCACTTCCTCTGCAAACCTTGGTCCTATTTTTGTCTAAGTTCTGTTTACAGCTGTTATCATCCACCTCACCCAAGTCACTTTTAAGAACTCAATACTCCTTTTATGTCACCCAAGGCAATTCCCAATATTCCACCTCTTTCGTGCAGCCTTCCAAACTAGTTACTATCTTAAATTTGGTTTAGCCCATTCTGATGTAAGTTTGGATACCAACTTTACTTCTTAGCTTTGTGACCTTGATCTTGATCATGACACATTTAACTTCTCTAAGCCTGTTTTCTCATCTGTAAAACAGGGCTGATTATAACATCTGCCACATAAAACCATTACAAGATTTAAATAAGATAGTGTTTAAAAAGTACTTAGCTTTAATAAACACTTGTTGATGTTCATCAGCCAAAGACCATCAGAAACACATCTATAGTTCAAAGCTAGGTTTAATGACTTGTTGTAAAAAGGGAGACTTCAGAAACCACACACCATTGGGAACCACGGAATGTCTCAGTAAGAGGGTGTTAGGAGGGGCTTGTAGTAGCGTTTGTTTTGGGTATTTTGGGAGAGGGTGAAAGAAAGTAGTTTTGCTCTGGACTGGGTGCTGTTAGAAAGCAGGAGTAATTCATGGCCGGGTGCGGTGACTCACGCCTGTAATCCCAGCACTTTGGGAGGCTGAAGCAGGCAGATCACCTGAGGTCAGGAGTTCGAGACCAGCCTGACCAACATGGAGAAACCCCGTCTCTACTAGAAATACAAAATTAGCTGGGCGTGGTGGCACATGCCTGTAATCCCAGCTACTAGGGAGGCTGAGGCAGGAGAATCGCTTGAACCTGGGAGGCGGAGGTTGCGGTGAGCCGAGATCGCACCATTGTACTCCAGCCTGGGCAAGAACAAAACTCCGTCTCAAAAAAAAAAAAAAAAAAAGAAAAGAAAAGAAAGCAAGAGTAATTCTATGATCAAGCATTTTAATGTTTATTTAAGAAATGGTAGGAACTGGCTGGGCACAGTGGCTCAAGAGTGTAATCCCAGCACTTTGGGAGGCCTGGCAGATCACTTGAGCCCAGGAGTTCAAGACCAGCCTAGGCAACATGGTGAAACCCTGTCTCTACAAAAAATACAAAAATTTGCCAGGTGTGGTGGCACATGCCTGTAGCCCCAGCTACTTGGGAGGCTGGGGCAGGAGGATCGTTTGAGTCAGAGGATGCAGTGAGCTAAGATCGCGCCACTGCTCTCCAGCCTGCATGACAGAGGGAGACCCTGTCTCAAAAAAAAAAAAAAAAAAAAAAAAAAGAAGTGGTAGGAACTGAGTTGTTATTGGAGAGCAGCAGCAGTCGCTCATGTTAGCCGAGAGAGGGGATCTTGGCCATTTTGTGGGTTGCTCAGTGTTCTTGTGGTTTTGCCTGTGCTCAAACATGATTACAGAGGGAGGGGTCTAGTTTTAGTCTTGCTCCATCACGGTCACAGAATGACCCTGTGTAACGTTGGGGTTCTGTGAAACTGTTTATATTCAATGGGAGAAGATCATGGCCTAGCTATTAGTGCCAATCCAGCTATAAATGACAGGGCTACTATTTTTCTTTCTCACTTTTAATAAATCTGCATTGTTATTTGCAAAGTAAGTAGCTTCCCTTATCTTCTATAATTACTATGCATATTGCTTTTTTCCCCTGAATTTCCCAAAGTCATATATCAGGCCACACCTTTAACACTCAGACTTCTCTCTCCCCACCCCCAATCCCACCTACCTTCCAACTCTACCAGGTTGAAGACAATGATGGAAGCAGAAATGACTAGTGACTGGCCAGCCTCTAGGCCGTTAATTCCTGCTAGGATATTGATGGCATTGGTACAGAACACTGCCAGCAGCCCCATGTAGACATAGTACAGGATTCCTGCGGGGAGAGATGGTAGGAAAAGAAGTAGTGCCACCTAGGGGAGGAGGATTTAAGAATTTTTAGAAAAGTGGTGAGGACGGACGATAGGATGAAGGGCTACCAGAAAGGATCTGGGAAGACACAGAGACAAAAAAGGAACACTTGGAGGAGAATGTGGAGCACCAGGAAGGGTTCCCTGAAGTAGGTGCCATAGGGGCAGCAGTGGTAGGACTACCTACCCAAGTCCAGATGCAGGCCAAGTATCGGGCGGAAGGGCTTGGGCACCACAATGGTCGTGTTGCCAAAGTTGGTGAAATAGACCATGAGGAGAGGTAGTGAGGCAGCTGTAGGTAGCAGCAGCTTATGGCGCCAGCGCAGATTCAGTACATCATCCGCAAAGCCCAGGAAGATCATGCAGCAGATGGCAAGGAGGGCACCTATCAGGGCCACAAACTGGGGGAGGCTCGGGCAGGTCCATGACTCAAGCCTGCTCCCATTCCACCTTTTAAGAATTCCTGTCTTTTCTGATAATTTCTTAGCCCCTCCCCACAAGCCCAAATAACCCCAGTTCTCTCAGGTACCTCCCAGGTCCCAGCCACAGGCAATCACCCCCACGAACCCACTTACTTCATGGTGGGGGAATGCCTTACACTGCTCCTTCACAAAGCAGTTCAGGAAGGGGAAAGGGATGAAGCAGAAGAGGATGATAAGGAAAACAGCACCGCTGATCACTCCCTGGGATTCTGGGCTGTGGCCCAGCAGCAAGGGGGCGAGGGGGAAGAGGAAAGGGGGCGTGGTCACTCACTAGTGCAGGTGTTACAGTAACCCAAAGTGGTCTTCTCATTCCCGGTTTTTTATTCTGGTAAGTGGTGAGGGGGGCGGAGGGAGGAAAGCACCACTGCCAGAGTCCCAGATATACCCAAGGGTCCCTACCCATCCTTTCCCCAATGCGAGTAAGTTCTGCTCATCACCTCTCCGAGTTCCAGGCTGCCTGGGTTAGTTCTGAGTCTTCACGTGTGGTCAAGCACCCCGGTTCCCGCCCCTGCCCTAGCCACTCCTTCCTTAGCCCTTGCCCCCTGCCCGGACCCGTGTGCCGCTGCTCACATCTGCTGTCGGCTGGTTTTGTTGAGGTCCTGACCACAGAGGCGCGCAGCAATGAAGTGGCCCCGGAAGGCCGGGATGAGGGTGACTGTGGCCACAAATCCCAGCAGCGAGACGATCAAATTGATCAGCAGCGGCATGGGCAATTCCGAGAAGGCCCACATGGTGACCGGTCAGGGGCCCGGCTCCGCCGCCTCTTCAGGTAACGGGCAAGCTGAGCAGCAGTCCTGAGGCCTCAGCAGTATGGAGTGGCCGCTCCCCACAGGCAGGCTCTTCCCACACCAATCTGAGCAAAACCCAGCAACTCTGACTTGAGCCGCCGTCGGGACACCGGGGAACCTCTCTAAGGCAACCTATGTTCTGCCCCGCTGCACCCGCCTATCTACTGTTTCCGCCCGGATCTTGTTCGCTGAACAACCATTACTGCGGAAGGCGGCGGCCGCCATTTTTAATATGGGCATTAGAGGGTGGGGATGGAAGTGGAAGAGAAGTGTGATTCCAAATTTCATCCTATGTTCAAGAGTAGAATCACCGAGAGAGTACTGGAAACGCAATTAAAGAAAGGCAGCCAAGAACGGATACTTCCCTAACATTATGTTAAAGATGTACTACCCAGAGCGGAAATGCCAATTGCCCGGTTCCAAGATGAATGCCTCCTTGTACCACGTGTCTGACACCGCTCACATTCCGGTTCCACGTCAGTTTTAGCTCCGTCCGCCTCCATAGGTCAAGCTTAAAGGGCCCGTACCTCTCCCTTAATCTGGGATGCCTCCGGCTCCAGGAAGATGGCTATTGAAAGGCAGGGGGTGGGGAGGAGGGACGAGGGTGTGGAGACGCGCCTGTTTCTTGCAGGAAACCTGTTGCCAACATAGTCGGAAGCCAAGGTAAACACAACTCAGTTCCCGGAAACAAAGCTACGATTTGGAAGGATGGTGTAAATTCTAAAGCGTAGATCCTTGAAAAGCCCCTCCCACTCTGTTTTTCTTGTCCTCGATTCTGGTATTTTTTTCTCAGCATCCCACCCACCTTCTGCCCCAGCTGTAGCAGTTAGTTGCCCGGCAACCCAGCGCAGCACTTCACTGAGGGATTGGGAGTACCCTCAGGTCTTGGATTTAACTCGAGACTTCAGCTTGGCCGTGGATCACTGCATTGTACCTAGCTCCCACAAGGAGGAGATGGAGATTTCCAGGCTGAGGCTCTGGAAAGAGCTGAGGAGGGAGAGGAATCAGACCCACAACTGATTTCCTGTGAGTCTGAGGAACTCCCAGTCAGGTTTCTTCCTGTAGGTCACTGTGCATTTTGCTTGGCCTCCTGCAGGTTGCTGTGCATTTTGCTTGGCCTGTTCCCCTGCAAACAACAATTCACCAGCTTTTTTTTTTTTTTTTTTTTTTTTTTTTTGAGACAGAGTTTCGCTCTTGTTGCCCAGGCTGGAGTGCAATGGCGCGATCTCGGCTCACCGAAACCTCCACCTCCCAGGTTCAAGAGATTCTCCTGCCTCAGCCTCCCGAGTAGCTGGGATTACAGGCAGTAGCTGGAATTACAGGCATGCGCCACCACGCCCGGCTAATTTTGTATTTTTAGTAGAGACGGGATTTCCCTATGTTGGTCAGGCTGGTTTGGGACTCCCGACCTCAGGTGATCTGCCCGCCTTGGCCTCCCAAAATGCTGGGAGTACAGGCGTGAGCCACCACGCCCAGCCAGTTCACCAGCATCTTTATTACCTTTCATTCCCCGACAGGCTCTTAGGCGGCAAATGATTTCCATTTGTCAGAGAGGAAGTCACCACCAGTGAGTTAGGGAAAGGACTCCAATAGCCTAGCGCTTTGTCCACTCTTCCCTCTATGGCATGTTCCAGGAGTCAGGGTCATGTTGACCGTTTTTAAGCCGAAGATAGTTTCTTCTTTCCCTCAAAATCAGATGTGAGGCCGGGCGCAGTGGCTAACGTCTGTAATCCCAGCACTTTGGTAGGCGAAGGTGGGTGGCTCACTTGAGGTCAGGAGTTCGAGACCAGCCTGGCCAACACGGTGAAACCCCGTCTCTACTGAAAATACAAAAATTAGCCGGGTGTGGTGGCACATGCCTGTAATCTCAGCTACTCAGGAGGCTGAGGCAGGAGGATCGCTTGAACCTGGGATGAGGAGGTTGCAGTGAGCCGCGATCATGCCACTGCATCCCAGCCTGGGCAACAGAGGGGAAACTGTCTCAAAACAAACAAACAAACAAACTAAATCAGATGTGAAATGGCTTTTCTACTTGAAAATGGCTCTAATTAACAACAACAAAAACCCAGATATGTATAAAATACATAAATTTTCGTAATTTACTTGCTAGTATTCCACCAGATTTTCAGTACTTATCCCACTGCTATTATTTTTCTGTGTGTGTTGTGTGTATGCACGTGTGCCCCTTTTAAACTAGAAACTCCCGGGAGGCAAGTGTTTTCTCTTCCACAGGGTGTCCCCATGGGGCTAGGAACACAGACATCTGTGTACAAGGAAGGCATCATCACACATAATGAGGCTGAGGCTGAAAGGAGGACTGAGGGCAATAGGTGCATATGGAGGGAGCAATTAGTTGTGACCAGAGTAAGTGGTCTTGAGGAAGAGAAGTATCATTTCAGTAGATTATAAGAGTAGAAGGACCTTTCACAGGCAGCGACAGTGAGACACCAGAAGCTGGTGGAAAGGAGGAGCTTGTGGGATCCCAGAGGAGGCAGCATTCAGTTATCTTGTTGATGACGAGTATACTGAGACTCCCTGGAGGTCTGAGAGCCAGTCTGTATCTATTTCCTTTTTTATTAGGAGGCCAATCCTAATAAATCTTCCTTCCCAGCCTGGTATTGGGAAGCTTTATCTCTTTCTTCTCCAGAGATCATTAGCCCTCCCTACCACCACCCTCCTGGGGAGGGTGGAAGGATGTAATCAAAGACAAGAGAGACTAAGGATTCATCATCCACATATACATGTTACTATCAGAAAATGGTTACTAAGATACTTGTCAGATAATCTGAGTATTTTTGTTCCCATGATGATAAAGTCCCAGTTGATGATCAGACTAATCAGAAGGAGAAACAAACACATGACTTTTGGCTTCACTTGAAATTGTGTGCCTTCCCTGGTAAAAGTTCAAAGCGTTTTCCTGAATGCTGAAGCCGGCCCTAGGATTCACAGACCAGTTGACTTGTCAGTGGCCCTGGACTGAGCAGACAGTGTTTGAGATGCACACCTCTTCTAAGTAGCCTTGAGTGGCTCCCAATGAGCAAGGCCAATCCACTGAATGTGATTGCTAGACAAAGCCTGTCCCAAAAATGTTTCATAGTGCCACAAAGACAATGAGACCCCTCTGGATAGTCTGGGGCTGTGATACTTGCAGGACTCTATCTGTGGCTCTGTCCAGTCAGCTGAATCACTCTTTTTCCTTTTCCTCCCACCTCTCCCCTCTTAGTCTAGAAAAAAGTTGTTAATTAAAAGCAAGCCCCAGGATTTCCCATTCCACTGGTATGGCATGAATGATATTTCAAAAGACAGAAATGGCATAGAAATTCTCAAAGCATACTTGAGTATTTTCTGTTAGACTTCTTAAAATTACAAAGTTTGTTAATCCCTACTATGTGCATAGGAAGCTCTTCAGTACTGTGGAGGATACAAACTAATATAATTGCAGTTGCTTGCCCCCAGGGAGTCTACTTCAGCATATTTGGAGCATCTTGGTTGAATTTGAGGGAAAAGAGATGACTAAGACATGGTTCCCACCCCTAGGCAGCTTCCTGATGCATGGAAAAAGCAGACATATAAACAATCAGCTAGACTCTAAGGCAGAATGTAAGTGCTAGAGGTCTAAGTAATGGAAGAAAGAAGGAGGACTAGGCTGGGCACAGTGGCTCTCACCTGTAATCCCAGCACTTTGGGAGGCCGAGGCGGGAGGATCACCTGAGGTCAGGAGTTCGAGATCAGCCTGGCCAACATGGTGAAACCCTGTCTCTACTAAAAATAACAAAAATTAGCCAGGCATGATGGCGCATGCCTATAGTCCCAACTACTTGGTAGGCTGAGGCAGGAGAATCACTCAAACCTGGGAGGTGGAGGTTGCAGTGAGCCAAGATCTCGCTACTGCACCCCAGCCTGGGCAACAGTGACTTTCTGTCTCAAGAAAAGAGAAAAAAAAAAAAAAAAAGAGGGAGGACTAACTAGGGAGACTCATGTAACTAGGTAGACTCACAGTTCAGATACTGAATTGTGAAGCAGTATCTGGCAGCATAGGACCAAGCACTCAGTGGAGAAGTTGAGGGAATAAATCAAAGAAGTCAGAGAATGGAGATCACTAGGGGGTCTGAGGGTTCCTGAAGGATTCTTGGGGGAAGAGGGTCTTCATAGGGAAAGCTTCTACCTGGACAACTTCCTGCATAACCTGCTCCCCTAAACCCTAGCTGCTCTTCCCACTGACAGCTTCCTCCTGCATCCCTGGTTCTGGCCCTGAGTTCTCTCCTCCCTTGATTTCATGTCTTCTCCTCCCTTTGAGATTAGAAACCCAGACTCTAGGAATCTCCACTGATTTGGCAGTCCAGTGACAATGCATGGGCAGGGCCACAGGAGGTTACCTCATTCACCCCCACCTCTCCCCATCATTCCTTACAGGGAAATCTAGGGAGGCCCAGGCTACCCCACCACCTCCTCTGGCTCAGACAAACCTGTTGCTGACCTGTCAGTTTCTGTCTAGCCCTGCCATCCCACACTTCAGAAGGCATTGTTTATTCTCTTATTCTCATGTGCTCATTCCTCAGACAACTACTTGGGTTTGGGAGAAAGATACTTAACACCTTTCCATCCTACCTCTTTAAGAAAGGGACTGTGTGCCAAAGACCTTCCCACATGTATGAAGAAGGGGCTCTTGGGAGAATGTGAATTCCCCCAGGATTCCTTTGAATCCTTTTGCAGGTATTTCCTTCCCCTGTCCTCAGCAAGCATTGATGAGCCCCAGTCCTGTAGAGGTTGAATCAACTCCTTGAGTCTAGGAAAAGATGGCTTCTGAGGCCAGAGGTTGGGCAGTGTACCTACAGCACCATTTCTTGGGAGCTTGTTGGGATATCACATACTTAGAGTGGCAAGGTCTTGTGGCTGAATCTATTGATAGTCCAGTGCTACATTGCCAGCTCCCTTGTCATTACCACCCCCTCTACACGTGCTCCATAGGCAGGAGCTGTTACTATGGAAATACATTATTTTTAAAAACAGACACACAGCCTGGGCTTGGGAATCTCCAGAACAAACCTACACGAGCAAGGAGGTTAATGGGGCTGTTTCTGGGTCCAAGCTCCAAGAGGAAGGAGGGTGATGATGGTGGGGGGAATTCAAATTCGGTGTTCTACTCTCAACCTCTCCCAGCTTCAGGTTCTGCTTTCTCTCTGTTGACATCAGCTGGACCTCTGCCAGACACTTCTATCTGGGAGGGACGCTCTGCGTCTCCTTACCCTGGGCCTAGCTTCCCCCAGGAAATGGGAAGCTAGAAGTCGCTGAGTCTGGGGGTGTTGGGAGAAGGGGGCGGTGATTTCCACAGGGGTCACCTCCTTCTTAACCTCACAGGCGTCCGACCTGTGGAAATCTAACAAGCATAGGGGAAAGCAAAGGCAGCATCTTAGGTAAGTGAAGTTACTCTTGCCTTGAGCTGAGTGTGGGAGCACCGCGATTGCAAGATGGGGCGAGGTGATCAAAGATCCCGCCTATTTTCAACCCCGGAACCTCCTCCGCTCGCTGCTAGCCCTCCCGCCCTCCTCCAGCGAGGGAGCGCCAGGCTGTCCTGGCCCCGCCCGGCGCGGGTGCGGCTCCTTTAAGGGCGGGTGGGGGCGGGGCGCCGGCGGTGTTGTCAGTGTCAGCTCTGCGCACGCAGCCCTCCCGGAGCCGGTGCCGGCCCGCGAGCCCCAGCGTCTCTGCAGACCAGTCCCCTCCAGGGTCCGGCGGGGCCCGCGCGGTGGGAGGAGTCGGGCACTGGCCGGCGACTAACGGGTCCGACTGCTGACCAAGCTAGGAGAGACCCGGACCACGGAGACAGAGACCCCGGCATCGCGACCCCCGAGGACCTCCTCTCCTCGCCCTGTGGCACCCACTAGTCCTGGGCACTCAGCCGCGGAGAGCCCCCGACCCCGCGCGCCCAGCCCCGGGGGAGCCCACCTCCTCCCCGCGGCCCGCCCGGGCCATGCTCCCCCGGGGCAGCGGGTGAGCCCCAGCCGGGACCGGGATCGGAGCCCGCGCGGAGCATGGATCCGGGCTGGGGGCAGCGGGACGTGGGCTGGGCGGCCTTGCTGATCCTCTTCGCCGCCTCGCTGCTCACGGTGTTCGCCTGGCTGCTGCAATATGCCCGGGGCTTGTGGCTGGCGCGGGCCCGCGGGGACCGGGGCCCGGGACCCGCCTTAGCCGGGGAACCCGCGGGTTCCCTGCGGGAGCTGGGCGTGTGGCGCTCGCTGCTGCGGCTGCGGGCGACTCGGGCTGGCGCCGCCGAGGAGCCAGGAGTCCGGGGCCTCCTGGCGTCACTCTTCGCCTTCAAGTCTTTCCGGGAGAACTGGCAGCGGGCTTGGGTGCGAGCGCTGAACGAGCAGGCCTGCAGAAACGGGGTGAGTTGGACCAAGCGCTTGGGTGGTCCCTTCAGCCTTTCCTTCCAGGGGAGGGACTGACTGCTCGTGCTAGGAGGCCAGACGAGGGTGGGCATAAACTGGGGAACCCTATGGCTTCTCTTCCCCTCCCGGATCAGAGAAAAGGGTGCCGCTAAGGCTGGAGGTTGTAGAAATCCAACTGGGTCCCCAGACTTCCATTTCTGTGGGCAAGGTACTCTGGTTCCAAACCCATGCACAAGTTGCTGTTCTCATAGCAACGCTAATCCCTGTGCCTGAGGGCACTTCCGCCTTGCCTGGGTGCTGGTTGTGTTGGGGCATGGGAGACAGGTGCACCTGCAGAAGGAATTTGCCTGCTTCTCATGCCACCACACCCATTTAACATTTCATGCCCCAAATCCCTGGTGTGGTCAGGCAGATCCCCAAGGAGCCTGAATCACCCCCCTACCCGACAGTAATTTCACTGCTACAGTCAAACACATCCTTCTCCTCCATGCTGGCCTGTGGTTCACTGGGGGTTGGGGAGTGTTCAGGTGGAGAGCAGATTGACAGTGCCCCTACCAGTAGATGAGCTTGGAACTGCCCCTTGAGGGTCAGTCACAAACCAGTCCAGCCTACTTCCTCCCATTGCACCATGGGCATCTGGCCTCCCAGGAAGTGGGGCAGGAAGCGTGGTCATGAGATGGAGATAAGGTGGGAGGTAGAAGTCTCTCTTTTCTGGAGCTCCCTCCCATCCTGACCCAGCAATCTCTCCTTGCTCTCACAGTCCATCAGCTCCTTGCTCAGAGGGTTCTCTATTTCCAGCCACTATGAGTTTGGAGGCTTTACCTTACTAGTTCCCCAGATGCCGGAAACAGAAATGTCCACAAGAAATTGCTCTATTTACTCTGTCCAGCTGGCTGGCTAAAAGCCAGATGGCATCTGTCAGTTTACACCTTGAACCCACCTCTTCATCCAACTCTCCCTGTACCTTGTCCCTCGGTCAGAAGCAACTCCCCAGGATAGCTGACTCAACTGGACATTGGCCTCCCTTGCAGAGGGTGGGGAGATTGAGGTTTCAAGCATCCATCTCCCCATCTTCCTTGGCCTAGCCTTTGAATGAGACAGCTACCAGAGCAAAGGAGTTGGCTTCCCCTGGTTTGCCAAGCAAATGAACCCTATGGATTTGTTTCCTCCATCTCAAGACCCAAGGAAGAGTTGCCAGCCAATTCTGTGCCCCTTCCTCAATTCTGTGTCCGCACTGCTCTCCAGGTGGGGCTGCGGTAGGTTGCTTCCATTACTGTGGACGAATTAGGGAGCAGCTCTTTTGAGATCTAAGCAGCTTTCTGCTCTCTAATACCGTCCTGCTATCTGCCTTGAGGAATTAGCCAGGCCCCTGGACTCTTGGGTCCTCTGAGCTTGTATCTCTTCCCAGTCCCCCTGGTACGGATCCCCAAGGCCATGCTCATCTTCATCTCCAAGAATATGAAGCATCATACTCTTGAAGCCTCCACATCTTATTTATTTGGAAGAAGGCTTAGCTTCATTTCTGCAGCTCTTATCTTGAACAAGGTGGCTCTACCACCTTTACCGGGGCTTAGCCCTTTCCCTCTGCCCAGCTATTATATATAGGTGGCAACCAGCACCTTAACTTTTTTCTATGTAGGATTTTTTGTTTGTTTGTTATTTGTTTTTTTAGGGGGTAGGGTAGGGGATGAAAGGGATTGCAGGGAGAAGAAGAAGGAAGCTCTTGGTATTCCAGGAGGAAGCCAGGGTCTTCAGCTTAAGGTGATCTAGTCTCTGAGGTGGACTACCTCCCCATTGCTCAGTGGCTCCTAGCAGCTACAGGCCCCTGGAGAGGCAGGCCTTGAGGGGACTACCTCCTGTCTTAAAGCCCTGAGCCAAGGAGGGGCCAGAAGCCAGCCTGCAGCTGAGGCCTCCGCAGTGGCAGAGTCCAGCCAGCAACTGAGCAGGCCAACCCTGTGGGGGGCAGCTCCAGAGACCTGATCCAATGCCCACATTACTCCCTCAGAGCTCCATCCAAATCGCCTTTGAGGAGGTGCCCCAACTCCCACCCAGAGCCAGCATCAGTCATGTGACCTGCGTAGACCAATCTGAGCATACCATGGTAAGGGTCTGATGGGCACTGCCCTCTTTGGGGTCCAAGAAGGACTGACCCCAAGGGCTCCCTTTAGTCCAGAGGTTCTTAACCTGGAGTCTGTGAATGCCTTATGGATCTAAGGATTGGTTTCAGGAAGTCTGAGAATCCCATTGAAGTTATGTGCAAAATGTTGGATGTGTGTTTATATGCATTTTTCTGGGGAGAGGAGTCTTTGGCATTTATCTGATTCTTTTAGGGATTTATGATCCTGAAAACATGAAGTCCTTAGGAAAACGGAAGTGGGGAGGGGTCTGCTGAACTATTACAGGGCAGTTCAAAGCAGGGTGAGCACCCTTCCCCCACATCTGACCCACCTCGCCGGTCTCAGGTGCTGCGTTGCCAGCTCTCTGCTGAGGAGGTGCGGTTCCCAGTCTCTGTGACCCAGCAGTCCCCCGCTGCCGTCTCCATGGAGACCTACCACGTCACTCTGACACTGCCACCAACACAGGTAGAAGGGGATGTGGGAAACTGAGTTGGGCAGGGGCGGTTCCATTGGCTCAGCTTCTTCCATTTGTTTCCTCTCTGGGATGGAATTCAGGAAGGGAGAGTCCTCGAATTAGGAGTCCTTGGGTAAATGGGGCAAGTCAGCCCAGTCACTTTGTTCCTGTCTGTAGTTGGAAGTCAACCTGGAGGAAATCCCTGGTGAGGGGCTGCTCATATCCTGGGCCTTCACTGATCGCCCAGATCTCAGCCTAACGGTGCTTCCCAAGCTTCAGGCCAGGGAGGTAAGGAGGCAGAGCTGGCAGAGAAGAGGCAGAACGGGGAGGGAGGCAGAGGTGGGGGATCCACCTCCTTGTTGTTCCCTTCTTCTCTCTGCAGAGAGGTGAAGAACAAGTGGAGCTCTCCACAATTGAGGAACTGATCAAGGATGCCATAGTCAGCACCCAGCCAGCCATGATGGTCAACCTCAGGGCTTGCTCTGCCCCAGGAGGCCTGGTGAGTTGGCACCCAAAGCAAAAGATTTGCATGCACCTTGTTCCTAGGGTGCTATGTCAGGATTCTTGCTCTTTGGACCTTCTTCTGCTCTTAGGTACCCAGTGAGAAGCCACCCATGATGCCCCAGGCTCAGCCAGCCATCCCCAGACCTAACCGGTTATTCCTACGGCAGCTTCGGGCATCTCACTTGGGAAATGAGCTGGAAGGTGAGAGCTGGAAGTGGCTGCGGGACTGCCAAGGCTATGGTTGGTTGCAGATGCTCTCTGCCCCTCTGCCAAGGGTACAGCCTCTTTATTCTGCAGTGACTTCCCATCTCTGATCTGAGCATCTTCTAACTTCTGGTTCATCACAGGCACCGAGGAACTGTGCTGTGTAGCTGAACTCGACAACCCCATGCAGCAGAAGTGGACCAAGCCCGCGAGGGCTGGATCCGAGGTGGAGTGGACAGAAGACCTGGCACTGTAAGGAGTAACCCTGCCCCGACCCCATGCTCCAGAGCAGAGAGGATCAAACCTTTCCAGCACAGTCCTTGCAGGAATCAGCTCTGTTTTCAGTAGCCTTTGGCGTGAGCTCCTATTGTATGCCAGGCCCTGGCGTGGGTCTTAGGGATACAGACTTGACCAAGATACAGCCCCCACCCCTGGGTCAATGACAAGCTTGAGGCAGAGACAGGTGTACATAAAGAAGATGGTAAAACCGCTCCAGTTGAGGTTTATGTAATGTGCCGTCAGAGTGCCTAGGTGGGGGGGAGATTAATTCCCATGAGGGAATAAGGATCAGAGTAGGCTTCATGGAGGAGATGACATTTAAACCACACTTTAGAGCAAGAGTAGGATTTCATCAGAGTGTGAAAGTATTCTCGGCAGAGGGAAGAGCTGGAGCAAATGAAAGAGGGTGGCTTGCAACTGAGAGACTGGCAAGACAGGAAGAGCAGGACCAGGGAGGATTTGAATGCATAGCTGAGAAGCATGGTTTCCACTCAGGCCCTGTCCCTTTCTCTTGGGACGAGAGAGAATTTGGAGGCCAGGAGAATCTGATTGGAGCATTTATGCCGTTTTATTTATGTACACAGCTCTCTGCCTCTGGCCTGTGATCCACTCAAGTGTGGGTTCAGCTTGCTAATTTTCTCCTTCCTGCCCCATCTCCTCTTGTCCCACAGGGATCTGGGCCCCCAGAGCCGGGAGCTGACCCTCAAAGTGCTGAGGAGCAGCAGCTGTGGAGACAGTAAGTGAGGGGTGGGAGGGGCACCCCTGGGTGGGTACAGAGTGGGGTCTGGCCATGGGCCCAGCTCACAGTGCCATCCCTTTCCCCAGCCGAACTCCTAGGCCAGGCCACACTGCCTGTGGGCTCCCCCTCCAGACCACTGTCTCGAAGACAGTTGTGCCCACTCACCCCAGGGCCAGGGAAAGCCCTGGGACCAGCAGCCACCATGGCAGTGGAGGTGAGAAGCTGACCCCTGGGGTAGGTGGGAGGACACAGGGGATGGGCAGTCTCCGAGGCTCTGTCTCTTCTCTCTCCCACCCCTGGGCAGCTTCACTATGAGGAGGGCTCTCCCCGGAACCTGGGTACTCCCACCTCCTCCACTCCACGCCCCAGCATCACACCTACCAAGAAGATTGAGCTTGACCGGACCATCATGCCCGATGGCACCATTGTCACCACAGTCACCACTGTCCAGTCCCGGCCCCGTATAGACGGCAAATTAGGTAAAGAGAAGGAGCCTGGGAGCCCAGCTCTAGCCAGGGGCCCGGGACTGCAGACCCAAGGCAGGACAGTGAAAGAGGAGAGAGCCTTAATTCCAACTCCCCCTGTTTTCAGACATTCCATTCCAGTCCTACCACATCTTCCTCCCAATCTTTGTCTCTTCCAAACTTTCCCTTACCTCCTGCCATTTCCCCAGCAATTCCTCTCACTCTGCCACCCTTCTGGATCCTCCTGCCCCTCCTCATACAGGACTGTTGCACTCCTACCTTCCAGCTTCCCCTCTGGCTTTTCACAGGTGTCCTTAGCCCCAGCTGACTATAATTGTCCATCCTGCTACCCTCAGCCCTCCAGCACCCCCTGGGGTCCTCCAACAAACCCAGAGGCCTCTGTGGCATTTCTACCCCACTCAGTGGGCCCCCATGGCACTTCTGCCATTATAGGGGCCCCACTGAATTGCCCCAACTTCAGGGAGCCCCAGTACCCCCTCTGTCCCCGCTCCATATTTTCATAGCATCTCCCCACACCTTCAGCAGGCCCCATGGCACTTTCCTACACTCCCATTAGCTCCTGGGGTGTCTTTTAGTCCCCACGGCATCTTCCTAATCACCCTTGTGATTAATCACCCTTTAATCATTCTTGCCCTCTGAGTCACCCAAAGTCTGCATCTCAACAAAGACAGTAGGGGTGGGGGCCACTCTGAAGCAACTCCCAGCTCACTGACCCTCCCCCACCCACCAGACTCCCCCTCCCGCTCCCCGTCCAAGGTGGAGGTGACCGAGAAGACGACAACTGTGCTGAGTGAGAGCAGTGGCCCCAGCAATACCTCCCATAGCAGCAGCCGTGAGTGGGGAATGGGGTGCATGAGTGTGGGTTGGCCCTGGTGCCCCAGCATCAAAAAGTACTCTGGGTGGGATAGGAGGAGTTCCAATCCAAGAAAGAGCCAGGGAGAAGTCAGGTTATTCATTCTCTGCACCCCTAGCAGGGGACAGCCACCTTTCCAACGGCTTGGACCCTGTAGCAGAGACAGCGATTCGCCAGCTGACAGAGCCCAGTGGGCGGGTGGCCAAGAAGACACCCACCAAGCGCAGCACTCTCATCATCTCTGGTGTTTCCAAGGTAACAGGGCTCTGGGGAGAGGAGCTGGGATGGGGAGAAAGCCCTAATGGGTCGGTCACTCCTGCCCATTAAAACCCGTCCCTCCTGCCAGGTGCCCATTGCTCAGGACGAGTTGGCGCTATCCCTGGGCTATGCGGCATCCCTGGAAGCCTCAGTGCAGGATGATGCAGGGACCAGCGGAGGCCCCTCTTCACCTCCCTCAGACCCACCAGCCATGTCTCCAGGACCGCTAGATGCCCTCTCTAGTCCCACAAGTGTCCAGGAAGCAGACGAGACAACCCGTTCGGATATTTCTGAGAGGCCATCTGTGGATGATATTGAGTCGGAAACGGGGTCCACTGGTGCCCTGGAGACCCGCAGCCTCAAGGATCACAAAGGTAGGGGGACGTTGGCAGGGTGCCCCTCATCTCTTCTTTTATACACATATCATGACCTGGGGGACCTCGAGCCAGTGTGCCTTCTCCTTCCTCCCCTAAGAGATAGCCGGATTCCCAGCCTAGTTCAGCCAAGCTAGCCTAGAGGGGGATCTTGGTGCCTTGGTTCCTGGCCTAGATCTGACATGCTTGTGATAGGAAGGGATGCCAAATTATTTCCCTTTACCTCCATTGTTCTTTCTTCCTGAGTCTAAGTGCCATTTTTCCTGCCCTTTAAAAAAAAATTATAAAAATTTATTCCTAGGCAGGGTGTGGTGGCTCACACCGGCACTTTGGGAGGCCAAGGCGGGTGGCTTACCTGAGTCCAGGAGTTCAAGACTAGCCTGGGCAACATGGCGAGACCCCATCTCTACTAAAAATACAATAAATTGGCTGGGCGTAGTGGCACACACCTGTAATCTCAGCTACTCAGGGGGCTGAGGAGGGAGGATTCCTTGAGCCTGGGAGGTTGAGGTTCAAGGAGGTTGAAGCAGTGAGCCGTGATTGTGCCACTGCACTCCAGCCTGGGTGACAGAGTGAGACCCTGTCTCAAAAAAAATTTTTTTTTTCCATGGCTGGGCACGGTGGTTAATGCCTGTAATCCTAGCACTTTGGGAGGCCAAAGCGGGTGGATCACAAGGTCAGGAGTTCAAGACCAGCCTGGCCAACATGGGTAAACCCCATCTCTACTAAAAATACAAACATTAGCCAGACGTGGTGGCAGGCGCCTATAATCCCAGCTACTTGGGAGGCTGAGGCAGGAGAATCGCTTGAACTGGGGGGTTGGAGGTTGCAGTGAGCCCAGATCATGACACTGCACTCCAGCCTGGGTGACAGAGTGAGACTCTGTCTCAAAAAAAAAAAAAAAAAAAAAAAATTCTTCCCTTTCAATCTGCACCCTCTCCCCAATGAGTATAAGAAATCCTACCCTTGGATTATCCATCTGGCAGCAAGACAGGCAGTGACCAGTGGTGGTAGTTCTTCTAACTTTAAAAGATGAGAGGCTCACCCTAAAACATCTTCATTCCTCTACCAGTGAGACTATCAACCATGGATCTATCTATCTATTTTTTAAGCCTGCATCACTTCTTGAGATAATGAGGTTTCTACCTCCAAAGCCTGCTGGGTGAGCACCTTGCTCATTATACTGGTTCTGAATTTACCTCTTTGAAGTTTCTAGATGCACCACTTCCTGCTCACAGCCTGGAATTCGGTTAACAAGTCAGTGTCAACCTACCTTTCCCTTCATGATTTATAGACTTTTGGGAGTACCTTCTGGTAGCTTTTGTCTTCCCATAGGAAAGAGGCCCAATCCCAGTTTGTCCTCACAAAGCGGCCAGCTCCGTGATATCTCTTTTGCGGGCAGAGTTAAGATTGTACACAGATCCCCACAAGTACCACGATTTTTGCCTCAGGAAGGATAAAGCACATGTTTGTTTCTGCTTTCGTTTTCTTTTTTCTTTTTTTCACGAAGCCTTATGGAGAAGTATGTTTCTGCTTTCTTTCCTGAGGAAGCCTGGCTTCTGGGCCACGGGACTGATCCTGTCCACATCCTCTTTCCCTCCATTCTCCATCGTGTCTCTGCCCCCGTCTCACCCCACCCCGTGCCCCTCTCTGCCTCAGCTTCCCCTCTTCCCCTGCAGTGAGTTTCCTGCGCAGCGGCACTAAGCTCATCTTCCGCCGGAGGCCTAGGCAGAAGGAAGCTGGCCTGAGCCAATCACACGATGACCTCTCCAACGCAACGGCCACGCCCAGTGTCCGAAAGAAGGCCGGCAGCTTTTCTCGCCGCCTTATCAAGCGCTTTTCCTTCAAATCCAAACCCAAGGCCAATGGTAACCCCAGCCCCCAGCTCTGAGGACCCAGCTCTGAAAGGGCACGAGTTCTCTCAGCCCATTCCCCACCTCCCCTTCCATACCCCTTCCTGGATCTCCAGTGCCTGGGCCAGGAAAGCCCTCTGGGTTCCGGGAAGCCCCGTCCACCCTGGGCCATGGGGCCGGTTGGAAGGATACTTGGAACGGGAAGCACATGAGAGGTGGGCACCCGGTGCCGAGGACATGGACGAGGGACTGGTGGCTGGGAGGGAGAGGAGGGCCCTGTCCGGCATGTGTGGGTATTCCCCAGAAGCATTTGCCTCCTGCTGAGCCTGGTCCCTGAGCGGAGTCCCAGGGTGCTCAGCTCTTCAGCTGACCCTTCTTCCCTTATTTATTCTCTTTTCTATTTATATGTGTGGCTTAGGACCCTCCGTGAACAGATGATAGAGGGCATCTCTCCCAGGTGACCCTTCTTTTCTGTCCCAGGAGGGTGGGTAATTCCCTTTGGGATGGGGCTCCCACACCTCCCTCAGGTCCCCACTCAGACCAGCACCAGTGTCTGCCTCTGAGAATGTTGGCAGCTCACAGAGAGCAGGGCCGGCCCGGGATGGGGGGCAGGTACTCCCCACCTTCCTGCCTCCCCTCCTGCTCCTCATCCCTCCCTCCCCCTTTATTACCGTTTTTTGTACTTGATGCCTTCTCTGTGAGCAGTGGCTCTGTGGGAAGGAGGGAGCCGGGAGCCTGGTGGGAAGCCTTCCCCAGAGAGATGGCTTTAGGGGCTTTATTTAAAGACTGTGATGATGGAGCCACGCAAGGCTGCACCTCTGTGTGTTGGGAGACGATGATGATGTCCATTGCTGTGTGATGGCTTGGAATTTAATTTATTAAAGTCAAATTGGAGTTTATAAACTGGACAACTGGTTATCCTTTGAAAGGCAGTAGGCAGCCAGGCTGTGACATGGATGGTGTGGGAGGATGAGACAGGGGCCCGGATAATGAGGTTGGGTAGATGACACACATTGTGGATCTGCTAAGAAGTTCCTGCAGGGAAGAAGGGGTGTGCAGAGAAAGGATGGAAGAGACAGGAGGCTCTGGAGTATGAAATTGTAGCAAAAAACTCAATCAACTAGTACAGGTTAGTCTTCATTCCCCTTTCTGGAACAGGCTGCTCCTTCTAGGATGTAATGGAGATCAAAGCTTGGACCCTGTAACTAGACTGCCTGCCTGGGTTTGAGTCCCAGCTCTTCTAATTACTTGTGTGACCTTGGGCAAGTTATGTAACCTCTAAGTGCCTCAGTTTTCTCATCTGTAAAATGGGAACTTCAATCATCATGGCTATCATTTGGTTGTGGATGAGAAGTAAATGAAGTGCTGAGTGTTAACTGTTGCCTCAGAAGAAACTGGGAGGGGGAAGTCTTAGAAGTGTTTCAACATAATAAAAGCTCTCTCATTCTGAAATGTGGGCAAATTTCAGGGATTGATAGATCCTAGCAAACTGTGTCCCTGGTTCCCGTGCTTGAGATCTTATACAGGACTTGAACCAGGTAAGCTGCTACAGGATATTGGGCAGAATGCAGGACCAGGAAGCAAGAAAACTGAGTCTGCCACAGACAAACCAAGTGATCTTGAGCAGGCAACTTCTCCTTTGGGGACCTCAGTTTCCTCATATCTAAAATAAGGGTGACCTGGATAAACATTCAGGTCACTTCCAGCCTTGACATTCTATGACTACCTATATCTCAGGGTGTTTAGGGCACATGCCTTTGGGTAGATAGCATGTGGAAATTGTTACTATTCCCCATGCTCCTGTCCACACTACTCACCAAATATGAGATATCCGGGAAGAATGGAGGGTATAGATTTTTTTTTTCAATTAGATAATTTAGTTTTATATATTTGGGGGGACAAGTGCAGGTTTCTTACATGCATATATTGCATGCATAGAGGTGAAGTCTGGGCTTTTTTTAGTGTGCGCATCGCCCAAATAGTGAACATCATACCCAATAGGTAGTTTTTCAACCCTCACCCTCCTCCCACCTTCTCACCTTTCATAGTCTCCGATGTCTTTTATTCCACTCTATATGTCCATGTATACCCATTATTTAGCTCCCACTTATAAATGAGAATATGCCATATTTGACTTTGTTTCTGAGTTATTTCACCGAGGATAATGGCCTCCAGTTCCACCCATGTTGCTGGAAAACACATGATTTCATTCTTTTTTATGGCTGAGTAGTATTCCACTGTGTGTGTGTGTGTTGGGCGATGATAATGATGTCCATTGCTGTGTGACAGCTTGGAATTTAATTTATTAAAGTCAAGTTGGAGTTTATAAACTGCATTTTCTTTATCACTCACTACATTAACTACGTTTTCTTTATCCAATCCTCCATTGATGGACACATCGATTTGGTTGATTTTTATGTAGTGAAATGTTCAATTCTAAGTCATGAAAATTCAAAGAGATTTTTCAAGCTGTTTCCCCAGTCTAAGAAATGTAACTCTTAGTGGTTCACAGAGGAACAGTTTTTCTACCAGTATGACACGACAACCAAACACAGTGAACTTGTGATTGCACAAGAAACTTTTGTTGATGGGAGAACAGGTATTCAGAGTTCTACAGGACCTGGGGAATGAGTAGATGGTAACTGGAATCTGTATTGAGCTTCCAGTACTGAGCTGCCCAGAGTTCCATGGAATCACATATTTTAGTGAAGAAGAGCCTGATCACGTTTCAAAAATAGGGAATTTTTAAATGAATGAAAAAAATACGAAACATATTTTCATCAACTTAATCCATTTCACACTTTCAGAAGGGATCCACAGCTTTTAATGAGTATGAATTATGCTTTCAGTTTTTGTGGCAGCTTTTAAAGAACAAATCTCAGGATATGTCTGAATTACCCAGCCAAAATTGTGGCTTGTTTTCAAGAGAAGCAGATTGAGATAGAAGTAAACTATGCTAGACAGAATGACACTGCTTTAAATTTTGGAAACATATATATGGATCCCAGAGCAATCCTGAAATTTTTGCTCTGTAACCTATGTTTGAGTTTACACAGCTCTGTGAATGAACTTTTTCTTCATAAAATTGCTAAATAAAGCTAAAAGCTATTTTCAGTGGTGTAAATCTGAATTAAAATGAGGATGGCATTTCATGAAGTACTACTATATGCATTTTTGAATGAATAAAGTTGGTAAGATATATTTTGTTACTTTTGAATTACATTTTTTAAAACGCTTTTTTTTTTTTTTTGAGACAGAGTCTCTCTCTGTTGCCCGGGCTGGAGTGCAGTGGAGTGATCTTGGCTCACTGCAACCTCTGCCTCTCAGGTTCAAGCGATTTTCCTGCCTCAGCCTCCTGAGTAGCTGGCACTACAGGCACCCACCACCACACCTGGCTAATTTTTGTATTTTTTGTAGAGATGGGGTTTCGCCATGTTGGCCAGGCTGGTTTCGAATTCCTGACCTCATGATCCGCCCGCCTCGGCCTCCCAAAGTGCTGGGATTACAGGCATGAGCCACCGCGCCCTGCAAAACCCTATTTTAAAATAGGGACCAAGTTATAACTCACTGTTGTTAAAACCAAAATTTATGCACAAGTATGACTTTACTATCTTAATGGCATTTTAAATTTTATTTTATATATATTGAACATTTAATGTGTTTTCTGATTGTACAAATTATATAGGTTTATTTTTAGATTAGAAGATACAGAAAACTACAATGCAATAAAATATCAGTCTTAACCAACTTTATTAAGGTATATTATTTAACAAGTATGTCTTGAACCCTTACTGAGTTTCAGCCACTGGGCTAAGTGAGTGATGGGTTTTTTGTTTTATTTTGTTTTTTGTTTTGTTTTGAGACAGAGTCTTGCTCTGTTGCCCAGGCTGGTGTGCAGTGGTGCCATCTCAGCTCACTGCAACCTGTGCCTCCTGGGTTCAAGCGATTCTCCTGCCTCAGCCTCCCGAGTAGCTGAGATTATAGGCGCCCGCCACGATGCCCAGCTAGTTTTTGTATTTTTAGTAGAGACGGGGTTTCCCCATGTTGGCCAGGCTGGTCTTGAGCTCCTGACCTCATGTGATCCACTCGCCTCGGCCTCCCAAAGTGCTGGGATCACAGGCGTGAGCCACGACACCCGGCCCACTGATGGAGTTATAAAGGTGAAGAACTAGTCTAGTGAAGAATGCAGACTGAGAGTAAACAGACAAATACAATGTGACTGAGCTGTATTGTTAAATACAAGAAAGGACTATCAGGAAGACTTTTTGGAAAAAGAAGCATCTACACTGAGACCATAAAAATTAGTAGGAGTCAGTCAAATAAATGTGGGAGGAGGAGAAAGGGATTATTCCAGGTAAAGAAAACAAGTTCAAGGCTTGAGAGGTAAAAGGTGGCTTGGTGTGGTGGAAAAGGTGAAAGAAATTTGCGACTGGAGAGCAAGAAATATGGTCGAGAAGGACTAAAAAAAAGTAGACAGGGAGAGCCCAGATGCTGAAGGGTCTAGAAAACCTCAGTATGGTTTTGGAGCTTTGCCCTGAAAGCAATAGAATGCCTTTGAATTGTCTGAAGCAGATGGTAACTTGATCAGGTCTGCTTTTTGCAAAGTGGAGAATGCTTTGGAAGGAAGCAAGTGTGCACGCAGCGGGACCCATTAGACTAATGTATAAATCCTGCCTGGAGGTCATCACTGGACAGGGGAGGTGGGGGAGGCGGTGAAGATAAACAAAAGGGGATAAATTTGAAATATCCTGTTTTAAAAGGAGGTAGAATCCACAGAACTTGGCAATGGATTGGATGTGAGAAGTGAGAGGAATCAGTGATGACTGCCAGCTTTCTGACCTGAACGAGTGGATGAAGGGAAGCCGAGTTTTGGGGGGAAAGAGAAACATATAATACCAACATTTAAAACATAATAAGACTAAGAGGCTGAAGGAAAGGGTAGAACCTTCAATCTGAGCCGAGCGGGGCCGACAGCGCTGGGCAGCATCCCACGCCTTTTTCTCCGCGAGGCCCACGCAACCAGCCAACTAAAGCGAAGAACCACGTGAGGGAGACCCCACTGCGCACCAGGCGCGAGCCCTGCGCATGCCCGTTGGGTCCCGGAGGCCGAGCCTGCGCAGTTAGGGGAACTCAGGCCCATAGGCTCCCCGCCTTTGCGTTGCCCTGAGCAGCGAGGCGCGGTCACGTGCTACCTTTTGCACGTATCCTGTCGCCCCTCTGTCCGCCCGGGACGCCTAGCCCCACCCACTGTTCCCGCCCCTTCCGTGTTTTGGTGCGCACGGGTTCCGCCAGACACAGCTACCATTGGCTGTCAGTCGGATCCGAGAACGACGATTGGCTTTCCTTGACCGTCCCTCAAGCGCCTCTCCGGAGATGGTCTGAGGTGGGAGAAGAGCTGAAGAGACCTGGAGCCGACAGACGGTAAGCTGGGGTATGTGCTCTGCAGGGGCTGCAGGAGGCCAAGCTCTTCCCGAGCCACCTCGGCGAGTATTCTTGCCGCTTGGCCACGCTGGTCTGCCCTGGTCCGGTCCCCTCACCCCGACTGGAACCTCCCTGCTTTCTAGTCTAGGGGCTTCGCTGCGGCTGAGACTCGGTCGCCGCCACGCCTTAGCGTGAAGGATTCCGGGAAGCCTGCGGGACTGCGAGTGGAGAGGTTTTGCCCAACGGGACGGTCTCCTTCCTTCTGTCCAAATTCTACCTGTCCTTCGAGGCGTGGTGCGGGCCCCACTGCTTAGGGGAGACTTCCTTTTCGCCTGACCGCGGAGGTGTCTCTCTGTCCTGGTCTCCCTCATCGGGTACTTTGTTTCGGTCGTTGTCTTCACGTATCAGTCTTATCTTTTTGGCCAAATTATGAGTTCTTAGGCGTTTAGGACCCTTTTTTTCTTGAATACCACAGTTCATTCATTGTCTTGCGTTACAGTATATGCCCTCTTAAGTGTTAAGAGGGTAGAGTGAAGATCATGCCCCTATCTCCTCAGAGTAGAAACAAGAGACACAGAAAGAGAAATTAAAGAAGACAGGAGGACAGTCAGAGAGCGTCAGGGAGTTTTGCCTAGGTTTCAGATCATTCTGTATCGCCAGCTAGCTTGCCTCCTTGGACTTACCCACCAGTCTAACAGCAGGTGTATGTTTAGAATATTTGTGCTCGGCACAGTGTAGGGACACGGGCAGGTGTGATATGGTTTCTGCTCAGAAGCTTCTTATAGTCCAATTGGGTAAACGAGACTAGAACACATAAAACGACCATGGCAACATGAAAATAGGGTTGAAGTTTTATGGTGTCAGCTGTGCCAGCCATAGAACTAAGGAGCAAGAGTAGATTCAGGGATGGGGTAGTTTAGGAAGGCTTCCCGGAATGTGATTATCTCCTGATATTTATTGAGTACCTGGGGTGTGCAAAGCTCTGTGCTGAATCTGAGAATGAGAAGTGAATAAGTGATGGCCACTGTCCTGAGAAACTCCTAGTCTAGGGGAAACAAGTTTCATTGCATTGATAGCAAAGATGTGTGTGGATGCCGTGGGCAAGAGATGGGATATGCCAGCTGTACCTGGATGAATTGGGAAGGGGGTCATCAAAGAGAAGACTTTGGGGTTTGAAAGGCGAATAGAAGTTGCATAGGTAGGCCTGTCGCGGTGGCTCACACCTGTAATCCCAGCACTTTGTGAGGCCGAGGCGGGCGGATCACTTGAGGTCAGGAGTTTGGGACCAGCCTGACCAACATGGCAAGACCTCGTCTCTACTAATACTACAAAAATTAGCTGGGCGTGGTGGTGCGTGCTTATAGTCCCAGCTATAATACTTCGGAGGCTAAGTCACGAGAATCGCTTGAACCTGGGAGGCGGAGGTTGCAGTGAGCCCAGATCACAGCACTGCACTCCAGCCTGGGCGACAGAGCAAGACTCCATCTCCAAAAAAAAAAAAAAAAAAAAAAAGAACTTGCGTAGGCAGAGAGTTTTAGGAGAATGTAGAGTATTCAGAGACAAAGATGATTGAATCAGAGGAAGAGGGAATGAAGTATGGGTGAGGAAGCCAGAGAACAGCATCATGTGGGAGAAAGAGCATGATCTTTGGATTGGAATGAGGGTGCTCTTACATCAGATGAAGTGTAGAGAGGACTCACCACAGGGCTGACACACTGTAGCTTCTCAATAGATGTTCGTTTCCCTACCTAGAACTGGAGAAGTAAAATTGAGACCACTTTGAGAAGAGCCTTGCATTTCATACTGTAATAGTCAGAGGAGGTGTGGGATTTTATGACTTTTGAAGCTTTTTTCTACTTTTCTTACCACAACATTATAAAAGCAGTCAATATTCAATATTTCTTTCTTCTTTTTTTTTTTTTTGACAGGGTCTGGGTCTGCCGCCCAGGATGGAGTACAATGGTGTGATCTTGGCTCTTTGCAACCTCTGCCTCCTGGGCTCAAGCCTTCCTCCCACCTGAACCTCCCAAGTAGCGGGACTGCAGGTGCATGCTACCACATCGGCTGTTTTTTTTTTTTTTTTTTTTTTTTTGAGATTGAATCTTGCTCTGTCACTAGGCTGGAGTGCAATGGTGCGATCTCGGCTCACTGCAACCTCTGTCTCCCGGGTTCAAGTGATTCCCCTGCCTCAGCCTCCATAGTAGCTGGGACTACAGGCGTGTGCCACCATACCTAGCTAATTTTTTGTATTTGGCCAGGATGGTCTCAATCTCCTGACCTTGTGATCCCCTCGCCTCGGCCTCCCAAAGTGCTGGGATTACAGGCATAAGCCACTGCGCCCGGCTGATTTTTGTATTTTTAGTAGAGACGGAATTTTGCCATGTTGCCCAGGCTGGTCACAAACTCCTGAGCTCAAGCCATTTGCTCACCTCAGCCTCCCAAAGTGCTAAGATCGTGAGCCACTGCACTCGGCCCAGCAGTCAATATTTGTAATAGGGATTCACTAGTAGTCTGTGAGCAGCTCAGCAACCCTATATGCACCCCAGAGTGTTAAGGATGACTGGATTCTTCTCTGAGGAGGAGAAAAGGCTATGTAGGTACAGTAGGTATAGTGGGTTCAGAAAAGCCTGTATTGGGGGCATGAAGGATCTTCTGTTTTTTCGTATTTTCTGTTTTTTTTCCTTTTAGTATTCAGTAAAGGCCTTTTTTCAGAGTTCCCACCTGTCTCAGGTAGGCCAGAGAGAGCAACATGGTGGGGTCAGCAAGAATCCGTGAGAATTCCTGAGGAGAAGGTGACACTCAGGAGACAGAGCCAAGGCCGGCTAGTGTCCTCTCTCTAGCAGAAATTTTGCTTGCAACGTCACCCTCTGTTCTGTGTTTCGTTTATTCTTTAATTGTTACTCAAAGTATGCTTCTGGAACTGCTTGCATCACAACTGGGGTGCTGAGTTAAAAGGGCAGATTTCTAGGCTTAACTCCTGCCTTCCTGAATCCGAACTTCTCACGCAGGCGCTGGATAACTACATTCGTGTGCAGATCTAAAATTGAGAGCTACCTGGGCATGGTGGCTCACATCTATAATCCCAGCACTCTGGGAGGCTGAGGCGGGTGGATCACCTGAGGACAGGAGTTCGAGACCAGCCTGGCCATCATGGTGAAACTCTGTCTCTAGCAAAAATACAAAAATTAGCCAGGCGTGGTGACACACCTGTAATCCCAGCTACTCAGGAGGCTGAGGCAGGAGAATCTCTTGAACCCGGCAGGTGGAGGTTGCAGTGAGCTGAGATTGCGCCACTGCATTCCAGCCTGGGTAACAGCGAGACTCTGTCTCAAAAAATAAAAATAAAATGAAATAAAATTGAGAACCTTTAGTTTTTTGTTTGTGTGTGTGTGTGTGTTTTTTTTTTTTTTTTTTTTTGAGACAGAGTCTTACTCTGTTGCCCAGGCTGGAGTACAGTGGCACGATCTCGGCTCATTGCAGCTTCTGCCTTCCAAGTTCAAGCGATTCTCCTGCCTCAGCCTCCCGAGTAGCTGGGATTACAGGCTTGTGCCACCACGCCTGGCTAATTTTTGTATTTTTAGTAGAGACAGGGTTTCACCATGTTGGCCAGGCTGGTCTTGAACTCCTGACTTCAGATGATCCACCTGTCTTGGCCTCCCAGAGTGCTGGGATTAGAGGTGTGCACCAGTGCGCACAGCCGAGAACCTTCAGTTTCATGTTTATCTTTCTTCAATAAATATTTATTACAGACTGGGTGCAGTGGCTCATGCCTGTAACTCCAACACTTTGGGAGTCTGAGGCAGATGGGTTGCTTGAGTCCAAGAATTCGAGACCAGCCTGGGCAACATGGCAAAACCCTGTCACTACAAAAACAAAACAAAACAAAAATTAGACAGATGTGGTGGCGCATGCCTGTGGTCCCAGTTACTTGGGAGGCTGAGGTAGGAGGATCTCCTGAGCCTGGGGAGGTCGAAGCTTCAGTGAGCTGTGATTGTGCCACTGTACTCCAGCCTGGGTGACAGGGTGAGACTCTGTCTCAAGAAAAAAAATATTTATTACATGCCTAAGCATGCCTAGCAGTGTATAGACACCCAAGGTGCAGTATAAACTACACAGATACGGCTTTTTATGTTCAAATGGAATCTACATTTTAACAGAAGGTATTAGCAGAGTGGTGGAGTAAACCGTTGGATAGGTTAGGTAAAGGCAGATTGTATGGCACTGTGAAAGTCTGGCAGGGGACTTATGATTCAATAAGAAATAAGGAGCTTCTAGGCTCATCTGTAGGCTCTATGGAGTAGAACCGTATATGGACTAGAGTCAGCCCAACATGACCCTACCATTACCACTAGTGTGTGGCCGTGAGCAAGTCAGTTGACCTCTGGAACTTCAGGTGTTTATCTATAAATGAGGTTAAAAATAGCACCTACCAGCTGGGCGTGGTGGCTCACACCTATGATCCCAGCACTTTGGGAAGCCAAGGTGGGTGGATCACCTGAGGGCAGGAGTTTGAGACCAGCCTGACCAACATGGGGAAGAAACCCTGTCTCTACGAAAAATATAAAAATTAGCCAGGCGTGGTGGCGGGCGCCTGTAATCCCAGCTACTCAAGAGGCTGAGGCAGGAGAATCGCTTGAACCCGGGAGGCGGAGGTTGCAGTGAGCCAAAATCGAGCCATTGCACTCCAGCCTGGGAGATGAGCGAAACTCAATCTCAAAAAAAAAAAAAAAAAAAGCACCTACGGCAAAGGGTGGTGTTGGTAATTAAATGACATAATGCAAATAAAATGCTTACTGTGGTGCTTGACATATAGTAAGTGTGAAATTAAAAACAAAAAGATTTATTATCTTCATTTTGCAGATGAGAGTATTCAGAAGTTAAGTTCTTGACAAAGGTCATACAGCTAGTAGATGGTAGACAGTGGAGCCAGGATTTGAACCCTGATCCTTCTCAAAAGCCATCTGTTTGAACCTGAGCATTGTTCTGCCTCACAGAGGAATAATTCCTTCTTGGTGGGTTGCTCTGAAGCTTCATGAGAAAATGTCTGTTAAAGCGTTTAGCTCAGTGCCTGGCACACACTCAATAGTGTTAGTTTTTGTTTTCCCTTTCCACAAACACCAGACATCTTCCAGGGATTTAAGGAATTACTCCATCCTTACTGTAAAAGGGCAGGGTTTCTCATGGGTCACTGGAACAACACGTGCTGATTCTAGGCAGGCTGCCTGCCCAGCTTTTTGCCCTCAGCAGCACCTGGGTGGAATTCTTGCAGCTGTGGATTTCTTCCTCTTCCTCTAGGGTGAAGGCCATGCCGCCTCCTGGGAAAGTTCCCCGAAAGGAGAATCTGTGGCTACAGTGTGAGTGGGGGTCCTGCTCCTTTGTGTGCTCAACCATGGAAAAGTTCTTTGAGCATGTCACTCAGCACCTGCAGCAGCACCTGCATGGCTCTGGGGAGGAGGAGGAAGAGGAAGAGGAGGATGACCCACTTGGTAAGAGAGCAGGACACAGGAAGGGGAGGAGCTCAAGGAAAGGTGGAAAATCTGACTTTCTTTTCCTTAGAGGGAGAAGGCGGCCTAAGAGAATGGTGGTTTATTTTCCTAATTGTGTTTTTGTTGTATATAAAAACATTGTAAACTCATTTATAGAAAACTCAGTCAACAAGGATATAAGGAATAAATCTGCCATCCTGCCATCAAGAAGTAATTGCTGACAGTACTTTAGTGAACATTGTTTTTGACATCTCTCTGCCTGTGTTTACATATATTTAAATACAGATGAATGTGCTTTTTTTTAATCATTCTGTACAAGTTGTTGGCAACCTGTGTTTTGTTGTTGTGTTTTTTTTTTTTTTTTTTTTACTCTTCTAGTATTCCCAATTTTTTTTTTCTTTTACTGCAACCAGTCAGAAATACATCTTACTTTTTAGAGACAGGGCTTCATCTTGTCACCCAGGTTGGAGTCCAGTGTCATGATCATAGCTCACTGCAGCCTTCAACACTCAAGGGATCCTCCTGCCTCAACCTCCCGAGTAGTTAGGACTGCAGGCATGTACCACCACCACACGCCAATTTTTAAAAAAATTTTTTTTAGAGACAGGATCTTGCTTATGTTGCCCACTGATCTCAAACTCCTGGCCTCGAGCAATCCTCCTACCTTAGCCTCCTAAGTAGCTGGGACTATTGGCTTGTGCCACCAAGTCCAACCCCACTCCCACCTTCCAATTTTTTTTTTTTTTTTTGAGACGGAGTCTTGCTCTGTTGCCAGGTTGGAGTGCAATGGTTCGATCTCGGCTCACTGCAGCCTTTGCCTCCCAGGTTCAAGCAATTCTCCTGCCTCAGCCTCTTGTAGCTGGGACTACAGGCGCGCGCCACCACGCCCAACTAATTTTTGTACTTTTAGTAGAGATGGGGTTTCACCATGTTGGCCAGGATGGTCTCAATCTCTTGATCTCATGATCCGCCCACCTCGGCCTCCCAAAGTGCTGGGATTACAGGCGTGAGCCACCGCACCTGGCCCCATCTCTCACTTTTTAACCTTTGTCTGACTTATGTTTTAGGTATGCCTTTTATCAATAGCAAATAACTGGGATTTTAATAAAATCCAATCTGAAAACAATAACAATAGTGAACTGTATTCTATAGTACCTACTGTGTGTTAAGTATTGCTGGGTACTTTATTTTTTTTTTGAGATGGAGTCTCATTCTTGTTGCCCAGGCTGTAGTGCAGTGGTGCAATCTCGGCTCACTGCAACCTCTGCCTCCTCGGTTCAAGCGATTCTTCTGCCTCAGCCTCCCGAGTAGCTGGGATTACAGGTGCGTGCCACTACGCCCGTCTAATTTTTTTTTGTATTTTTAGTAGAGACAGGCTTTCACCATGTTAGCCAGGATGCCCCTGTTGGCCAGCCTGGTCTTGAACTCCTGACCTCAGGTGATCCGCCCGCCTCAGCCTCCCAAAGTGCTGGGATTATAGACGTGAGCCACCATGCCCGGCCAGTACTTTTTTAAACCTACATTAAAGCACTATTTCCCAAAGAGCCTATGAGATAGGCACTATTATTATTATTATTTATTATTATTATTTTTAGATGGAGTCTTGCTCTGTCGCCAGGCTGGAGTGTGGTGGTGCGATCTCAGCTCACTGCAACCTCCACCTCCCAGGTTCAAGCAATTCTACTGCCTCAGCCTCCCGAGTAGCTGGGATTACAGGCACATGCCACTATGCCCAGCTAATTTTTTTTTGTATTTTTAGTAGAGACGGGGTTTCACTGTGTTAGCCAGGATGGGATAGGCACTATTATTATACCCATTTTACAAATAAGGAAACGGAGGCACAGAGGAATAAAATAACTTGCCCAAAGTCACGGTACTAATAAGTGTGGCAGGATTTAAAAGAAAAAGGAAAAAAAAAACTTTTTTTCAGAGTAAGATGGAGTCTTACTCTGTTGCTCAGGCTAGAGTGCAATGGCATGATCTCGGCTAATTGCAACCTCCGCCTCCCGGGTTCAAGTGATTCTCCTGCTTCAGCCTCCCAAGTAGCTGAGATTACAGGTGCCCGCCACCACGCCCGGGTAATTTTTGTATTTTTAGTAGAGACAGGATTTCACCATATTGGCCAGGCTGGTCCCAAACTCCTGACCTTGTGATCTGCCTGCCTCGGCCTCCCAAAGTGTTGGGATTACAGGCGTGAGCCACTGCGCCCGACCAAAGCCACTTTTTTTTTAGAGACAGAGTCTTGCTATGTTACCAGGTTGATCTTAAACTCTTGGCCTCAAGTGATCCTCCTGCCTCAGCATGCTGAGCAGCTGGGACTATAAGCATAAGCCACTGCATCTGGCAGGAATACATTTTTCTTTTCTTTTTTTTTTTTTTTGTGGGAGTGCAGTGGCTCGATCTCCGCTCACTGCAAGGTCCGCCTCCCGGGTTCATGCCACTCTCCTGCCTCAGCCTCCCAAATAGCTGGGACTACAGGCGCCCACCACCAAGCCCAGCTAATTTTTTTTTGTATTTTTTAGTAGAGACGGGGTTTGACTGTGTTAGCCAGGATGGTCTCGATCTCCTGACCTCGTGATCTGTCTGCCTCGGCCTCCCAAAGTGCTGGGATTACAGGCGTGAGCCACCGCACCCGGCCCAAAATGTGGTTGATAGTTCACTGAACTGATTTCCTAACCCACTAGTGGGTCACAACACAGTCTGAAAAACTCTATTCTACAGGAAATATGGAGGCAGCTCTCCTTCTCCCACCCCAAATTCTGTTTTAAGTCTGATGACTATGAACCATAATTGATAGTTTCAAAATTCAAGTCATATTTATACAAAGGCAAAATTGGGGAATGATTATATTTTCTAAAGTATCTGTGTTTCAAAACAAGTTAACTTATATAAAGCGCTGAAAATACAGTGCTTAGGGATGCTAGAGAGATAGGAAATGGATTGGAAGAGTTGATGGGGCCTTCTTGGAGAAGGCAGATCTTGAGCAAAACATGAGGGGAAGGAGGAGTGGTGGTTTTACAAGGAGAAGTGGGAGGTGTCAGATCGAGAGGCAGCATCTTCATCAGGAACTGCAGAAACTCAAGTCAGAGGACTTGCGTGCCGGCCATTTCTGCTGTCTGTTTCTGGCATAGGCCTTGCACACACTCTCACCTCTGCCTAGACCACACTTCTTCACCTATTTACAGATACTCATCCATCGTACTTCAGAGTTCAACATGGGGACGTTTCTCAGAACACCATGTCAAATGACCTCTGTTTAATGCTTTTATAGCACCATGTATATCCCCGCTTTGTAACACTCATCACTGGTTGCAGTTTTATATTTATAGATCTGATTATTTGATGAATATGCTTTCTCCCTGACTGAAAGCTATGTGAGGGCAAGGAGTGGGACACTTTTTACTTGTTATAGTCCCTCTAACTGGCACACAATTTATGGTCATTAAATACTGGTATTTGCTAAATGAACCCTGGTAATTTGGTTAGAGTCCAGCCTCCTCACGAGTCCAGCCTCCTCACTCTCTGTTTAGTGCTGCAGGTGGAAGGTGACCTGAGCCTTGGAAAGTGTCAGACTCTTCCTTTTAAACCCCTTTCTACAGAGGAAGAATTCTCCTGCTTGTGGCAGGAATGTGGCTTTTGTTCTCTGGACAGTTCTGCTGACCTCATCCGCCATGTCTACTTCCACTGCTACCACACCAAGCTGAAACAGTGGGGGCTGCAGGCCTTGCAAAGCCAGGCTGACCTTGGCCCCTGCATCCTGGACTTCCAGAGCCGGAACGTCATCCCTGATATCCCTGACCACTTCCTGTGTCTGTGGGAGCACTGTGAGGTCAGCAGGCAGTGCCAGTAATTGGGGTGGAAGGAAGCTGGGGGTCTTAACTCTGATGCCTTGTCCCTTTCAGGGATGCCTTATATTTCCAAGATTCCTGCTAGTATCTCTCTTCCATTTCTTTTGCTCTTTTAAAATTTGTTTATTTTTTACACACAGGCTCTTGATCTGAAGCCCAGGCTAGAGTGCAGTGGTACAATCATAGCTCACTGTAACCTTGAACTCCTGGGCTCAAGCAATCCTCCCACCTCAGCCTCCCAAGTAGCTAGGACTACAGGCATGTACCACCATGCCCTGCTAACTTCTAAATTTTTTGTAGAGACAAGGTCTGGGTGTGTTGCCCAGGCCGGTCTCGAACTCTTGGCCTCAAGTGATTCTCCTGCCTCAGCCTCTCAAAGTGCTGGGATTACAGGGTTTAGCAACCGCACCCGGCCACTCCTCCATTTCTGTGCAGTGCCTTTCCTCAAAATTTCCCATCCCCATCAAGTTAATTTGGGAGAGAGCCAAGAATTCTTCGGGCACATAGGGGTGAGTCCCTCTACCCACCCTCAGTCCTCACCCCAAGTTGCCCCTGGCACAGAATTCCTTCGACAATCCTGAGTGGTTTTATCGGCATGTGGAAGCACACAGTCTGTGCTGTGAATACGAAGCAGTCGGCAAGGACAACCCGGTGGTGCTGTGTGGCTGGAAAGGTAGGGCTGCTTCTTAACTTGTGGCTTCTGGAGGAAACGCTGGGGTTCCTGAAGAGCTGGGACAGAAAGGGATAGGGGTCCTACAGGGGCAAGGTTGACTGCCGGCTGGAGAGACTCAGGGGTACCAGATCCTAGGCAAAACTGGGGTTTTGTGGCAGGAGACTGATAGGGCTTCCTTCCCAGGCTGTACCTGCACCTTCAAGGACCGCAGTAAACTTCGAGAGCACCTCCGCAGCCATACCCAGGAGAAAGTGGTAGCCTGCCCCACCTGTGGGGGCATGTTTGCCAACAATACCAAGTTCTTAGATCACATCCGTCGCCAGACCTCATTGGATCGTAAGTAGTCAGAGGAAGTGGGGTGGATGCAGGCTGTCCTGCTTGGAATGGGTTAGGGGCATGTTTCTAGTGGGGGTGGCCACTGAAGAGACCTGCCTTTTGGCTGCCTCTTCTTTTTGGGCTCAGGCACCTCCCATAGTCTCTTTGCTGATTCAGATTCGTAGGCATTGTTATTCAGTACTTACTGTACCTCGTATCAGTTACTTAGGGAATCCTCACAACAGCCCCATGAGGTAGGCTTCTTATCCCCCTTTTTGCAGATGAGGAAACTGAGGCTCAGAGAGGTTAAATCACTTACCTGAGATCACACAGCTAGTAAGTGGTGAAGCTGGAATTCTAACTCAGGTTCTCTAAGTCCCATGCTCTTTCCATGATACTGTGTCCATTCATAGCTCCCTAAGCTCTCCTTTTCTCCTTGGGTGGTTCCCTTCTGCCTGGGATGGTTCCCCTCTCCTTTCTGTGCCTCTCCACTATCACCTACAGCCCTCCTTTCTTCTGCCTGCCCCACCCCAGAGCAGCACTTCCAGTGTTCTCACTGTTCCAAGAGATTTGCCACAGAGCGGCTATTGCGGGACCACATGCGCAACCATGGTGAGTGGCCTGCGGCCCACAGCCTCCCTCCTGCCCTCCAAGGTTCCACAAGTTCTCACATCACAGCCTCCTCTCTGCTTCTCTCAGTGAATCACTATAAGTGCCCTCTGTGTGACATGACCTGCCCGCTGCCTTCCTCCCTCCGCAACCACATGCGCTTTCGTCACAGTGAGGACCGGCCCTTTAAATGTGACTGTTGTGACTACAGGTAAGGGGGACCAGGGACCAGAAAACAGCTCATGTTCCAGTGTTCCCCATGTCCTCCAATCCCTCCTGATTTCTCATGGCAGCTGCAAGAATCTTATTGACCTCCAGAAGCACCTGGATACCCACAGCGAGGAGCCAGCCTACAGGTGTGATTTTGAGAACTGCACCTTCAGTGCCCGATCCCTCTGCTCTATCAAGTCCCATTACCGCAAAGTACATGAAGTGAGTGGGGCTGGTGTTGGGAAGGACTAGTGGAAGTATGGGGGACCCTGGGGTGAAGAGCTGGTCTCATTTCTCCCTTCCTTCCCCATCAGGGAGACTCTGAGCCAAGGTACAAATGTCATGTGTGTGACAAATGCTTCACACGGGGCAACAACCTCACCGTGCACCTTCGCAAGAAGCACCAGTTCAAGTGGCCCTCAGGGCATCCCCGTTTTCGGTATGTCTCTCAACCCTCCTTCCCAGATTAACACACTTGTTTTTATACCTTTTCAACCAGTTTTAAAAACCTTAATTTGGGTCGGGCGCGGTGGCTCACGCCTGTAATCCCAGCACTTTGGGAGGCCAAGGTGGGCGGATCATGAGGTCAGGAGTTCGAGACCAGCCTGGCCAACATGGTGAAACCCCGTCTCTACTAAAAATACAAAAAGTAGCTGAGCATGGTGGCACATGCCTGTAGTCCCAGCTACTTGGGAGGCTGAGGTGGGAGAATCACTTGAACCCAGAAGGCGGAGGTTGTAGTGAGCTGAGATCATGCCACTGCACTCCAACCTGGGTGACAGAGCGAGACTCCATCTCAAAAATAAATAAATAAATAAATAAAACCTTAATTTGATGGTGGTTTTATGTCTGCCATTTCCATTTAGATTCAAAGAATCCTAAGAATAATGGTGGAGCAAAGCTTATTTTTCTGTTTTTTGAATCTTGTAAGGCATGGTGCCAAACCCAATAAATGGTGCCAAAAAGTCCTGCAGCTGGAACTAGAGCTAGAGTCTAAGGGTTCTGATCCTTAGCTCCAAGGCCTTCTCATAAATCCTTTGACACTTTCACCCTCCAACACAGTCAGTCAGTCTCTGTTTTTCTGGTTGGGTTTCTATATAAAACTTTCCATTTTGAGTAATGATCTTTCCCTCTTGCCTTTTCTTCTACATATTCCAATAAAGACCTTTTTTGTCTTCAACTCCTGTCACTTGGATTCCAGGACTTCTTCCATCCCTCATGTTTGTTCCTTACTTTGCCAGCCTCGGCCATTTCTGTATCCCCCTGCCTGGGTTTGCTGCCCTTTATGCTCCTACCTCACCAGGTACAAGGAACATGAAGATGGCTATATGCGGCTGCAGCTGGTTCGCTACGAGAGTGTAGAGCTGACACAGCAACTGCTGCGGCAACCACAAGAGGGATCGGGCCTGGGAACGTCGCTGAACGAGAGCAGCCTGCAGGGCATTATTCTAGAAACAGTGCCAGGGGAGCCAGGACGTAAGGAAGAGGAAGAGGAGGGCAAGGGTAGCGAAGGGACAGCCCTCTCAGCCTCTCAGGACAACCCCAGTTCTGTCATCCACGTGGTGAATCAGACCAATGCCCAAGGCCAGCAAGAGATCGTCTACTATGTGCTGTCTGAAGCCCCAGGGGAGCCTCCCCCAGCCCCTGAGCCACCTTCAGGGGGCATCATGGAAAAGCTTCAAGGAATAGCTGAGGAGCCAGAGATCCAGATGGTTTGAAGGCCGCAGAGCCAGACCATTTCTTCCCCAGGTCCTGAAGTTTGAGCCAGGCAAGTGGCAGTGCCCCTAGTGGGCAGCCGTTGCCAATGGATGCCTTTAGGAGTGGTGCCGAGAGCAGTGTGGTCCACTCTGGCCTGGGTTTGCATCATTCTGCAGACTCTAAAGACTTCCCTTTTCTGCCAGACTACATTTTGTGGGGAGCCTGAGGACTCTGGATTCTTTGAGGGGATCCTGGATGTGTGTGTTCTTGTTAAAGAGGCTGTTATCAGGCTTAACCATAACCCTCAAGATCTGCTTGACAGTGATTAAATCCTTAGCTCACATCCATTCCCATCTTTCGGGCTCCTTAGGCCCAAGGATGGCATGTGACTGGTCCCTGCAAGGGTCCTTTCTTTGTCACCAGCCAAGGCATTGATAACCAAGTAGCCATTTTCCTCTTAAGGTTTCCTCTACAACCCCAAGGACTTTCATGATTATCCTCAGGGACAGGATTGGAGGCATTGAGCGTGTTTATTAACAAATTGTTTTTGGTAATAAAATAAATGCTTGGACTCTTATTTATTTCTTCTTACATTTGGTGGCAGTTTACTAGGTAATGAGGAGATACAGCCACCCAGAAGAGGAGCTGAATAGTTAGGCTTGTTCCCCTTCTGGTGACTCAGGTGGTTTGTTTTTTGTTTGCTTAACTGTCCTGTTGTCTTCTCCTCCTCCCCTTGGTGAAACTTCGCTATTCTCAGAGCGTATGCCATTTCCATGGAGGTCCCAGGTGTTTGGCTGTGAGTGGGCAGTAGTGGTGCTATAGAATGAACAAGAATGGGCTCACTGGGAGGATAGGGCAGCTGACCATGGCCTCACTCTGAATACTGATTAGAACCCAGTGCCTCTAGGGTAGGGGTTCTTTACCTGGGAGTGGGAAGGAAGCTGGGGGGTGGAGAGGATTGGGAAGCCTCCCAGGGAAGGGAGGCAATCAAGTGGTCCAGGAACCAAACTAGAAAATTGTGTGTCTGAATGTGCATTTTCCTGGGGAAAGGATCTGTTTTTTGCTAGATTATCAAAGAGATTGAAACCTCCCAAAATAAGAATCATCATTTCGTCTGGTTCAGCTGCTTCTCAGCACCCTGTGTCCATTTTTATGGTCTACTGCTATGCTGGAGAGGTCAAGGAAATAGTCTTGGGGACAGGAAGCTGCCCAAAAAGGATCTCTGGGCCTTTTTTTGTAAGACCTAATTCTATTACTAGAAAAACTAAGGCTGAATGCAGTGGTTCACGCCTGTAATCCCAACACTTTGGGAGGCTGAGGCGGGCGGATCACAAGGTCAAGAGATGGAGACCATCCTGGCCAACATGGTGAAACCCCGTCTCTACTAAAAATATAAAAATCAGCTGGGCATGGTGGCACACATCTGTAGTCCCAGCTACTCGGGAGGCTGAGGCAGGAGAATTGCTTGAACCCGGGAGGCTGAGGTTGCAGTGAGCCGAGATCATGCCACTGCACTCCAGCCTGGCGACACAGTGAGACTCCGTCTCAAATAAATAAATAAATAAAGAAAGAAAAGAAAAACTGTGTGTGTCTATTTGTGGAAAGAAAAAGATCTCTTCATTAATCCCATCAGCCATTTATTGAGTTCCTACTATAGTCCAGGCACAGGTGCTAAGGATACAAAGATGAATAAAACCCAGGACCTTCCCTGGAGGGACTTGCAATGCAGAAGCAAGGAAAGACTAGGTAAGCTGAGTGATAGAAGTTAATCAGGGTACATTTAGAAGGCTCCAAATAGGAGTAATGGTACTACCTGGGCAAGGGATCAGGAAAGGTTTCATCCAGGAAGAGACCTTCCACCTAACCAAGACTAGATGAAGACTTTAAAGGTTCTAAACTCTGAAAAGATTGTGGTGTCCCATTTTTCATATGTAATCAGAATGAAAATATTAAGCCATGAAACATTTAAAGTTCAACATGATTATACTTAAAACATATATTGTATATAGATTAACTATCAAATTCTGTTTCTAATTTTTTCTTTTATTTTTCAGTTCCCCAGTTTTGCTGGTGTCTAAGCACTGGCGTGGGGTGTCCCTTGAGTAATGCAGCACTAATGACTCTATCCATTCTTCCATGAGCAGTGTCTTCGGGAGCAGGCCAGCATTCTATGAAAAGGACCTTCCCTACTAGTCTTCTCAGTCATGCCCACACCAAATCGCATTGCTCTATCTGGACCATGGAGACAGCAGAAGAGATTCTGGTCTGTTACCATGTGATTCCATTCCCTAGGAGGAGGGGTGACTTGGGATCCTGGACTCAGTATGCATGGCTTAGAAAGTACTGGACCAGGAGTGAGGGGTCACTGTTGAGTAGTCTAGGCAGCCAGAGGCCTCTGGAAGGATACTAAAGGCTGTGGTGGGTGACAGTGGGCTCCTGGAGGGAGGAGGGTGATGATACTAATTTGGTTACCTTAGAATTTCACCTAGAGTCAACCCTGGTCCCAGCATCATGGTGTCTGAAGATTAAGGAGACACCCTGTCTTAGTCTTCCTTAAAGGGGGTAGGGATAGGAGAGAAGGCAGGTGGCCCAGGAGTTGGAAGCAGATAACTTCTTTTCTCTTATTTGTGGCAAGTCCACAACCACAGAGGACTTAGAAGAACTGGGTGGATATAAAAAAGTGTCAACTATGGCCGGGTATGGTGGCTCACGCCTGTAATCCTAGCACTTTGGGAGGCCGAGGTGGGCGGATCACTTGAGGTCAGGAGTTCCAGACCAGTCTGGCCAACATGGGGAAACCCTGTCTCTACTAAAAATACAAAAATTAGTTGGGCATGGTGGCACATGCTTGTAGTCTCAGCTACTCAGGAGGCTGAGGCAGGAGAATTGCTTGAATCTGGGAGGCAGAGGTTGGAGTGAGCTGAGATCACGTCACTGTACTCCAGCCTGGGCGACAGACCAAGACTGTCTCAAAAAAAAAAAAAAAAAAAGTGTCAACTAAAAAGGAAAATTGAAAAAGAGGCCAGGTGCAGTGGCTCATGCCTATAATCCCAGCACTTTGGGAGGCCGAGGTGGGTGGATGGCTTGAGCCCAGGAATTCGCGACTAGCCTGAGCAACATGACAAAACCCCAATTCTACAAAAAATACAAAAATTTAGCCCAGGCGTGGTGGTGCATGCCTGTAGTCCCAGCTACTTGGGAGGCTGAGGTGAGAGAATTGCCTGAGCCTGGGGAAGTTGAGGCTGCAGTGAGCTGTGATTGTGCCACTGCACTCCAGCCTGGATGACAGAACAGTGTCTCAAAAAAAAAAAAAAAAAAAAAAGAAAAATGATTTCTCCAAGATGAGAAGGGAGAGGAATGATGAATGGTCATGGGGAATAAATAATTACTGTCAGATTATGACCTAGTGAATTTGGACACTCAATGCATGTTAAATGAATAAATGAAGTTTGCTCAAGATCAGGAATCAAATGAGGAACATATCCATTTCATGTACAGTAGCAGAGAGACTTAAGGCTGAGAGGGAAGGGTGGAGGAGATGGTGAAAGCTTCTTCATACCATGCTAAATAGCTTGGATTTCTTGGCTGGGGAGGGAATGTGGAGGACAAGAAAGTAGATGAAACTTGGAAAGGAATGGGGATGTCCCCACCCTCGTGGAACTTAAGGCTAATTTCCTGAGGGGAAGAGACTAGAGGCCAAGGGGAAGAAGCCAGTGAGAGAAGATTTCAAAAATACAAGAGAAGCCTGGTGCGGTGGCTCATGCCTGTAATCCCAGCACTTTGGGAGGCAGAGGCAGAGGCAGAGGCAGGGGCAGAGGTGAGAGGATTGCTTGAGCCCGCGAGTTCGAGACCAGCCAGGGCAGCATGGCAGAACCCAAACTACAAAAAACTACAAAAAGCAGGGCATGGTGGCACGTGCCTATAATCCCAGCTACTCGGGAAGCTGAGATGGGAGGATGGCTTGAACCTGGGAGGTCCAGGCTACAGTGAATTGTGATCGTGCCACTGCATTTTAGCCTGGGCAACAGAGCCAGACTCTGTCTAAAAAAACAAACAGCAACAACAACAACAACAACAACAAAAAAGAAAAATACAGGAGCGAGGATATTTGATAGGGTAAAGCCCCTAGATTTGGGGTGGGAAGAATATAGAGAACAAGTAGATAAATAAAACTTGGAAAGGAATGAAGTAGAGAGAAGAAGGTAGGAATGGGAGTGGATATGGATTTTGTTCATAGGCATAAGGGGGATTTCATGCTTGGTGGTCTCTATTTCATTGATAAAGTAGGAATTAAAGTTATTGAAGATAATCTGTTGGATTAAGGATTTATACAAATTGACACATTTTAGAAATGCCATTAACAGATATAAGAATGAGATAGAAGACCTGACGACCCAGCTGAAATTGAAGACCAAGATCAGGCAGGGGCAACTTCAATACAACCATAGAATTTTTTTTTTTTTTCAGCAGACAGGAGCACCCCTGGAACACAAACAGAAAACAGACCACTGGGTGTATCACAGCAATGGTGTGGTGGCCAGGACATGGGTTGCACAGGGCCAAGGAGCAAGGCAATTAGAGCAGCTAGAGATGGATCATGAAGTCCAGACTGGACGGTGAGGGCCTAGGAAGCTGGAGGTAGTACAGCAGTTACAGTCACACCACTGGAGGTTCCAGTGAGGCTTCTGAAGATTAGTGGGCAGAAAGGAAAGTTTGTGGTCAAGAAGGGAACTTTTGTTTAATTGATACATAATAAGTATACATATTTATGGGTAATATGTGATATTTTGATACATGCATACAATGTGTAATCAAGGTAATTAGGATATCCATCACCTCAAACATTTATCATTTCTTCGTGTTGGGAACATTTCAAATCCTTTTCTAGCTGTTTTGAAATATACAATAAGTGGCCAGGCAGAGTGGCTCACTCCTGTAATCCCAGCACCTTGGGAGATCGAGGTGGGCGATCACGAGGTCAGGGGCTCGAGACTAGCCTGGCCAACATGGTGAAATCCCATCTCTACTAAAGGTACAAAAAATTAGCTGGGCATGGTGGCGCTCGCCTGTAATCCCAGCTACTCAGGAGGCTGAGGCAGGAGAATCGCTTGAACCCAGGAGGCGGAGGTTGCAGTGAGCTGAGATTGCACCATTGCACTACAGCCTGGATGACAGGGCGAGACTCCATTTCAAAAAAAAAAAAGGAAAAAGAAAAAGAAATATACAATAAGCTGCTGTTAACTAGAATCACCCTACTGTGCTGTAGAATGCTAGAACTTATTCCTTCCATCTAACTATATTTTTGTAGTCATTAACCAATCTCTTCATCCCCCACCCTTCACTTCACTACCCTTCCTAGCCTGTGGTAACCATCATTCTACTCTCCACCTTCATGAGATCAACTTTTTTAGCTCCCACATATGAGTAAGAACATGAGATATTTGTCTTTCTGTGCCTGGCTTATTTCACTTAACACAATGTCCTCCAGTTCCATCTATGTTGCTGCAAATGACAGACTTTCATTCTTTTTATTTATTTATTTTTATTTTTTTGACAGAGTCTCGCTCTGTAGCCCAGGCTGGAGTGCAGTGGTGTGATCTTGGCTCACTGCAACTCCATCTCCCAGGTTCAAGCAATTCTCCTGCCTCAGCCTCCCAAGTAGCTGGGATTACAGGCACCTGCTACCATGCCCAGCTAATTTTTTGTATTTTTAATAGAGACGGGGTTTTGCCATGTTGGCCAGGCTGGTCTCGAACTCCTGACCTCAGGTGATCCGCCCGCCTCGGCCTCCCAAAGTGCTGGGATTACAGGCATGAGCCACTGCGCCCTATTTTTATTTTTATTTTTGAGACAAGAGTCTGGCTCTGTTGCCCAGGACAGGGTGCAGTGGCGCAGTGGCACGATCTCGGCTCACTGCAACCTCCACCTCCCGGGTTCAAGCAATTCTCCTGCCTCAGCCTCCCAGGGAGCTGGGATTATAAGTGCGCACCACCACGCCCAGCTAATTTTTGTATTTTTAGTAGAGATGGGGTTTCACCATGTTGGCCAGGCTGGTCTCGAACTCCTGACCTCAGGTGATCCACCCGCCTCGGCCTCCCACAGTGCTGGGGTTACAGGCGTGAGCTGCCGTGCCTGGACAAATTTCATTCTTTTTTATAGCTGAATAATATTCCACTGTGTGTATGTACTATATTTTCTTTATCCATTCATCCACTGATGGACACTGAAGTTGATTCCATTTCTTGGCTATTGTGAATAGTACTGCAATGAACATGGGAGTGCAGATATCTCCCCGATATACTGATTTCCTTTCTTTTGGATATATACCCAGCAGTGGGATTGCCGGATCATATGGTAGGTCTATTTTTAGTTTTTTGAGAAACTTTCATACTGATTTTTTTTTTTTGAGACGGATTCTCACTCTGTCGCCCAGGCCGGGGTGCAGTGGCACAATCTTGGCTCGCTGCAAGCTCTATCTCCTGGGCTCAAGCAATTCTCTTGCCTCAGCCTCCCAAGTAGCTTGGATTACAGGCACGTGCCACCATGCCCGGCTAATTTTTTGTATTTTTAGTAGAGACGGAGTTTCACCATGTTGGCCAGGCTGGTCTTGAACTCCTCACCTCAAGTGATCTGCCTGCCTCGGCATCCCAAAGTGCTGGGACCACAAGCGTGAGCCACCGTGCCCGTCCCATACTGTTTTTTACAGTGGTTGTACTAATTTACATTTCTACCAACAGTGTACTAGCGTTCCCAGAAAGGGGACATTTTTAAATGGAGCTATTCAGAGTCTAGAGTACGTCCACAGGGAAGTAGGCTGCTAAAGGGAGACAGGTCACTGGAGTAGAATAGACCAAGAGAAATAAGGCATTTTGAATGCCTACTAGGAGTGACCTTTCTGACCCACCCATCAGTGACGTGGATCTTTATGATACTGTGAAACATATCAGGTGGCCCTCCATATCCGTGGGTTTCACATCCATGGATTCAACCAACTTCGGATTGAAAATATTCAGGAAAAAAAATGGCAGGTGCATCTGTATTGAACGTGTACAGACTTTTTTTTCTTGTCATTATTCCCTAAAAATATACAGAATAGTATAACAACTATTCACATAGCATTTACATAGTATTACGTATTATAACTAATCTAGAGACGATTTAAAGTATATGGGAAGGGCCGGGTGCAGTGGCTCATGCCTGTAATCCTAGCACTTTGGGAGGCTGAAGTGGGCAGATCACTTGAGGAGTTCAAGACCAGCCTGGCCATTATGGCAAAACCCCGTCTCTACTAAAGATTCAAAACTTAGCTGGGCATGGCGGCACGTGCCTGTGATCCCAGCTACTCAGGAGGCTGAGGCAGGAGGATTGCTTGAGCCCAGGAGGTAGAGATCACAGTGAGCTGAGATCGCAGTGAGCCGAGATCACACCATTGCATTCCAGCCTGGGTGACACAATAAGACTGTCTCAAAATATATATATATATATTATATATAAGTATATATGATATATAAGTATATATTTAAGTATATATAAATATGTAAGTATATACTTATGTATGTATAAGTATATATAATATATAAGTATATATAAAATATATAAGTATATGTTTTTATATAAGTATATATAATATATAAATATTATACGTAATATTTATGTATGTGTGCAGGGAATTCAAAGCCAGCTTTCAAAGATCAGATCAAAACTACTATAAAGTCTGCTTTAATACATGAAATTAAAAAAATATAAAGTATATGGGAGGCTGTGCACGGGTTATGTGGAAATACTATACCATTTTATATTGGGACTTGAACATCTGTGGACTTTGATATCCAAGGGGAGTCCTGGAACCAATCTCCCACAGATACTGAGGGACGACTGTACAAATGTACAATATTTGGTCTTTTCCTCATTTCCTGGCATACAACTTCTAAAATCCTTGGACTCTTCACAGTGTAAGTGTCTTTTTGTGACCCAATGAGTTGATTGAGGGCTGGCAGCACCTAGGTAGCTTCAGGATGGGCGCTGATCATTGGAAAGACCAAGGCAGAATTAGAAGGGTGAGACTTTCAGCCCCACCCCACAACCACCAGGAAGGGGAGAGGGGCTGAAGGTTGAGTTGATCACCAATGACCAATGATTTAATCAACCATGCCTATGTAATGAGCCTCCATAAAAACTCAAAGGAGGTTCAGAGAGCTTCTGGATAGCTGAACATGTGGAGGTTCCTGGAGTTCCTGGAGGGTTCTTGGAGAGTGCATAGAAGTTCTCCACCCTCTTACCGGGCGCGGTGGCTCACGCCTGTAATCCTAGCACTTTGGGAGGCTGAGGTGGGCGGATTGCCTGAGCTCAGGAGTTCGAGACCAGCCTGAGCAACACAGTGAAACCCCGTCTCTACTAAAATACAAAAATTAGCCGGGCGTGGCGGCATGCACCTGTAATCCCAGCTACTCATGAGGCTGAGACAGGAGAATCATTTGAACACGGGAGGCGGAGGTTGCAGTGAGCTGAGATCACACCACTGCACTCTAGCCTGGGCGACAGAGCAAGGCTTCGTCTCAAAAAAAAAAAAGAAGCCCGGGCGCGGTGGCTCACACCTGTAATCCCAGCACTTTGGGAGGCCGAGGCGGGCGGATCAAAAGGTCAAGAGATCAAGACCATCCTGGCTAACACGGTGAAACCCCGTCTCTACTAAAAATACAAAAAAATTAGCTGGGCATGGTGGCAGGCGCCTGTAGTCCCAGCTGCTCGGGAGGCTGAGGGAGGAGAATGGCGTGAACTTGGGAGGCGGAGCTCGCAGTGAGCCAAGATCGCGCCACTGCACTCCACCCTGGGCGACAGAACTAGACTCCGTCTAAAAAAAAAAAAAAAAAAAAAGGAAGTTCTCCACTTCTCTCCTCTTCCCACATGCCTCACCCATTGCCTCTCTTTGTCTGTATTCTGTGTAATATCATTTATAATAAGCTGATAAGTGTAAGTAAAGTGTTTCCCCAAGTTCTATTAGCCACTCTAGCAAATTAATCAAACCCAGTGAGGGAGTTGAGGGAACCCTGATTTATAGCCAGTTGGTCAGAAGCATGAACAGAAACAACCTGCGGCTTGTGATTAGCATTGGAAGTGGGGGGTAGTCTGTGGGACTGAGCCCTCAACCTGTGGCATCTGACACTATCTCCAGGCAGGTAGTGTTGGAATTGAATTGAATTAGAGGACAACCAGCTGGCGTCCACTGCAGAATTGATTGCTTGCTTAAAGTGTGGGGCAAAACACCCACACATCTGGCATCAGAAGAGTGTTGTGAGAGTATAGTAAGAGAAACTGAGTTTGTGTATTTCTGTGTATTCTCAACCCAGTATTAGGGGTAGGAGAACAGGGCCCAGAGAAAAGCTGGGGAGACACCTGATCTGTAAGGCTGGTTCCACCCAAAAGATACAGCCAAGAGGTGTGGTGTGAGTTCAAGTTTTAAGAGAAGGAAGAAAAAGAGATAAGAGACTTCGGCAGAGACCCTTGGCATTCTGCAGCTTTGGAGAACCCCAGTTTCTTCTTATCAAAGGAAATGGTGGTACATAATTATCAAAGGAAATGGTGGTACATAGCAGGAGAGAGAGGGAGAGACAAACACTGCACTTCTATTTTATTTTTATTTCATTTTTTTTTTTTTTTTTGAGACAGAGTCTTGCTCTGTGGCCCAAGCTGGAGTGCAGTGGCACGATCTTGGCTCACTGCAAGCTCCGCCTCCTGGGTTCATGCCATTCTCCTGCCTCAGCCGCCTGAGTAGCTGGGACTACAGGCGCCCACCACCACGCCCGGCTAATTTTTTGTATTTTTAGTAGAGACGGGGTTTCACCATGTTAGCCAGGATGGTCTCGACCTCCTGACCTTGTGATCCACCCGTCTTGGCCTCCCGAAGTGCTGGGATTAGAGGCGTGAGCCACAGCGCCCGGCAACACTGCACTTTTAAAATTCACTTCAAAATTGCTTGATTTTGTTTTGTTGTTATTATAATTTTTTTTTTGAGATGGAGTTTCACTCTTGTCATCCAGCCTGGAATGCAGTGGCGCGATCTCTGCTCACTGCAACCTCTGCCTCCCAGGTTCAAGTGATTCTCCTACCTCAGCCTCCCAAGTAGCTGGAATTACAGGCATGTGCCACCACACCTGGCTAATTTTTGTATTTTTAGTAGAGACAGTGTTTCACCATGTTGACCAGGCTGGTCTTGAACTCCTGATTTCAGGTGATCCATCCGCCTCAGCCTCCCAGAGTGCTGGGATTACAGGCGTGAGCCACTGCGCCCAGCCTATAATTTTTTAAAAATGCAACAGCAACAGCAGAGACTCTGTCTAGTCTCTGAGGGGTCGGGAGAGGCAATCAATAGTTACCCCTCCACGGCCTCCACTCCAGCGCCTATGCACATTTTTCCTTTCTGCCTTGGGGAGCCACAGGAGGACTGGAGAGCTTTGCTGCTGCGTACCGGCAGGAACCCTGAAGCCAGCTGAGTGGGTGGGGCAGGGTGGGGGTTTGTAGTCAGTCTCCTCTTTATCCACCCCTCCTTCCTGGTCCTGGGCTGCATCTCTCCAAGTGACCAGCAGAGGGGCCTTCATTAACAAATACACTTTAAAACCATTCTGTCCAGAGGTGACAGACCGTCATGGTGGGCAAGGGAGGCACAGTGGAAGAGAGACCTGGGATGGTGGAAGCAGAACTGGTCAGTTCCAATATCCCCCCAGTCGAATTCCTTTCCAGCTCCCACAGGACCCTGTTAACCCTCCTTTTTTTCCATAGGCCCACAAAGCTGCTTAACAACTGCTTCTCCCACAAATCCCTGCCCACAGCAGCCTGTGTCTGTTAGATTAGCTCCTGGCACTAAGCTGAGATGGGAATTTTCTGCTTCTGCCTTGCTCCTCTTAAGCCAGTTATCATCAACCCTTACATGTCTGGGCCTAGGGAAACATGCCCTGGATGGAGGCTCTGTCCTGATGGTGGGGGTGAGGAGATCTGGGGTGGGAGTTGGGAGAATCCTAGAGAAAGGGGAGAATCCGTCTCAGGGAATGGGAGGAGGTCTGTTTGGAGGAATAGGGGAGGATCCACCTGGACGTTGAGGGAAAGTCTGGTGAGAAATAGAGGGTTTGTTCTGGGGATGGGAGGTCTAGACTAAGCAAAGAAGGTTCTTTTAAGCAATGGTTCTCAGAAGGTGGTCCCTGGACTAGCAGCATCAGCATCACTTGAGAACTTATTAGAGATGTAAATTCTCTGGCTCCACCCCAGATACTGAATCAGAAACTCTGGGAGTGGAGCCCAGTAATCTAATCTGTGTTTTAACAAGCTCTCTAGATGATTTGGATGTGCGCTCAAATTTGAGGACCACTGCTCTTGAGTTACAAGGTCTACTCTAGGAGTTGGAAGTGTGTGTTCTCAGGAATCAACGGTCCATCTTGGGGGATATGTGGTGGGAGTGGGGAGTATCTCTAGGATGGAGAAGGTCTGTGCTAGGACCTCTGGAAGGCTGGAAAGGTTCTATATCCTAGAATGAGAAAGGTCTGTTCAGGGCAACTGAGAAAATCTGCTTTATAAAGTGGGAAGGTGACAATAGGTAATGAGGAAGTTTGACATCGTAGATAAAGCCATGGTTTAGAATCACTGAGACCTGGATTTGAATACCTACATCCATCACACTAGCTATGTACTTCATACTTGTACTTAACATTTCTGAGCTTCAGTTCCTTATCTAAAACATGGAAGAATAATACTGACTTCATAACATTGTTACAAGGACTGGTTAGACTGTTCAGTCAATGGGTATTTATGGAGTGCATTTTCTTTTTTTTAATTTTTAATTTTTTAATTTTTTTTTTGTATAGAGAGGGTCTCCTTACATTGCCTAGGCTGGTCTCAAAATCCTGGGCTCAAGCAATCCTCCTGCCTGAGCTTCCCAAAGTGCTGGGATTACAGGCATGAGCCACCACACCCAGTTTTGACTGCAATTTCTGTGTCCAAGTTCTAGGAATGTAGTGGAGAAAGACTGGCCTAGCCCCTTACTCAGAGATCAACCATATCTCCATGCTATGTGCCTAGCAGGTAGTAGACATTCAATAAATGTAGTTTCCCCTCGTTTGCTAAGGAAAGGAAGATTCATCTGGGGGAAGGAAATGAGCCTGAACCGTGGTGTGACCTGGGAAGTAAGAATGTATGGTCTATGCAATGGCATGATTATGGCTCACTGCAGCCTTATCATCCCAGGCTCAAGTGATCCTCCTGCCTCAGCCTCCCGAGTAGCCGGGACTACAGGCACACACCACCACGTCTGGCTTATTTATTTATTTAATTTTATTTTTTGAGACAGAGTCTTGCTCTGTCGCCCAGGCTGGAGTGCAGTGGCACGATCTTGGCTCACTACAACCTCCGCCTCCCAGGTTCAAGTGATTCTTGTGCCCTAGCCTCCAAAGTATTATAGGCATGAGCCACCATGCCCAGCTAATTTTTGTAATATTAGTAGAGATGGGGTCTCGCCATCTTGGCCAGGCTGGTCTCGAACTCCTGACCTAAAGTGATCCACCCACCTTGGCATCCCAAAGTGCTGGGATTACAGGTGTGAGCCACCATGCCTGGCCTATAGTCTACTCTTGAGAATAAAAAATCTTAATCTGCTGAGTGTGGTGGCTCATGCCTGTAATCACAGCACTTTGGGAGGCTGAGGCGGGAGGATCACTTGAGGTCAGGAATTCGAGACCAGCCTGGTCAACATGGTGAAACCCCATCTCTACAAAAAATACAAAAATTAGCCGGGTGTGGTGGTGTGTGCCTGTAGTTCCAGCTACTCAGGAGGCCGAGGCAGGAGAATCGTTTCAACCTGGGAGGCAGAGGCTGCAGTGAGCTGAGATCTCACCACTGCTCTCCAGCCTGGGTGACAGAACGAGACTATATCAGAAAGAAAGAAAGAAGCAAAGAAAGAGAGAAAGAGAGAGAGAGAAAGAAAGAAAGAGAAAGAAAGAAAGGAAAGAAAGAAAGAAAGAAAGAAAGAAAGAAAGAAAGAAAGAAAGAAAGAAAGAAAGAAAGTTGTGTGCCAAAGAATAAAGCTGGGTGGCATTAAGACATGGAGGTTATCTCAGGAGGATGAAGAGCCTGTCTAGAAAATAGAGGGAGACAGTCCATTTGGGAATAAGGTTCTGAGAGGCCCAATTAGCAGGGTAAAATCAGGGACTTTGGGATTCAAGCCCTGCTTTGCCACCAACTATTGCTTAACCTCCCTATGCCTCAGTTTTTCATCTCTAAAGGGGGGTTGTAAAACCTGTCGCATAGGGATATTGTGAAGATTAAATAACATAATGCCTGGTACAAAGTAGTTAATAAATGCAACTGTTGGGGGATGGGGAGGTCTATAGTAGCTGATGAGAAGTTGACTTGGAGAATGGAGGGTCCATCTGGAGAACAGGAGGTTGGTCCTGAGGAATGGTGGTGATGTGGGGCATGGAGTTGGGGGAAGATAGGAAAGACTGGATCCAAACCCCACACAAACCTCAGAGTAACAGGGCGGGGCCTAGAGAAATCCTCCAGGGATCGCCAGCTTTTAGGGCTGTGGAGAGGTGGTTGGGAGGGGGGCCAGCAGGGGAGAGGTTTGACTGCTAGTAACCCTCAACTGCTGCAGTAAGGAGAAGCCTCAGCGGTGGCAGTCACACCAGCAGCCTCAGAGCCTTCCCTCCCCATCGTCTCTGCTGTGTGACAGGTGGGAACTTAAAAGCTCAGATCACGTGTCTTGGCTAGCTAACCTACTTACCCCTTGAAGACATAGTGGCTGGGACAGGCAAGGGCCAAGAGGAATTGGCTGAGAAAGGGGCAGAGCAGGGGAAAGCCCCAAGTGTGTTCTGGGGACCTACATTTGAAGGCTTTGGGGGCAAGGGAGAGAATGTGCAGGTGCATGAGATGCCCAGGGCATGTCTGCGAGCCCTGTGCATGCCCTGGCACACAGGTCCCTCCAGGATATGGCATGTGCCTGTCTTGAAGGCCTGTATCTGGCTAGGTGACTACAGTCGGAGCAGGCTGAGCACTGGGTTCCAGTTTAACTCTGGAGCTACTGCAGGCTCTCCCAAAGCTGCTGCCATTTTCCCTTCTTTATTAGTGTCCTAACTCAGAGAAAGTGTGAATGGGGAGACAGGAGGATGTTCCAATGTCCCAAGGCTCCTGCGTTTTTGAAAGCCTTTGCACCTCGTTTGGGGATTCCTGGAGGGAGGCCTGCGCTCATTCATGGGCTGGAACTGAGGGAAATTGTTGGGGGACTGGTATCGTGTGTGAAGACAGACTGACACCTTTACAATCCCTCCACTTTCCCCCACCCCCAACACCCTTGCCTAATCTGTCTTCCAGGGACTTGTCCCCACGGAGTGACTCCAGCTCTCCTTTCCTCACTGCCTCCAAGTCGGCCCTTTGCCATCAACCCCCAGTCCTGAGTTCACCCCTGCACCTCCTCCGGCCCCCGCGCCGCAAGCGCTGCTCTCTCCTTTGCCGTCCTCGCCCCCCGCGGGCTGCCGGGCGGCGCGGGCCCTTTAAGAACGGCGGGACCGGCGAGCAGTAGCTGGTAGGAGAGCGCAGTCGCCCCGCGGGCTCGGAGGACACAGCGTCCGGGACCAGGCTCTGGGAAGCGGGTGTGCACAGCCCAGCAGAGTCAGGGCGCGACCCCAACCGCCTCTCACCATCCTTGCCGTCTCCTCCGAGCCGAGGGCCGGCCCTCCTGCCTCGCCTGCCCCGCCCCGGCCCCGCCCCGGCCCGGGCCGCCGGGACCGGGAGCCGGGACGCGGGTGCCGCAGCCCGAGGCAGGTAAGGGGAGCCCCGGCTCTCCGTCCCCGGTCCGTGGCAGCGCTGAGCATCCCGGCCCCGCACCGGCCCGGGGGCGCGTCAAGGTGACTAGGCATGCGGGAGATGGGGCGGGGGCTTGAGCTGCCGTGGGGCGCTTAGTTTTGAGTCCGGGTGGTGCGCCTGGCTTTGGGGACAGCCCGGGGCACGCGGGCCCGGGGGTGCCGGCGGGAGGGGCCGGCCTGGGCGTCGCGCCAAGGGATGGGGAGTGGGACGCAGCCGGAGGCCTGAAGCCTCCTCCTCTCCGCCTTCCCCTGGTCCGCCCTGCACTCACCCTGCTACCCCGACCTCCTAGAGCGGGCAGCCTCTGCCGGCTGCCTCTTCTCCCCCGCCCCCTATTCCTTCAGTCCCCAGGGGCTGCTGGCCTGCGGGGTAAGGAGATTAGAGAAGCCGCCGGGAGGAAGGAGCGATTGAGGGCTTCAAGGGGACGGGCTGGGGTCAGGCTGGAGCTGGGCTGCCCGGGACTGAGCGTCTCCGTGCGGAGAGTGGGGGGCGGGGGCAGAGTGCGGGGCTAACAGTCGCGGATCTGCCCCGAGAAGGAGGTGGGCAGTGGGGGCGGGGGAAGCATTAGAACGCCAGGGAGCTTTGAGCCGGGCTCGGTGGTCTGCCCCAAACTGAGCAGGCCCTCCCCTTGCAGGTCGGCGGCGTGATGGCGGAGAAGGCGCTGGAGGCCGTGGGCTGTGGACTAGGGCCGGGGGCTGTGGCCATGGCCGTGACGCTGGAGGACGGGGCGGAACCCCCTGTGCTGACCACGCACCTGAAGAAGGTGGAGAACCACATCACTGAAGCCCAGCGCTTCTCCCACCTACCCAAGCGCTCAGCCGTGGACATCGAGTTCGTGGAGCTGTCCTATTCCGTGCGGGAGGGGCCCTGCTGGCGCAAAAGGGGTAGGGAACAGCCTGGTAGGGGGAGTCCGTGGGCCCTCTCTGAGTTGCCTCTCCAGAAGCATGAGGCCTGGGTGTCCCATGTTCGGAAAGTCCTGCACCAGTGGGCTCTGTGGAAACACTAAAATCTGGGCCCCAGCCCGTTGCTCACTGTGCACTCTTGGGGTGTCAGGATCTACGCTCCCCCACACCTGTGAGCACCATGGGATACTAGGTGCAATTGGTTATTGAAGCTGTATCTTCTAAAGAGATCCCGTGACCTCTGGTCCTTGAGTGGTCCTTGATGAGTTTTCCTTCTTTTGTTTATGGAGGATTCCTACCTGTGAGGGCTGGTATGAAAAAGTAGGGGGCTGTGTCTGCAGGGTTGAGCAATACCCTTGGACCTAATTATAAAGACGTTCTCATTCCTGTCATCTTATTCCATTCTTACCACAGTGCTCAGAAGCAGGGAGGGTGGCGGTTTGGCAGGATAGATGTCATCTCCATGTTACTAATAAGGAAACTGAGGCCCAGGGAAGTTGAGTAACTTGACCAATGTCACACAGCTAGTAAGTGGTAGAGCTGAGACCAGAAGCCCGGTTTCCCAGCTCTCCATGCATTGTTCCTTTCTCTCTCTTCCCTGTACAGCAGTCCCATCACTTCCCTCTTCCCGCCCATGAGGACAGGTTCCCCTGAACCCTGACTAGCCCCTGCAGCCCCTACCCTGAGCAGCTTTAGCTGCTAGTAGGGAAGCTGAGGCTGTTTCCCAGAGCCTGGGTGTGGGCCAGGGGTGGGGCTGGGACATTGTTCTCTGAGGTTCAACAAATAGGTTTGGGGTGCTTCAGAGCAGGGCTGAGCATGATCTGCCTCTGCACTCTCCAAACCCTCACTCCCATGAGTGACCAAAAGGTCACATGGCTGAACCAATGGAAACTGAGGCATCTGGGCTTCCTGCCCAGTGGGCCCTGTCCCTAAGCAACCTCTTTCGGTCCTGAGACCAGCTCTGGGCAAAATCATGAGGCAGTTGTTATTTCTTTAGCCCTCTCATTTCCTCATAATTTTAAGAAACTAAGATTTTTTTTTAAAATGTGTCTAGACGGGCCAGCTCTCCAGTTGCTTCCATGTGCCAGCCACAGATTGATATCCCTCACCTGGCCCTTCCCTCCTTTTGACCTTGCCAGCCTCATTCTGCTGTACTGGCCATTTTGCCATTTCTTTCATCCGTTGTCCCTTTCTCTGCCCCCTGCCCTCCCCTCGATGACTTCTGTTTTCCATTGAATCCCTCTCCCCTTCTCCAGAGGACAGAAAGCAATTAAGGGTAGGCAGAAAGGAAAGAAAGCAAGGAGGATGGAGAGAGGGAGAGTTCTACCTTTCCCAAGTAAGGATTTGTTATCATCTCCCCTAATTATGTATAGCATTTCTTATTTTTTCAAAACAGCTTCCTTTTAATTATTTTTAATAATCTCACTTAACATTCGTAATAACCCTGTAAGTCCTTGGGATTAGATATTACTATCCTTCCCTTATAGATGAGGAGTCAGAGGACTTAAAGATTAAGTGACTTGACAAAATTGCAAAGAGAGCTACTGACGGCGGCAGAACTAGAATACCAGTGTCTCTCCAGCCCAAGGGCCTGGCTGGCCTCTTCTGTGCTGAGCAGTTGTGGGACATGGGTTCCTAGTCACTTATAAGCTGTGTGACCTTGGGCAGGCTGCCTACCCGCTCTTGGCCTTGCTTTTCTCATCTGTAAACAGGGATGATAAGAATACACAGACTTGTGTGAAGCTCAGCTGAGACGGTATCTGTGAGAGGCAAATGTAAGATGACTTTTGTGTTAGGCATCAGTGTTCAACCAGCTACTGTAATTAATTGAGGGGAAGGTTCGTCGTTGCCAGTTTCTTCTCCTGCAAGAGATCACTTCCTGTGAGTGGCTCTGAAAGGCATATGCTGGAGTGCGCCACCAAATGTCTCTGATTGATGGCGAGGAGGACTGAGGCAGAGGGCTAGAGCCCACGGCTTCCCTCTCCCAGGAAAGAACTTGCTGTGTGACCCTGGGTGAGTCACTAGATGTCTCTGGGCCCCAGTTGCCTCACCCATGTTGTTAGAGAAACAGTTGAAGCTTTGTAAACCATGGGTACCATCCAGGCAGTTGCTGTGATCAGGACCTGGCAGCGGGCAGGAGCTGCTCCCCCTTCTGACGGGAAGCATCCAGAGGGAAAGCCGGGCCCAGAACACAGTCCTGGGTGTCGTGGAGGGAGGGTTAAATATGCCATCCCTTCACTGTCTCCACTAAGGACACTAAGGAGGTGGAGTGGGGAGGGACTTGGGCTCTGTGGGGGTTAGAGGGGGCAGCAATGAGCAAGGTGCTAGGTAAGGGATTGGCACGTCCTCACCTATGAGGCAGGTCTGCCAGCATCGCAGGCAGGGCCCTCCTTGGTGGCTTCATCCTTCCCCTCCACTTCCATGTCTCACCAGGTCACTCCATGTAGGCTCTGCCCTCTGTTCCTTGGATTGTGAGTGTATATACACATACTTTTATATCACAGAGCTTTTCCTCCCAAAGCCTAGAAGGCCTCTGCTTTCCCTTTGCCTTTTAGAATCCTGCTCATCCTTCAAGGCTTAGCTCAAACGCCACCTCTTCCATGAGGCCAGTCTTGATTTTCCTCTTTCCCCCCGACTCACGTCAATTCCATTCTTTGCGTTCTCACAGCACATTTTTTGTACTTCTGTTATAACCCTAATTTTATTTTTCTTCATAGATTTTTTTTGTTTTTCTGTCTTACTTAGACTATGACCTTCTTGAATATAAAAACTGTGTCTTCCTCAATTTTTATCCAGTGTTTGGTACAGAGCTTGGTATATAGTAGATATCAATAAGCATTTATCAAGTAGAATTAATAGTAAAATGTCACTTTTTAATGCATTCTATGTGCCAAGCACTGTGTCATGTGTTTTACATATATTATCTCATTGAATCTTTACAACAACCCTATGAGATAGGTACTATCATCCTCATTTTACAGATGAGGGACCTGGAGCTCAGAGAGGTTAAGCAACTTGCCCGAGGTCACACAGCTGGTAAGTGTGGAGCCAGAATTTGAACCCAGATCCACCTGACTCCAAACCGTGCTCTAAATGCATATGCTGCCTTCCAATGAATGAATGAAAGGTGAGATTTTACTGGGCCATGTAGGGGCTAGAGAAACAAGCCTGGTAGGCAGAGAGAGCGCAAAGAAGAAGGCTTTTTCTGAATTAGGGAAAAGCTCTGAGAACTCACGCTCGTGGAACAGACACTTACTGAACATCTACTACAGGCCAGACAGTCTGCTGAGATTACCAAGATGAGTGAGAACTGCCCCCAAGGAGCTCACTGACTAAGAGGCTGGGAGAGCTGGTCAAGTGACAGGCACATCAAGTAACAAACATGCTGGCATAGGAGAGGTGCTATGGAAACACAGGGGATAGGCAGCCAGCTCGGGCTGTAGTAGTGGGAGTTTTCCTGGAGGGGGCGAGACAGTGGCCACTGTGATTACAGAAGAGGACCAGGGTCTTCTACAGCTTTGATCCCCTCTCCACGCCCATCCATGAGATGTGTGGATTTTCCCACGCCTTTCAGAAGAGGATTGTTGCCTCTGGTACTTTGATATTAGTGGTGGTCGTTTCTAGGGGGACGGGATGAGAGGGATGGGTTCCTGCCGGGGCTATAAGGGTTGTTCCTCCATCCTAACCCAATCACACTGAGTAGGGGCTACCTATTTCACTGATAGCCATGGCTGCTCCTAAGAATTTTGGGGGTACCTCTGTTCACTGCAGCCTGACTAAAAATTCCTCCCCACCTCACTGCAGGTTATAAGACCCTTCTCAAGTGCCTCTCAGGTAAATTCTGCCGCCGGGAGCTGATTGGCATCATGGGCCCCTCAGGGGCTGGCAAGTCTACATTCATGAACATCTTGGCAGGATACAGGTAAGGAAGAGACTGGGGTGGAATGGAGGCAGGACTCAGGAAGAAGTATCCCTTGGGGAACACAGAAGGTATTCTGAAAGGGCATTGACCCCCATCCTCAACCCACATCCCTGCAGGGAGTCTGGAATGAAGGGGCAGATCCTGGTTAATGGAAGGCCACGGGAGCTGAGGACCTTCCGCAAGATGTCCTGCTACATCATGCAAGATGACATGCTGCTGCCGCACCTCACGGTGTTGGAAGCCATGATGGTGAGGGCTGGATAGTCACCCCTCCTCCCAGCAACCCCCTCTGTCTGCTGTCGCCACCTTCACCATTGGCGGAGGGTTCAAGGCAGAGCTCCCTCCCACACATACTTTTCTTGCTTACTCTCTGGGCCCCAGGTCTCTGCTAACCTGAAGCTGAGTGAGAAGCAGGAGGTGAAGAAGGAGCTGGTGAGTGGGGAAGGGAGGCAGTGGGACCACTCCCTTTTGTGGTGCTGCTGAGCTCAAGGCCCCGAGCTGGGAGTGGGAGAGTGGTGGCCTAGGCCGAGACAATGCACTTAAGGGAGATGCTTTTTGAAGCTGGGGTGGTGCCTGGGGGAAGCAGAGACTCCGAAGCTGACCTGGCATGGGTGGGGTGGGGCCAGGTGACAGAGATCCTGACGGCACTGGGCCTGATGTCGTGCTCCCACACGAGGACAGCCCTGCTCTCTGGCGGGCAGAGGAAGCGTCTGGCCATCGCCCTGGAGCTGGTCAACAACCCGCCTGTCATGTTCTTTGATGAGCCCACCAGGTAGTTCTCTCCACCCTTTCCCACCAGGATACCCCTCTCCTCTCGGCCCTGAGCCAGGGCTGGAGGCTGCATCTTCTCCATGATCCAGAGCCTCTGTTCACAGCCTCCTGGGGCCAAGATAAGGGCTTCTTCCTCATCTCCACCCTTGCCAATTCTGTTGCTGTGAGCTGCCCCATCCTTCGCCTGGGCAGAGATCTAGGTGTCCTCCTTGATTGACACCTCCCTCTCCAGTCACCCTCAGCCATCAGTCACCAAGTCCTGTTGATTCTGCCTCCTTTTGATATCTCTCAGATTTGCCCTGCCCCATCTCTAATGTTGATGTTAAGTTCAGGACAGCAACAGATTCTTATCTGCTTGTCTCCAGTGTCTCCCAGTCAATCCTTTCTCCAAACTGCAGCTACAGTGAACTTTCTTTTATTTTTTTAAGATGGAGTCTCGCTCTGTCACCCAGGCTGGAGTGCAGTGGCACAATCTCGGCTCACTGCAACCTCTGACTCCCGGGTTCAAGCGATTCTCCTGCCTCAGCCTCTTGAGTAGCTGGAATTACAGGCGTGTACCACCACACCCAGCTAGTTTTTGTATTTTTAGTAGAGATGGGGTTTCACCATGTTGGTCAGGCTGGTCTTGAACTTCTGACCTCAGGTGATCCACCCGCCTTGGCCTCCCAAAGTGTTGGGATTACAGGCGTGAGCCACCGTGCCCGGACAGAGTGAACTTTCTAAAGACAAGTCTGCAGTGCTCACTCCCCTGCTTAAAACATGCAGTGTTTCCTTTCTGACTTGTCCTCGAAATAAAGTCAGGTGACTTACAAGGGCCTGGTCTGAACCTACTTCTCCAGCCTCAAGTCATGTACTTTATGCTCTAATAATACTGAGTTGCTTGTAATTCCCTGGTCAAGCCACATGTTTCATGCCTCTAAGCTTTGCCCATGCTGTGTCTTCTGCTGGAATGCCCTTCACCACTGTGCCTGCCCTCTCCCCTTCACCTGCTTAGCTCTTACTCCTGGGCTCGCTCAGGAACCTTCTCTGACTACCCTCCAACACCTGCTACAGCTGAGCTGAATCCGCCCCCTCTTTCACCCAGTGTTGCTACAGCACTTTCCACATTACCCAAAATCATCTGTGTGCTTGTCTCTCTCTCCTTCCAGACCAGAGTCTATGTCTTATTTATGCATCATTGTAATCCCAGTGCCTGGCATACAACAGGTCCTCAATATATGCTTATGAAACTGAACAGTGCTCTTGGCTTCTGGGTATCCCTCCAAGTGCCTGAACCGTAAAGGATACAGATGCGGCCAGAGTGCCCTCTTCCTGCCAGCTTCATCCCCTTCACAGCAGCTGCCCCGCCCCAGACACTCCCTTCTTTTGGCCTCACCCACCTCACGTGGCCCCCTGGTGGCCTCTCTCTGGACAGTGGTCTGGATAGCGCCTCTTGTTTCCAAGTGGTGTCCCTCATGAAGTCCCTGGCACAGGGGGGCCGTACCATCATCTGCACCATCCACCAGCCCAGTGCCAAGCTCTTTGAGATGTTTGACAAGGTGAGTGTCTCCAGGCCTCAAGGAGGATTGGCCTGAGATGGAGGGATGGAAGGGGGTCAGTAGGGGTGCCTGGCCCGCTGTTCCTTCCTTACCCTTCTCTTTCTGCTGCAGCTCTACATCCTGAGCCAGGGTCAGTGCATCTTCAAAGGCGTGGTCACCAACCTGATCCCCTATCTAAAGGGACTCGGCTTGCATTGCCCCACCTACCACAACCCGGCTGACTTCAGTGAGTGGGGGTCTGTTGGTAGGGGCTGGGAAACAGCAGTGGGCCGAACCTGGGGTCTCTGGTCTTGCACTCAGGCCTCCTAGGGGTAGAGATCTCACCGTCGCCTGCCTTCCCCACACACCCAAGGCGGGACTGACTTGCCCTTGGGAAGTGAGTGTGAATCTAAACTGAGCTCTCCACTCTGTGTCCCCAGTCATCGAGGTGGCCTCTGGCGAGTATGGAGACCTGAACCCCATGTTGTTCAGGGCTGTGCAGAATGGGCTGTGCGCTATGGCTGAGAAGAAGAGCAGCCCTGAGAAGAACGAGGTCCCTGCCCCATGCCCTCCTTGTCCTCCGGTGAGTAGGGGTGGAGAGGGCAGAGCAGGCATAGTTGGGGAGGGGAGACTGGACCATGGACAGTGGCCCTGCCAAAGAGGCTGTTCCCCAGAGGCATTGCAACCAATGGGTGCTAGGAAGAACCTAGGACTTGGAATCGACCTACTAGGAACAGCACTGTGACCTTAGGCACATTATTTAACCTCCTTGAGCTCCAGTTTCCTCATTGACTTATTCATTCAGCAAGTTCTTGTTGAGCAGCTACAGTGTGCTGTCCTCGGTCCTGGCATAGTGCCCATCTGGTAAGCAAGATCAACATGGTCCCCAGCTTAGTGGCCAGTGTGGCTTACTGTTCTCTCTAACTTAGAGATGATGATACTCACCTCACAGGGTGATTGGGAGGACTAATTAGATAATCACATAAAGCTCTTAGCACTGTAGCTGGTACAGCAGGCGTCTGCCCAGTGCTAGTTCTCTTCCTTAAATGAGACACTGTAACCCCTGAAAACCAGATTGATTAGTTTTTGTTGTTATTGTTGTCATTATCATCATTATTAAATAACATTACTGTAAAATTGGTGGCATAAAGGAATTATACCTGGCCGGATACAGTGGCCCACGCCTGTAATCCCAGCACTTTGGGAGGCCGAGGCGGGTGGGTCAGGAGATGGAGACCATCCTGGCTAACACGGTGAAACCCCATCTCTACTAAAAATACAAAAATTAGCCGGGCGTGGTGGCGGGCGCCTGTAGTCCCAGCTACTCGGGAGGCTGAGGCAGGAGAATGGCGTGAACCAGGGAGGCGGAGCTTGCAGTGAGCTGAGATTGCGCCACTGCACTCCAGACTGGGCGACAGAGCGAGACTCCGTCTCAAAAACAAAACAAAACAAAACAAAAAAAACCCAAAACAAAACAAAAAAGGAATTATACCCTTAGAGTTCATGTGTTTTGATGGATTAAAAAAGTAACCGATCTATTATTAGCCACCACGGGTGTCCATTACTTTCTTTCCATCTCCTCCCTCCCAAGTTTTTGCCCCCTTTTTGTGTCTGAATCTTGCTCTGATTCATACCCCTAAGCCTAGCTTTCAGGTACACAACTTAATGGTACAAGATTCTCTGTAGACCTGGAGGACCCCTACCCTGGGGAAGAGCTCTGAGGTTTTTCATTCACTGAGCTGGGTGTTCTGTGGGTGAATGGGGTAGGCTCACCTGATCCCGATCCAATTTCTTCTTCCCAGGAAGTGGATCCCATTGAAAGCCACACCTTTGCCACCAGCACCCTCACACAGTTCTGCATCCTCTTCAAGAGGACCTTCCTGTCCATCCTCAGGGACACGGTGAGGCGTCAGGCTGGGGGAGAGGAGGCTGGCACAGGCCTGACCTTTTGGGCTGTAGGATCCCAGCAGCTGAAATGGGAATGGGGACCCTCCCTCACAGCCCTGCAATGTGCCTGTGGGGTCTCTGTGCCTGTGAGGGCAGCTCCGAGTTCCTACTCCAAGTCTACTCTGTGGCTTGCCCTGGCCTGTAACACATCCCTCTCCTGGTGATGACCCCTCCCAAGGTCCTGACCCACCTACGGTTCATGTCCCACGTGGTTATTGGCGTGCTCATCGGCCTCCTCTACCTGCATATTGGCGACGATGCCAGCAAGGTCTTCAACAACACCGGCTGCCTCTTCTTCTCCATGCTGTTCCTCATGTTCGCCGCCCTCATGCCAACTGTGCTCACCTGTGAGCTGAGCTGCCCTGGGCATGGGGCAAGGGTGTGGGTGCTGGGGCTTGGGGCAGGGGCCAGGGTGTCGGCCGGGTGTGCCTAAGCAGCCTGTGTCCTCAGTCCCCTTAGAGATGGCGGTCTTCATGAGGGAGCACCTCAACTACTGGTACAGCCTCAAAGCGTATTACCTGGCCAAGACCATGGCTGACGTGCCCTTTCAGGTGGGCCTCTTCCTCCCACCTGCCCACTGCCTCCATCTTGTCTTGCTCCTTCTATCCTTGCTTTCTTGCCTCCCTCAAACTTGTCACTTTCCTTCCTTTGCTGTCCTTCTACTCACTTAGCAAATAGATGGTGAGTACCTGTCATAGCCCAGGCTCTGTACCAGGCCCTAGGGATATAGCATTGAACTAGACTGATGTAGTCTTGACCATGTGGAACTTATGTTTTAGTGAGGACAACTGACAACAAACAGAAAATGATGAAAATAACCCTATAGGGCCAGGCGCAGTGGCTTGCGCCTGTAATCCCAGCACTTTGGGAAGCCGAGGCTGGAGGATCACTTGAGCTCAGGAGTTTGACACCAGCCTGGGCAACATGGCGAAATCCCATCTCTACTAAAAATACAAAAATTAACCAGGCTTGGTGTTGTGCACCTGTAGTCCCAGCTACTGGGGGCAATAACCCTACAAATGACTCTGTAACTCTTATTAGGGGCAGTAGAAAATGGTGTACTCTCTGGCTCTTACTGCCACTTGCTACCTGCAAGATCTTGGGCAAATCACTCTCTTTGCTAAAGTGTACCCATCTATAAAATGGAATGACAATAGTATCTACCTCAGGATTGTTAGAATTGAATGAGTTAATGTATATAAAGTACTTAGAATAGTGCTTGGCACATACGAAGTGCCCAGCAAATGTTAGCTGGTTGTTGTTACCGCCAATACCACCCTGTTCCAAGCATCAGGGCCACCAGTAATCCATAGGGCACATCTGTGCAAGTTAGAAAAAGGTGCCCCTTCCTCAGGGTGGACACCGTCACAGGATGCTTGGCTTAATAAGAAGAGCACAAGCTGGACCTTTGGCCTGGTTGGCTCTTGGTTGGATGCCCTTGAGCAGTGGATGACTGTACTTAGTAAGCTCAGACCCTGCCCCCTAGGAGTTGGTAGCTCATGGGGGAACAAAATGGCTCTCCTATGGAGAGTTAATTACTTAACAATATAACGAATAAGCTGGTCCAGGTGGGAAGGACTTTAGGCGCTCAGGGAAGGGAAGAGTCACCGTGCCTGAAGCAGTCAGGGTGGACCAAACGGAAGACGTGAGACGAGATAAGTGATGGTCATATGGCCAGGGAGGAAGGGGACGTGTGTCAATCTGGGGGACAGCTTGAACAAGAATGTGGAGGCAGGATGGACACCCTGGGAATAGGTATTCTAGAGGCCCAGCCTTGGGTGGAGTGGAGGTCTTGGCTGCTGTGCCCCTGGCTTGAAGTCCACTGTCCAGCCCGTGCCCACTCCCCAGGTGGTGTGTCCGGTGGTCTACTGCAGCATTGTGTACTGGATGACGGGCCAGCCCGCTGAGACCAGCCGCTTCCTGCTCTTCTCAGCCCTGGCCACCGCCACCGCCTTGGTGGCCCAATCTTTGGGGCTGCTGATCGGAGCTGCTTCCAACTCCCTACAGGTGGGAGGGCTGGCAGTTGGGAATTCCCAAGGCGGGATGAGGTCTTGTGGGAGGAAGCAGGGCCTGGTGCAAGGGTTAGGGTGGAGCTCTAGGAAACCTGGGTTTGTCCTGGTCACCCCTATGATGGCCTGGCCCCCTCCCTTCCCCTCTAGGTGGCCACTTTTGTGGGCCCAGTTACCGCCATCCCTGTCCTCTTGTTCTCCGGCTTCTTTGTCAGCTTCAAGACCATCCCCACTTACCTGCAATGGAGCTCCTATCTCTCCTATGTCAGGTCAGTACCCCTGCCCTCCTCGTTGGCCTCTGCTCCTCCCTGGAGGAGTCCATACCCAGGGCTTCCTGGGTTGTGCCAAGTCTGCTGCCTGCCCCATTATCCTTTGGGCAGGGGCACCCTGGCTGCACCCCAGGGATGACAGCATTGCAGCTGGGCTCTGGCAGTTTTCTCAGAGAGCAGGGACCCTGTGTGCTGTATCCCATCTGATATCCCTGCCTGCCTAGGTATGGCTTTGAGGGTGTGATCCTGACGATCTATGGCATGGAGCGAGGAGACCTGACATGTTTAGAGGAACGCTGCCCGTTCCGGGAGCCACAGAGCATCCTCCGAGCGCTGGATGTGGAGGATGCCAAGCTCTACATGGACTTCCTGGTCTTGGGCATCTTCTTCCTAGCCCTGCGGCTGCTGGCCTACCTTGTGCTGCGTTACCGGGTCAAGTCAGAGAGATAGAGGCTTGCCCCAGCCTGTACCCCAGCCCCTGCAGCAGGAAGCCCCCAGTCCCAGCCCTTTGGGACTGTTTTAACCTTATAGACTTGGGCACTGGTTCCTGGCGGGGCTATCCTCTCCTCCCTTGGCTCCTCCACAGGCTGGCTGTCGGACTGCGCTCCCAGCCTGGGCTCTGGGAGTGGGGGCTCCAGCCCTCCCCACTATGCCCAGGAGTCTTCCCAAGTTGATGCGGTTTGTAGCTTCCTCCCTACTCTCTCCAACACCTGCATGCAAAGACTACTGGGAGGCTGCTGCCTCCTTCCTGCCCATGGCACCCTCCTCTGCTGTCTGCCTGGGAGCCCTAGGCTCTCTAGGGCCCCACTTACAACTGACCAAAGTGGCCCCCTCTGGGGGTCCCCACCACACAAGTGTTTGTAAACTGGGCTGCTATAAGGTTGGAGTTCCAGGGCTGGGCCCTGGTGGAGTCCACTGGAAGTCCCATTATGGATGTTGAAATGGACAGGGAAGGACTCTGGAAGTCTCTTCCTCCTCCTCCTCTTCTCTCCACCCCTAGACCCTGGCTGACTTGGACAATCTGCCAGGACAGAAGCTGGGTTTTCTGTCTAGGTCACCACTCCCAATCCTGGGGATTGGAGAGGCCTGGGGCTGTGGGATGCCCCATCCCCCTCCCCATCACCTTTGGTGGGGGCAGGGCCTGGTGGCACCTGTGCAATAATGTCTGTGTTTCTCTCCCACCTGCCACTGGAACTGGAGAATGCACTTTATTCTGGGCGGGGGGTGAGTGGGGGAAGACCCAACCCTCCTTTCTCGCTGCCCCTAACGCATGCACGGTCTCGTGATGCTCCCTCCCTCTCCGGAGTGACAGGCACATACATGAGAACAGGCCATCTCAGCCCTACACACTTGCCATCCCCTACAGCACAGAGGAAGAGTGATGGTGGCATGCTGGTGGTGGCGGGTGCTGGTGGGAGGACAGTGCCAACCTCCTCCTGGGGATCCCATGTTGGAGACTCTAAGGATAAGGCTGGTGCTGCCCAGGGTGTCTACAGGAACTGCAGGTGTCTACCCCCAAGTCTTCCCTCCTCCCAAGCCAGGGGTGGCACAGGGCACTAGATCCCTGGAGTTCAGGAACCAACACAAGCACAACCACGGGCATAAGTTGGCCTTGGCCACTGCCACCCACGGCCCTCCTTTTGTGCTCCATGCTGGCATCTTCACTCCCCTACCCCTTCCCCAGCCACTGCTGCTCATTCAAACTTCTGTCCATGTCCCTCCACTGTTCCTATCAGCAGGTGGCCCCTGGGCATCAGAACAGCCTGCCCTGGGCACCAGGTGGCAGACACACTCAGAGCATGTCTGGCTTTCCTGGTGGGTCCAGGCTCATTCTGCTTCTGATTTCCCCTCCCCCAGGGCTCATTTTCCCCCTTTTTCCTGTACACATCCCTGTCTACCTCCTCTCACCCTGCCACAGATTCTTCCTATCACACAGGGATGCCAGTTGTATTTGTGGGATTTCACCCATTATTAATAAAACCTATATTTATACAGTATGCAATGTGTAAATGTGTGTGGATCTGCCACCTGGTACTGTGCCCTGCAAGGGGGCCTTCAAAGCATTTGGCATGAGGCCTGTCAGCTGTAGGGAGTCTGTGGCAGGGGATGGTAGGTCCCAGGTACATGTCAAGCTAGTGAACATGTAGCTTAAGAAATATTTGTGTCACCGGGCATGGTGGCTCACGCCTGTAATCCCAGCACTTCGGGAGGCCGAGGCGGGCGAATCACGAGGTCAGGAGATCGAGACAATCTTGGCTAACACGATGAAACCCCATCTCTACTAAAAATACAAAAAATTAGCCGGGCGTGGTGGCGGGTGCCTGTAGTCCCAGCTACTCGGGAGGCTGAGGCAGGAAAATGGCATGAACCCGGGAGGCGGAGGTTGCAGTGAGCCGAGATCGTGCCACTGCACTCCAGCCTGGGCGACAGAGCGAGACTCCGTCTCAAAAAAAAAAAAAAAAAAAAAAGAAATATTTGCATCATGCTGTCCATCTCACAGAGGCTTCACATTCATTATCTCAAGGGAGTCTCATGCTGACCCTGCACCATCCTTCATGACAACCCGTTTTGTAGATGAGAGAACTGAGACTTGGGTTAAGTAACCTACCCAAGGGCCCTCAACGAATGGAGGAGGAGCCAGGCCTGGAGACCAGGTCTTCTGCCTCCAAAGTCCTCTTTCTTGGCATCGGTCAATGGCACTTGTTCATGGTGGACCCACATGCTGTGTGGGGGAGCTGCGTGTCTGTTGTATGAGTGAGTTCTTGCCCAAATGATGCCTGCCTCTGTCTTCAGGACTCACTGAGCCCTGGGTGTGCCTGCAGGGGTGGGGTGTGTTAATGGTTATGGAGGGCAGTGAGAAGCAGGAAAGACCCTGGAGCCCCATCCCTAGGATGGGAGTGGCGGGGGCCTCGCTGGGCTTACTCGCCTTTCCCCTTGGCTTCTCCTCTCTTCCCACCCAGCCACCCTTACTGGGGCTGAACTGTCAGCCACCAGGAATACAAATGGGTCTGGTGGCTGGGGGTTTGGAGCAGGCAAGTGTCCAGAAGTTCTTGAGGACTGGGGGCAGGACAACCCAAGAAGCAGCGCACTGCCTCACCCTCTTCTCTCCTGGGCCTGAGGCTTGGGGACTGAAGGAAATGACTGGCATCAACCTGCCAGCTGCCTGGAACACCCTAGTTGTGCCACATGTAGACTTAAGTGACCCAAACTAAACTAGGGTCCAAGTTATGAGTGGTTGGGTGCTCACCTGGAGGTGAATGACTTTTTTTTTTTTTCTTATGGAGGTTTGTGATGGGAGTGGAAAGCATGAAGAAGTCTGAGTTCAAGCTCCTGGAATTCTAGTTAGATTTAGAGGGCATTCTGGGTGCCTCCTTCTCCCTGGAGTGATGCCAACAGATGGCTTTTGACGTATCAAAGGGCATGAAATCCCACCATTAAAGCATCTGTCTTAAGATTCTTATTTTACTCTCTCTCTCTTTTTTATTTAAAGACAGGGTCTCACTCTGTCACCTGGGCTGTAGTGCAGTGGTACAAACATAGCTCATTGCAGCTTGAACTCCTGGGCTCAAGGGATCCTCCTCCCTCAGCCTCCTGAGTAGCTGGGATGATAGGTGTATGTCACTATGCCCAGATAATTTTTAATTTTTTTTTTTTTTTGAGACAGAGTTTCACTTTTGTTGCCAGGGCTTGAGTGCAATGGCGCGATCTCGGCTCACTGCAACCTCCGCCTCCCAGGTTCAAGCGACTGTCCTCCCTCAGCCTCCGGAGTAGCTGGGATTACAGGCATGCACTACCACGCCCAGCTAATTTTGTATTTTTAGTAGAGACGGGGTTTCTCCATGTTGGTCAGGCTGCTCTTGAACTCCTAACCTCAGGCCTAATTTTTAAATTTTTTAAAATGTAGAGATGGGGTCTCATCACGTTGCCCAGGCTGGTCTCCAACTCCTGGGCTGAAACGTTCCTCTCAGCTCAGCTTCCGAAAGTGTTAGTATTACAGGCATGAGCCACCATGCCCGGCCCTCTTTCTCTTTTTAAAACGTAAATACTAGGGCATGGCATGGTAGCTCACATCTGTAATTCCAGGACTTTGGGAGGCCAGCCTGGGCAACACAGTGAGGCCCCATCACTACAGCTCTCTATAAAAACAAACAAACAAACAAACAAACAAACAATTAGCTGGGCATGGTGGCAATGCTTGTAGTCCTAGTTACTTGGGAGGCTGAGGTGAGAGGATCACTTGAGCCCAGGAGTTTGAGATTACAGTGAGCTATGATTGTGCCACTGCACCCCAGCCTGGGTGATAGAGTGACACCCTGTTAAAAAAAAAATCCAGTAAATACTTTTTTTTTTTTTTTGAGATGGAGTCTCTCTCTGTCGCCCAGGCTGGAGTGCAGTGGTACCATCTCGGCTCGCTGCAAGCAAGCTCTGCCTCCTGGGTTCACGACATTCTCCTGCCTCAGCCTCCCAAGTAGCTGGGACTAGAGGTGCCTGCCACTACGCCTGGCTAATTTTTTTGTATTTTTAGTAGAGACGGGGTTTCACCGTGTTAGCCAGGATGGTCTCAATCTCCGGACCTCGTGATCCACCCGTCTCGGCCTCCCAAAGTGCTGGGATTACAGACATGAGCCACCACTCCCGGCGAGATACTGTACTCTTGCCACTGTGCCCTACCCCATGTTCCTCCCACCAGTCCCAGTAACCTGCTGAGTTGGAGCATAAATGCTCCCTGCCCATCTAAGTATGTTTTGAAGTGGGCCCTCTCTCCCTAAGTGCCAAAGTACCTAAGTACCTGGGCTTACAGATCATCTTTTTTTTTTTCTTTTTTGAGACGGAGTCTCACTCTGTAGCCCAAGCTGGAGTGCAGTGGCGTGATCTCGGCTCACTGCAACCTTCGCCTCTGGGGCTCAAGCAATTCTCCTGCCTCAGCCTCCCAAGTAGCTGGGACTAGAGGCGTGCGCCACCACACCTGGTTAATTTTTTTTGTATTTTTAGTAGAGGCGGGGTTTCACCATGTAGCCCTGATGATCTCGAACTCCTGAGCTCAGGCAATCCACCCACACTGGCCTCCCAAAGTGCTGGGATTACAGGCGTGAGCCACCACGCCCATCTGATATCATCTTCTTTAACACAGTCACCTTCTCTGTGTCCAGACCTATGCAAAGTGCTGAAGACCAGAGTTGACTAAGACAGTTGTCCATGCAATAATTCTTTTTTTTTGAGACAGGGTCTCGCTCTGTCACCCATGCTAGAGTACAGGGTGCAACCATGGCTTACTGCAGCCTCAACTTCCTGGGCTCAAGCGATCCTCCCATCTCAGACTCTAGAGTAGCTGGGACCGCAGGTGCGTGCCACCATGCCTAGCTAATTTTTTAAAAATTATTTTTGTGGAGTCAGGGTTCTATTATGTTGCCCAAGCTGGTCTCAAACTCCTGGGCTCGAGTGATCCTTCTGCCTTAGCCTCCCAAAGTGCTGGGATTACAGGTGTGAGCAACCACACCCCGGCCTCATGCTATAACTTTTTTTTTTTTTTTTAGACAGAGTCTCACTCTGTAGCCAAGGCTGGAGTGTGTAGTGGCATGATCGCGGCTCACTGCAACCTCTGCCTCCTGGGTTCAAGCGATTCTCCTGCCTCAGCCTCCTGAGTAGCTGGGACTACAGGTGCCTGCCACCAAGCCTGGCTAATTTTTTTGTATTTCTAGTAGAGACGGGGTTTCACCACGTTGGTCAGGCTGGTCTCGAACTACTGACCTCAGGTGATCCACCCACCTCGGCCTCCCAAAGTGCTGGGATTATAGGGTGAGCCACTGCACCGCATCCTAGGTCAGACAACAGAGGACATGCCCACGGCATGACTCACAGTACTTCTGTCTGCAAGAGGCCAGTCAAAGTATATGTTATTAATAAAACCTACATGGTTGTCGTACCCATGGGGAAGGTGACAGGGGAGGAAAACAGATTGCTCTGAGCTGTGTCCAGGAACTGCTGCCAGGTGACTGTCTTGCATGGCTAGGTAAGTGGAATGAAGCTAGAGGAGATTACCAGGCCCAAACTGTCACCCATGAGACTACATTCATGGGGTTCCTATACTTCCCCTCCCACATCCTATTCTACTCCCCTTGAAGAACCTCTTTTAAAATGCAAATGTGTTGTTCACCCTGCTGCTGGGATGCCCTGCCTTTCCTTTCTCTGATTTATTTATTTATTGAGACAGGGTCTCTCTCTGTTGCCCAGGTTGGAGTGCAGTGGTGCAATCTTGGCTCACTGCAACCTCCGCCTCCCAGGTTCAAGCAATTCTCCTGCTTCAGTCTCCTGAGTAGCTGTGATTATGGGCATGTGCCACCATGCCCAGCTAATTTTTTGTGCTTTTGTTTTTATTTTTGAGACACGGTTTTGCTTTATCTCCCAGGCTAGAGTGCAGTGGCATGATCTCGGCTCACTGCAACCTCTACCTCCCAAGTTCAAGCAATTCTTGTGCCTCAGCCTTCTGAGTAGCTGGTACTACAGGCCCATGCCACCACGTCTGGTTGATTTTTTTTTTTTTTTTGATACAGAGTCTTGCTCTGTCTCCCAGGCTGGAATGCAGTGGCGTGATCTTGGCTCACGGCAACCTCCGCCTCCTGGATTCAAGCGATTCTCCTGCCTAAGCCTCCTGTGTAGCTGGGACTGCAGGCATGCACCACCCAGCCCGGCTAATTTTTGTATTTTTAGTAGAGATGAGGTTTCACCACGTTGCCTAGGTTGGTCGTGAACTTCTGAGCTCAGGCAATCCGCCTGCCTTGGCCTCCCAAAGTGCTAGGATTACAGGCATGAGCCACCATGCCTGGCCAATTTTTGTTATTTTTAGTAGAGACGGGGGTTTCACCATGTTGGCCATGGTGACGAGTTTGAGCTGGTCCCAAACTCCTGGCCTCAGGAGATCTGCCCTCACCCCCAGCCTTCCAAAGTGCTGAGATTACAGGTGTGAGCCACCGCGGCTGGTCCTCTGATTTATTTTTTCAGATCCAGTACAAATGTTACCTCCTCTGCACTCCCTTTTCCAGACTCTCCTAATGCCTTGCCTCTGCCACTGAAGTACATCATTTGTTTGTCTGTTTTTTATATTTTTATTTTCTATTTTCATTTTAAATAGAGACAGGGTCTCACTATGTCACCCAGGCTGGTCTCAAACTCCTGGTCTCAAGTGATCCTCCTGCCTCGGCCTTGAAGTACATCATTTGTAAATGTGGTAGTTGATTCCATTAAAGTGAGGTGCCTGCCTTGCTGTGGTTGGCAGCCCAGGGCCTAGTGCTGGACCTGGCTTGTGGGGGTGAGGTGCTCAGTGCTACCCAATACCACAGTACAACGAATGAACAAATGTCTAAATGAAACATCCACATTGTTTTCAGTAAGTCCTCTTCCCAGCCCTGCCCTGGAGAGCCTCTCTGTGGGTGCCCTAGTGCACAGCTCTGTTGTGTGAACATCGTACACTCATGCTTGCATACGAAGGCGTGCCCTGGCTGTGGGTGGTGGGTGGCTCCTCCTTCTGGGCTACGTGAGCCCAGGGTGTGGAAGTGTGTGGAAGTGTAGGGATAAGGGTGGGGGCTTTGGGAACTGGGAAGCCCCAGGGCTAGGCCATGAATGGGTGTCAGACCCGAAGAGCAGGTTGGGGTGCAAGTTGTCCTTCAGCCCCCATTCTTCCTTCTTTCTTAACCAAGGTTACCAGCAGCCACACACATAGGTCTGGGCTCTGAAGAGGACCGGATACATAAGGCAGAACCCAAGGAAGCCTTAGGCTCAGGTCTCTGCCTGAAGGTAGGCTGGGGAGGCGGAGAGGGACAGAGGGAAGAATCCCCTGGACACCGCGCCTCAGGGAGGCCCAGGGGTAAGGTAGGAAGACTCAGGCCCGGGATGTTGTTCTGGCTCATCCACTTCCTAACTGAATCAACCTGCACAAGTCATTTCACCCTTCTGAGCATCAGTTTCTTCATCTGTAAAATGGGCCTAACAAGCAGCCCAGCCTGGGAGGTGGTTAGTGAGGTCACTGGGTGTCACTGGCGCTTGGGAACCTGCAGAGGGCAGTACTAGCGGCAGTGCCCGCGGGGATGGAGGCAGGGAGGGGGGACGATGGCGGGACGGGTGGCGCCGGGGTTCCAGCCCTGCGCCTGCTCCGGAGCACCGGGCCCCTCTCGCTGACCCCCTCGTCCCAGGACCCCGCAGGCCCGAGTGCCTGGGCTCGTCCTCTTTCGCGCCCGCTGCCAGGTGCCAGGGCCGCGCAGGCGGGCGGAGGTGGGCAGGAAGCGCCACGCCGAGGAGCCGGGGACTCTGGGAGCTAGCGGGAGACGCCGGCGTCCGCCCAGCCGACCCCTCTGGGCCGCGGCCGACGGCTCCCGGAACTGGGCAGCCGCGGGTAAAGGCCTAGCGGGCTTGATAACCCCTGCGCCCTGGCTGGGAGGCCGCGCTGAGCGGGGGGCAGGGCGGGCCGGGGGAGGAGGCTGTGCAAGGGCCGCGGGGAGATCCCGGCCGAGAACGAGAGGGACGGAGCTGGGCGCTGAATGGCGGGCGTTCTGGCAAGTCTCCCCCTGCGTTCCCGAGGCCACCCGAAAGTAGGAGAGCTGTTTGGGACCCAGTTTGGTGGAGGAGCTCTGGACCTGTAGGAACACCGCCCCTGTACGTTTCCTGCAGTGCCCCCTCCTTTTCTCATTGCCCTGGAGACCTGGGTGATCACCGGAGAACTGCCCTCGGCCCCGCAAGTCCCGTCTTGACTCAGTGGCCCTAGATCCGAGGTTAAACCGGAACCTAGGCTTTCTCAGGCTTCTGGAGCCCTCTCTTAACCCTTCCGCAGCCCCTGGGACGGGCCAGCACCCAGCCAGCTCCTCCGCTGGTTGGCCCTGCTAAGGCAGGTGGCCCAATGCAGCCAGTTCTCCTTAAGCGTACCCTGCCCAAGAAGCCCCGATCTCAGTGGAGGAGACCAGGTGCCAAATAGGGGCACATTCCATTTAAGTGAGTTCAGAGGCCTCAGAAAAGACTTCCCAGGGACGGAGACTTTTGAGCAGGATCTTAAAAGATTGGTTGGGGCCCGAGTGGTGGCTCGCGCCTGCAGTCCCCGCACTTTGGGAGGGCAAGGCGGGCGGATCACTTGAGCCCAGGAGTTCGAGACCACCCTGGGCAACAATGGTGAAAACCCCGTCTCTACAAAAACCAAAGCCAAAAATTAGCCAGGTGTGGTGGCACACCACTTTAGTCCTAGCTACTCAGGAGGCTGAAGCAGGAGGATGGCTTGAGCCCAGGAGGTAGAGGTTGCTGTGAGCTGAGATCGTACTACTGCACTCCAGCCTGGGCAACAGAGCGAGAGACCCTGTCTCAGGAAAAAAAAAAAAAAAAAAAAAAAAAAAAAAAAAATTGGTTGGGACTCTAACAGAGGAAAAAGGTCATTCCAAACTGGGAAGAGTGTATGAACAAATTTAGGACAGCAAGAGCAAGAATCCGGTGAGCCTGGGGTATAAGGCACAGGCTGGGACAAACTCAGAAAAATAGCTTGTGGGAGCCCAGTGTTTGGACTCTATAAGTAACCTTGGACTTTTCGGGAGGTGCTTGGTGCTTGGGGTGAGGGATTAGAATGGGATGAGACTGAAGGCAGAAAGGCTGGTGAGGAGATCGGGTCCAATAAATGCTGGTCGGGGCAGCAACTGGCTGGCAAAGCAGTGGGGAGGAATTGCTAGGACTCTTCACACTGCCTAAAGGAGCAAGGGAAGAAAGATTTGAAGAGAGAGGTCAGGTTTCTAATGTAAGGCGTGGGTGGGAAGATTTGCAGCAAGGTAAATGACAAGAGGAGGGGAATGATGAGTTCAGTTTTACATGGGAGAAGTTTGAAGCAGTGGCAGGTTGTCCATCTGGAGATGTCAAGTGAGAAGTTCATTCATTTATTTATTATTTATGTCAGCCTCAAAGGCTGCTTACATAAAAGTCACAGAGAACATAAAATGATGAAGCCATTAAAACTCAGCTAAAAGGATCTGATATCTGCGGAAGAAAGGCAGAGTGGGGTGGATAATTATTACTGGAAAATCTAGGCACAGAAAAGCCACTGAAAATGAACACAGGACTCCTATCTGAGCTTGCTGGTGGCCAAGAAGGAAAAAGGACACCTAAATAAAGCAGTTTACCAGGGTGGAACTCAGGGAAAGGTGTTCGTGAAGCTTCAGGGGAGAGGCAAGACGTGGCAGGAAGGCCAGGTGTGATGGCTCACACTTGTAATCCCAGCACTTTGCAAGGCCAAGGCAGGCAGATTACCTGAGGTCAGAAGTTCAAGACCAGCTTAACCAACATGGTAAACCCCGTCTCTACTAAAAATACAAAAATTAGCCCAGTGTGGTGGTGGGCGCCTGTAATCCCAGCTACTTGGGAGGCTGAGGCAGGAGAATCGCTTGGGCCCGGGAGGCATAGGCTTCAATGAGCCACAATCATGCCTGGGCAACAGAGGGGCACTCCATCTCAAAAAAGAAAAAAGAAAAAAAAGGTGGTAGGAGATAAAATGGGATTCCTCAAGCTGGAGTTTGGGAGAGGGACGAGAGCTGAAAACCAGGCCAGGGCTTCAGCAGGGCCAACATTTGAGGAAGGGCTGATCCTCTCCTGGGAGGAAGGTCCCTCCTTGGCTGGAATGGGGTTAGGGGTGCAGGGGAGGAGTGGTGGCAGTGATCCATTCGTACTATTCTTCTTGCAGGACAGAAGTCGGTCCTAGGCCCCCCAGGCTCTGACCTTCTTTCCCAGGATGAGGTGGGGCCACCATTTGCCCAGGGCCTCTTGGGGCTCTGGTTTTAGAAGAGCACTCCAGCGACCAGGTGAGCAGGAAGCAGGGGTTTCTGTTTTTACCTCTTTCTTGCTTTCCAGGGTCCACATGATGCCTCCAAGACAGCAGGGATCCAGACACCAGGTGCACTAGTCTCAGCTCCGTGGTTCTCTAGCTGTTGACCTTGAGCATGTCGCTTCACCTTCCTCAGCTGCCTTTTTCCCAACCTAAAATAAGGGAGTTGGACTTGGCCAGGTGCGGTGGCTCATGCCTGTAATCCTAGCACTTTGGAAGGCCGAGGCAGGCGGATCACAAGATCAGGAGTTTGAGACCAGCCTGGCAACATGGTGAAACCCTGTCTCTATTAAAACTACAAAAAAAAAAATTAACCAGGTGTAGTGGTGCACACCTGTAATCCCAGCTAGTTGGGAGGCTGAGGCAGGAGAATCATTTGAACCGGGAGGCAGAAGTTGCAGTGAGCTGAGATCGCACCATTGCACTCCAGCCTGGACAATAGAGTAAGACTCTGTCTCAAAAAAAAAAAAAGAGAGTTGGACTAGATCATCTTCGAGAGTCTCTTGTAGCTACATAAGTCTAGGAACTTGTCTGATTTTACTTTACATACAACAGAGATTTACTGAGTGCCTGCCGTACCGCAGACCTGGTGTTAAGTTCTAAGTAAATAATTGTGAACAAAAACAGACGTAAAGGGGACAAAAAAATTTTAAAACACCCAAATGTGATCCCTCTCATGGAGGAGAGAGGAATGAATGTTAATCGAATAATCACACAATGAAATATAAAATTGCAAAATAACTGCTGCAAAGGGGCAGTACATGCTGCTATGAGAGCAAATACTGGGGGGTTTGATGTAGACATGGGTTCTGTGTATTGCATGGGATCTGCAGATGCTATTTCTTCCTTCTCTCTGTAGATGATCGTATCCCCTTCCTGATCCACTGGAGTTGGCCCCTTCAAGGGGAGCGTCCCTTTGGGCCCCCTAGGTGAGGCCTGGGTGTCATACCTTAGGACTAGTCTGGGCACAACAGAGCAGACTGGGAAGGGTCAGGACTTGGGGCTAGCTTGATCTCTTGGGGACCTTGGGGAGGGGCTTGGTCCTTTGGGGGTGGGAGGACAGTGGCAGCTCCAAGGCCTGAGAGGAAGTTGGCTTAGATCATCTGTGGTAGAAGGCATAGTAGTCAGTGGAGGGAGGACCCTGTGGGAAGTGGGTGGAGCCTCACATGGCCAGCCTGAGTTCCAGGCGGGCAGTCAGCAGTGGGGTCTGGAGGGCTAGGGCTAAGGCCTCAGCACCTGGGAAGGGTGTGAGAGTCAGACAAGCCTCTAAACTTGGGGGTCCAGTGTGGGGCCTTTATCTCAGGAAACCAGAAGTCTAGCAGTGCAGATAGGCTTGGACCCAGAGCCTGTGAAGGGGCTGATCCAAGTTACAAGTCCCAGCTCATCCCCTCTCCTTGTTCCCAGGGCCTTTATACGCCACCACGGAAGCTCGGTAGATAGCGCTCCCCCACCCGGGAGGCATGGACGGCTGTTCCCCAGCGCCTCTGCAACTGGTAAAGGGACTGGCTGGGACCCTGGTCAGGGGGTGTGGTGGGCAGACGGGGCTGGAAGGAGAAGCAGGGTGAGGGAGGCATAGAGGATCCACTGCCATCTTCCATCGGTGGTCCCTCCTCCTCTCTCTCTCTCCCTCCCATCCGTCTATGTATCCCTTCCTGCAATACTCTTGCAATGCACACTTATATGTACAAAGCGCTAGGAGAGCCATACCATCCCTATGCTCAACAAAGTTGGGTCAAGCAGGTTAAGACGGCACATAGGTCACTGTGAAACCAGTTTGTCCAGTGGCTTCCCACTTTCTGACATAGGGGTTCCAGACTTTCTGGACAGTCTATATTTTCTCAGGGAGTCTTGTGTGCCCACCATTGTGGGCCCCAGCATCTATGCCGTGATGTCCCAGCCTGACCTCACCACCGCCCTGATTGGCCCTAAGCTACATCTCCAGGCCCCTTTCCCTGACACATTTCCCTTATCTTCCCACTCAGAAGCTATACAGCGGCACCGCCGGAACCTGGCTGAGTGGTTCAGCCGGCTGCCCAGGGAGGAGCGCCAGTTTGGCCCAACCTTTGCCCTAGACACGGTCCACGTTGACCCTGTGATCCGCGAGAGTACCCCTGATGAGCTACTTCGCCCACCCGCGGAGCTGGCCCTGGAGCATCAGCCACCCCAGGCCGGGCTCCCCCCACTGGCCTTGTCTCAGCTCTTTAACCCGGATGCCTGTGGGCGCCGGGTGCAGACAGTGGTGCTGTATGGGACAGTGGGCACAGGCAAGAGCACGCTGGTGCGCAAGATGGTTCTGGACTGGTGTTATGGGCGGCTGCCGGCCTTCGAGCTGCTCATCCCCTTCTCCTGTGAGGACCTGTCATCCCTGGGCCCTGCCCCAGCCTCCCTGTGCCAACTTGTGGCCCAGCGCTACACGCCCCTGAAGGAGGTTCTGCCCCTGATGGCTGCTGCTGGGTCCCACCTCCTCTTTGTGCTCCATGGCTTAGAGCATCTCAACCTCGACTTCCGGCTGGCAGGCACGGGACTTTGTAGTGACCCGGAGGAACCGCAGGAACCAGCTGCTATCATCGTCAACCTGCTGCGCAAATACATGCTGCCTCAGGTGGGTGGCCCTTTACCCCAGGTTATCACTGCTGCCCGTTGACTCGCCCCCTAGGTCCTGGGTTACTTTAACTCCTGGTCCCTTCACTTCCCAGTGGTGCGACCCTGAGCAAGTCAGTAACTTCCCCAGCCTTCTGTTCCTTTCTTTTTGAGTTGCTCTGATCAAATGGGGTACTGCATATAATATTAGCACAGCGGCCTGGATCACAGCAGGTGTTCAGTAATTGCTAGTTATAACTGTTATCCTCATCAATGTCTTCATCCTTGGACACTCCGTCTTCAGGGGTCCCCTGGGAATAGAAGCAGTCAACAGGACACTAAGGTCTTTCTTAACTCTCAACCATGCTCTTCCCAGGCCAGCATTCTGGTGACCACTCGGCCCTCTGCCATTGGCCGTATCCCCAGCAAGTACGTGGGCCGCTATGGTGAGATCTGCGGTTTCTCTGATACCAACCTGCAGAAGCTCTACTTCCAGCTCCGCCTCAACCAGCCGTACTGCGGGTATGCCGTTGGCGGTTCAGGTGTCTCTGCCACACCAGCTCAGCGTGACCACCTGGTGCAGATGCTCTCCCGGAACCTGGAGGGGCACCACCAGATAGCCGCTGCCTGCTTCCTGCCGTCCTATTGCTGGCTCGTTTGTGCCACCTTGCACTTCCTGCATGCCCCCACGCCTGCTGGGCAGACCCTTACAAGCATCTATACCAGCTTCCTGCGCCTCAACTTCAGCGGGGAAACCCTGGACAGCACTGACCCCTCCAATTTGTCCCTGATGGCCTATGCAGCCCGAACCATGGGCAAGTTGGCCTATGAGGGGGTGTCCTCCCGCAAGACCTACTTCTCTGAAGAGGATGTCTGTGGCTGCCTGGAGGCTGGCATCAGGACGGAGGAGGAGTTTCAGCTGCTGCACATCTTCCGTCGGGATGCCCTGAGGTTTTTCCTGGCCCCATGTGTGGAGCCAGGGCGTGCAGGCACCTTCGTGTTCACCGTGCCCGCCATGCAGGAATACCTGGCTGCCCTCTACATTGTGCTGGGTTTGCGCAAGACGACCCTGCAAAAGGTGGGCAAGGAAGTGGCTGAGCTCGTGGGCCGTGTTGGGGAGGACGTCAGCCTGGTACTGGGCATCATGGCCAAGCTGCTGCCTCTGCGGGCTCTGCCTCTGCTCTTCAACCTGATCAAGGTAACATCCCGATCAAGGTAACCCCCCAACCTGCTCCTTCCCTCCCCAGCACCCCAAGCCGCCCACGCCCCCACATGGTTCCCTGTTCACCCCTTGCTCCTCTCCCAGCAGGAAACTGCTGCTTCCTGCAAAGGTATGAATCTTCTCCCTGGATCTGGTTTCAGCTCTGAGCATTTTGGCTTTTAGTGGGATTGCAGAGAGAGAAGCCACAAGGCTGGGGAAGGCTTGGTGGCTGGGGAAGGGAACCTGGGGACGTGGGGACTTTAATAATAATGCTACATGGATTCCTAAAAATGGTTTCCTTTTTGTGTCTTTCCTCCTAGGAGGCAGGCCTATCCTCTGCTTTGCAGGTCCAGAAACTCGATTGTGTCTGCTCCTCCAGAGGTGATTAGGCTCTGAGAGTGATGACTCATCCTAACTAAATCACCAGAGACGGGTTTATAAAGCAGATGCCATTTTATTCATTTATACTAGGAAGATAAATGGCATTGGTAATTGGCTTAGGGGAGTCATCATGAGGGCAGGTCCACTCCAGAAACCAAATTACAGACCTGAGGACTGTGCTGTGAGTGGCACAGCTGAGCGAGGTCTTTGAGGGCTGGAAGGAGCCACTCTGTGTGATGTGTGCCAGGCGCGTTATCAGTGTTCATCCTTTTGTTTTTCACATTACTCCTGGAAAGGAAATACTATTATGATCCCTTTTATAGATGAATAAACTGAGGCTCAGAGAGGTAAAGTAACTTGTCCAAGATCACTCAAATAGTAAGTTTAAAAGCCCAGGGCTTTGTGATTCTGAATCCTGTGCTCTTTCTGCCAAACTATACTGGTGCATTACGGATATGTCTGTCGAGCTGTGGGACCTTGCTAGGTAACCTTTGTTTTCTCTAGGAATGTTTCAGCAACGCATTTTGAGGAGGCAGAGTGCTGGTTAGTGCTGGCAGAATTTCAACACTTTTTAAAAATTTAAATGTATTTTTATTTTTATTTTTTGAGACAGAGTCTTACTCTGTTGCCCAGGCCTAGAGTGCAGTGGTGCAATCATAGCTCACTGCAGCTTCGACCTTCTGGGCTCAAGCAATCCTCCCACCTCAACTTCACTGAGTAGCTGGGACCTCAGGCATGTGCCACCATCCCCAGCTAATTTTTAAAATTTTAATTTTGTAGCCGGGTGCAGTGGCTCACGCCTGTAATCCCAGCACTTTGAGAGGCGAGGCAGGTAGATCACCTGAGGTCAGGAGTTTGAGACCAACCTGGCCAACATGGTTAACCAAGTGTGGTGCCGGGTGCCTGTAATCCCAGCTACTTGGGAGGCTGAGACGGGAGAATTGCTTGAGCCTGGGAGGCAGAGGTTGCAGTGAGCCAAGATTGCGCCACTGCACTCCAGCCTGAGCAACAGAGACTCCCTCTCAAAAATAAAAAAATAATAATAACAAAATTAAATTAAATTAAAAAATAAAAAATTTTTAATTTTGTAGAGATGGGGTCTCACTAGTGATCCTCTCACTTTGGCCTCCCAAAGTGCTGGGCTACAGGTGTGAACCACTGTGCCCAGCCAACTTTTTATTTTTATAGGCACCAAAGCATAAGGGCTAAGAACAGGGATTTGGTAACTCAGCTATTTGAGTTCAAATCCAGGCTCTGCTACTTATTAGCTGTGAGACTTTGGACAGGTTACTTAGTTCTGTGCCTCAGATTCCTTATCTGTGAAATGGAGATAATACTAGAACTTATATCACTGGCCTAATATGAAGATGAAATGAACTCATCCTCAGGGTCTAGGACATGGTAAGTGCTATTTAATTGTTTTTTGTTTGTTTGTTTTTTTGAGATGGAGTCTCGCTCTGTCGCCCAGGCTGGAGTGCAGTGGCACCGTCTCTGCTCACTGCAACCTCCACCTCCCGGATTTAAGTGATTCTCCCAGCTCAGCCTCCCAAGTAGCTGGGACTACAGGCACCTGCCACCATGCCCGGCTTATTTTTGTATTTTTAGTAGAGACAGGGTTTCTCCATGTTGGCCAGACTGGTCTTGAACTCCTGACCTCAGGTGATCCACCCACCTCAGCCTCCCACAGTGCTGGGATTACAGGAGTGAGCCACCACGCCCGGCCTATGCTGTTTAATTGTTTGTCACACATAGAAACAGACTTAGTTCCAGACCAGCCTGGCCAACATGGTGAAACCCCATCTCTACTAAAAATACAAAAATTAGCCGGGTGTGGTGGCACGTGTCTGTAATCCCAGCTACTCGGGAGGCTGAGGCAGGAGAATCTCTTGAGCCCAGGAAGTGGAGGTTGCAGTGAGCTGAGATCGCGCCACTGTACTCCAGCCTGGGTGACAGAGCGAGACTCTGTCTCACAAAAAAAAAAAAAGAAAAAAGAAAGAAACAAAGAAACAGGCTCGGGCAGCCCACCCCTTCTCACACATCACCTCCGACAGGAGGTCACAGCTGCTGCTGAGGCCACCCCGCCTTGAGGATGTGCCTGCCGGACCTGAGTTGCAACGAGAGGCTGCAGTCTCCCGAGGGGATTCAGAAAGCCCCCAGTTATTGAAAACCCAGCAGAATTGTCAGCCCTGCACCCCCAAGCCCTCTTGGAGGGAGGGTTGCCCTGGCAGAGCACTGAGCCCATCTGTTTATTCACCATCCTGTGGATTCAGCTTCACAGGGTGACATATTCTGTCACAGGTTGGTGTTGGAGAAGGGGCACTATCACCTCTATGAGAGTAACCTCACATATAAACATGAAAACAAGCCAGGTGCAGTGGGGCACACTTGTAGTCACAGCTGTCAGGAGGCCAAGGCAGGAGGATCGCTTGAGCCTAAGAGTTAAAGGCTACAGTGAGCTATGATCACACCACTGCACTCCAGCCTAGGTGACACAGCAAGACTCTGTCTCTAAACAAATAAAAATTAAAACATTAAAAAGTAAAAAAAACCCAGATGTTAAAGGACGTGCCACAAAACAACGTCATGGTTTGTTGCCAGAGGAATGACCCTTCTTCCCTTTCAGAACCATTGCAGGAATGGGGGAAGATATCACAAACCCCCAACATTTATTTCTTTGTCAGATATTTGAGTGCCTGCTGTGTGCCAGGCAATGTGTTAGAATCTGAGGAAATGTCAGTTAACAAAACTACAGGTTTCAGCCCTTTCTGATCTAGTCTGAGCTCCTCTCCCAGAAGGAAACTGCTACTTCCTGCACAGTTTGAGCACAAAAATATCAATGTAACCATATAAGGAAAAATTACAGCAAATGCCTGGGAAGAAGGAGCCCCAGATGCCATGAAAGTGTATAGTGGGGGAACTGGTCTGCGGGGTCAGGAGAGCCTCTTTGTGGAAGGGCATGTCGTCTGACCCTTGTAGCATTAGCCAAAGGAAGAAGTTGGGGGAGGGGAAATGCCCCAGGAAAGGGCAGCACCCTGGAGGCTTTTTTTTTTTTTTTTTCTCTTGAGACAGGGTCTTGCTCTGTTGCCCAGGCTGGAGTTCAGTGGTGTGATCTCAGCTCACTGCATCCCTGACCTCCAGTGCTCAAGGGACTACAGGCACATGCCACCATGCCTGGCTAATTTATTTTTAATTAAGAAAATTTTTTTAATAGAGATGGCATCTTGCTACATTGCCCAGGCTGGTCTAGAACTCCTGGGCTCAAGTGATCCTCCCACCTCGGCCTCCCTAAGTGCTGGGATTACGGGCATGAGCCACTGCACCTGGCCTATGGAGGCTTTGAAGGAGGAAAAACCTTGGCACTGTTAAGATGAAAAAAGCCGAAAGGGCAGGAGCATAGCGAGTGGGGCCAAGAGGCTTGTGATGAAGGCATCGTAGTCGGCAGGGCCCAGATCACACAGGCCCTTAAAGCAGTAGGAACTGCATGTTGAAGATGGTGATGTATTTGTGATACCTAGCCCGGTCCCAAACTAAGTGTGTAATACATGCTAATTCCTTCTCACCACCTCCTGGGTTTGAAAATGTATCAGGGTGTTTGGGAAAGAGAAAGAAGTTCCTAATGTCTGCAGCACATGAGACAGGTGTTGAGAGATGACCCTGGAAAGGTCAAATTAGGGCCAAATTATGAAAAGTTTTGGGCCAGGTGCAGTGGCTTATGCCTATAATCCTAGCACTTTGGGGGGCCTAAGCTAGGGAGCCCAGAAGTTCAAGACCAGCTTAGGTGACACAGCAAGACCCCATCTCTAGTTTTAAGAAACGTTTCATATTCCAGGCTAAATGTTTGGAGTTTGCCACATAGGCAGTAGGGAGCCATGGAAGGTGTCGCAGCAGGGGAGTAGCATGATCAGACAAATTATGCTAAGTTCAAGGGGAGATCACAGGGCTGGAGCAGTCATGGGAGTGTACCTTAAGCTGAACCTTGAAGGCTGAACAGGCACATGGAAGGCCACAGTGACTCTCCCCTGCTTCTTTTTCAGGTGGTTCCACGAGTGTTTGGGCGCATGGTGGGTAAAAGCCGGGAGGCGGTGGCTCAGGCCATGGTGCTGGAGATGTTTCGAGAGGAGGACTACTACAACGATGATGTTCTGGACCAGATGGGCGCCAGTATCCTGGGCGTGGAGGGCCCCCGGCGCCACCCAGATGAGCCCCCTGAGGATGAAGTCTTCGAGCTCTTCCCCATGTTCATGGGGGGGCTTCTCTCTGCCCACAACCGAGCTGTGCTAGCTCAGCTTGGCTGCCCCATCAAGAACCTGGATGCCCTGGAGAATGCCCAGGCCATCAAGAAGAAGCTGGGCAAGCTGGGCCGGCAGGTGCTGCCCCCATCAGAGCTCCTTGACCACCTCTTCTTCCACTATGAGTTCCAGAACCAGCGCTTCTCCGCTGAGGTGCTCAGCTCCCTGCGTCAGCTCAACCTGGCAGGTGTGCGCATGACACCAGTCAAGTGCACAGTGGTGGCAGCTGTGCTGGGCAGCGGAAGGCATGCCCTGGATGAGGTGAACTTGGCCTCCTGCCAGCTAGATCCTGCTGGGCTGCGCACACTCCTGCCTGTCTTCCTGCGTGCCCGGAAGCTGGGGTGAGGACCTATCCTCATGCACAGGCATGAAGAGGGAAGAGGGTTGGAGGTGAAGAAGTGGGAAAAGAAAGTGCCAGGGAAACCAGAGGTACCGATGAGTGACCAGAAGGTGGGATGAAGAAGTCTAGTTTAGGGGCCGGGAGCAGTGGCTCACACCTGTAATCCCAGCACTTTGGGAGCCCAAGGCGGGCGTATCACCTGAGGTCAGGAGTTCGAGACCAGCCTCAACATGGAGAAACCCTGTCTCTACTAAAAATACAAAATTAGCCAGGCATGGTGGTGCATGCCTGTAATCCCAGCTACTTGGGAGGCTGAGGCAGGAGAATTGCTTGAACCTGGGAGGCGGAGGTTGCGGTGAGCTGAGATCATGCCATCGCACTCCAGCCTGGGCAACAACAGCAAAACTCCGTCTCAAAAAAAAAAAAAAAAGTCTAGTTTGGGTGGAGGTGACAGGAGCAACAGAAGGGAGGAGCCAGGCATGGTGGCTCCTGCCTGTAATCCCACTGCTTTGGGAGGCCAAGGCAGAAGCATCACTTGAGCCTAATAGTCTGAGACCATCCTGGGCAACATAGCAAGACCCTGTCTCTACAAAAAATTAAAAAATTAGTCAGGTGTGGTGGCATGTAGCTATCATCCCAGCTACTCGGGAGGCTGAGGTGGGAGGATTGCTTGAGCCCAGGAGTCTGAGGCTGCAGTGAGTTGTGATCATGCCATTGTGCTCCAACCTGGGCAACAGAGTGAGACCCTGTCTCTCAAAAAAGGGGAAGCAGGTATAGATTCCCAGAGGCAGGCTGATGAAAAAAAGGCATGGTAGATGGACAGACTGCCTGCTGAATTCCCTCCCTGGTCTCTCACCTCCCCTCTGGCCACCTTCTGCTCCAGCTTGCAACTCAACAGCCTGGGCCCTGAGGCCTGCAAGGACCTCCGAGACCTGTTGCTGCATGACCAGTGCCAAATTACCACACTGCGGTGAGTGACCTGGGAGTGGGGCATCCTGGTGGCCAGCTAAGGTCAAGGGTGAGCTCCCTGCTTCCTGACATACTTGGCACAGACCCACCCAAGGGATAGTAAATGGAGGAGAGTCTAGGCCCTGACCTGTCCCCTCCACTTCCCCCAGGTCCACTGCAAGCAGCAGGGCAGCAGGGAAACATGCCACCTGTAATGGGTGCTAAGAAACCTCTCACGTGGCTAAAATCAGCCTGGGGGAGGTGGGGAGAGAGGGTGGAATAATACCTAGGCCGGTTGCCTGGTAACAGTGCCACTGATCCCCTCCCAGGATTTTTCTTGCAGCCTCCCGAGGAGGACCCTAATGCTGGGCACTCAGTAGACACCCCTTAAGTGTTGACTGATATGTGGGGAACCTGAGCTCCTGGGTTCCCAGTTTCTGATTGGTGTAAGGGGAGGCAAATGAGGAGAGAAAAAGGAAGAGCAGGGAGAAGGATAGGGGAGTCAGAGGGGAGGGAGAAGCAGAGGCTGTGGAGGGGGTGAAAAAGGCAGAAAAAGGGAAACGGAAATGGTGAAAAGGAAGGGAATAGATAAGAAGGGAGTCAGGGGAAGAGGGAAGGAAAGGCCAGCTCCCCTACTCTGACTCCTCTGCCAGGCGCCACACCCCCTATTGCTCCAGCCTTTCTCCTGGGCCTGCATTTCTATGTCCAGGTTCCTCTTGCCCCATGCAGGGCCCTCTTTGGCCCAAGTCCTGACACCCAGCACAGGGCTGCCCCATTAAGGCTGCCAGTACCACCCCCAACCTTGCCTCCCCCTCCTCTCAATGAGCCCTCATAACCTTGGGTTGCACGTGGCTGTAGGCTGTCCAACAACCCGCTGACGGCGGCAGGTGTTGCCGTGCTAATGGAGGGGCTGGCAGGAAACACCTCAGTGACGCACCTGTCCCTGCTGCACACGGGCCTTGGGGACGAAGGCCTGGAGCTGCTGGCTGCCCAGCTGGACCGCAACCGGCAGCTGCAGGAGCTGAACGTGGCGTACAACGGTGCTGGTGACACAGCGGCCCTGGCCCTGGCCAGAGCTGCCCGGGAGCACCCTTCCCTGGAACTGCTACAGTGAGTCCTGTCCCTGGTCCCATTGCCCCCAGCCCTTCAGACTACTTCCCTCTCTCAACTGTGCTCCTCCAATCCTAGGGAGTGCTTCTGGGCCTGGGCCTGGTGCCTGTCCTTTATTCCTGGTTTCTGACTGATCCTTGTCAACCTAGCTCTGAGCCAACCCACCCCCTCTGTGACTGGCGCTTAAACTGCACCAATTCCCTACCACCATTTCTCCTAAAGCCCTACTGTCTCTGGTCCCACTGAATTCTAGTATCAGGGTCGGCTGTGGTGGCTCACGTCTGTAATCCCAGCACTTCGGGGGGCCAAGGCGGGCACATCACCTGAGGTCAGGAGTTCAAGACCAGTCTGGCCAACATGGTGAAACCCCGTTTCTACTAAAAATACAAAAATTATCTGGGTGTGGTGGTGCGCACCTGTAATCCCAGCTACTTGGGAGGCTGAGGCAGGAGAATCACCTGAACCCGGCAGGTGGAGGTTGCAGTAAGCCGAGATCATGCCACTGCACTCCAGCCTGGGTGACAGAGCAAGACTCCATCTCAAAAAAAACAAAAACAAAAACAAAAACAAAAACAAAAAAAAAAAAGAATTTTAGTATTAGTCCCTGCCTCCCACTGGCCAGCAGCCTCCACCTCTGGCTCATTGCAGTTACCTGATCGCACTCTGCAGCCAGGAGATGAGTTGTGAGGCCCCCTGACTTTCCATCCATCTACCCTCGGGCCCTCCTTCTCAGAGCTCTACTGAATGGCATCGACTTTCTCTCTCCTGCCAGCCTCTACTTCAATGAGCTGAGCTCAGAGGGCCGCCAGGTCTTGCGAGACTTGGGGGGTGCTGCTGAAGGTGGTGCCCGGGTGGTGGTGTCACTGACAGAGGGGACGGCGGTGTCAGAATACTGGTCAGTGATCCTCAGTGAAGTCCAGCGGAACCTCAATAGCTGGGATCGGGCCCGGGTTCAGCGACACCTTGAGCTCCTACTGCGGGATCTGGAAGATAGCCGGGGTGCCACCCTTAATCCTTGGCGCAAGGCCCAGCTGCTGCGAGTGGAGGGCGAGGTCAGGGCCCTCCTGGAGCAGCTGGGAAGCTCTGGAAGCTGAGACACTGGCGGCAGGCACCTAGCTATGTGACCACTGGCCCTAAACCTTTTCCCTCTGTGGCCTCCTGGCTTGCACTGCTCCCTCTAGAAAGATTCCTTCAGGTCTGGAGGCAGAGGAATGGGCATAGCTGAGCCAGTTGCCCTCCTAGGGCATGTTTGACCAGGACTGAGTCTGGAATCTCCAAGTTAAAGATGGTGAATCAATGCTTCGGGCTTGGAGATGGAACATGCCTCCTCTCCATTCAGCTAGAAGGACCAAAGCATGTGGCATTTGGATGGCCAGAGTGCCCTGAAGCACCACTACCAACCTTGCCTCCCCCTCCTCTCAAAGAGCCTCTGACTGTGTCACCAAGGGGCTCACATCTTATGTCTGCCATGCCAGGGGTGTCGCCATCCAGATGTGTTGGAAGCTTCCCCTCCTGCCTTATGCTCACCTGTGGACACCGAGGATGCCCTCACATTGGTGCTTTCTCCTCATCCTCATGCCCCCTTTGCCACAATGGTATGATGGCTTGGTAGCCCCTCGAGGCAGATGCACCTGACTTGCTGCTATTAAAAAGCCGTGTGCCTTCTACCAATTGTGGCCTCTTCTTTACTGCCTGGTGCTTCCAAGAAAGGGCACTGTTCTTGGTCTTTCTGGTTAAACTACCAACCATGATCTATTGCAAGTGGTTCTTGGGCACTAGGTTCAGAGGCAGTGGAGGCTGGAAGGGCCCATGAACAAGATATTGGCATGGGGGTTGGCCATGCTGGGCTGTATTAGTCCAGTCTCACGCTGCTAATAAAGACATACCCAAGACAGGGTAAGTAATTTATAAAGGAGGCTGGGCATGGTGACTCACGCCCGTAATCCCAGCACTTTGGGAGGCCGAGGTGAGCGGATCACCTGAGGTCAGGAGTTTGAGACCAGCCTGACCGACATGGATAGACCTCGTCTCTACTAAAAATACAAAATTAGCTGGGTGTGATGGCACATGCTTGTAATCCCAGCTACTCGAGAGGCTGAAGCAAGAGTATTGCTTGAACCCAGGAGGTGGAGGTTGCCGTGAGCCGAGATAGTGCCACTGCACTCCAGCCTGGAGAACAAGAGTGAAACTCTGTCAAAAAAAAAATTTATAAACGAAAGAGGTTTAATTGACTCACAGTTCCACATAGCTGGGGAGGCCTCACAATCGTGGCAGAAGGCAAATGAGGAGCAAAGTCACATCTTACATAGCAGCAGGCAAGAGAGTGTGTGCCGGGGAACTCCCCTTTATAAAACCATCAAATCTCATGAGACTTATTCACTATCATGAAAACAGCACGGGAAAACCTGCCCCTGTGATTTAATTACCTCCCACCGGGTACCTCCCATGACACGAGGGAGTTATGGGAGCTGCAATTCAAGATGAGATTTGGGTAGGGACACAGCCAAACCATACTATGGGCCATAGAATTATCACCCTTTTCACACTTACCCCCCAGGCTTGGAGTTAGTGACCAGCAATCTGCCTTTCTCTGCACAGAGGGGCAACTGGGTCAGATTCAGGGTCTCCAGAAAAAGTTGGGGCCCAGGGATAGATTCAGGAGGAACCCACACAGTTTTCCAGAGGATAAGACTCTCAGCGGGGCACGGTGGCTGACGCCTGTAATCCCAGCACTTTGGGAGGCCGATGAGGGCAGATCACCTGAGGTGGGGAGTTTGAGACCAGCCTGACTAATATGGAGAAACCCCATCTCTACTAAAAATACAAAATTAGCCAGGTGTGGTGGTGCATGCCTGTAATCCCAGCTACTCGGGAGGCTGAGGCAGGAGAATTGCTTGAACCTGGGAGGCAGAGGTTATGATGAGCCAAGATCATGCCATTGCACTCCAGCCTGGGCAACAAGAGCTAAACTCGGTCTCAAAAAAAAAAAAAAAAAAAAAAAAAAAAAAAGACTCTCACTCCCGTTAACCATTACCCCACTGCTTCCACAGCGTCTTCAAGGAGGCGGGACCTGGGAGGGGATGGGTGGGAGGATCAGTGGCTGTGATGAACCTTGTCCCTACCCCGGGCACTGGGTTGCTGATCCAGCTATGGAGAAAGCCGCAGGTAGGAGGCCAGGAGAAATCCTCTGCAGGGGACTTTGGGACAGGCAGGGGGCCGACTTGGAGGCTGAAGCTTTGGGACCAGGGCACACTTGATTTTGGGGCTTGGAGCCCTGAGGCAGGTAAACAAGTCAGGAGAAAAGTAATGAGTTGATATGTCTGTCTTCCTGGTCCACACCCTGTACTGATATGCTCAGATTTATGTGCCAAGGACTTGGGGGGAGAGAAAGGGAGGGGACCGCACAATAGTCCTGTGTGTATGGCAGTGAGAAGAGAAGACCCCTTTGGAGCAGAAAGGAGGGGGCATGCCCTGAGTTTGGGGGTTTCCCTGAGTCCTTTTAGTTTATGCCAATGGAAGAGGCACATCTGGGGAGAAGAATGTGACTCTCCTCCTCTCACCCACTTCTTTGCCCAGTAGATCTGCAGGACACAGCCTCGTTAACTCTGTAAGTGCCACGAGGGTTGGGGCAAGGGGAGGAAATAATTGGAGGCAGCGAAGCGCTTCACTGCCATTAGCACCTAAAGGAGATCCTGGGACCCAAGTCCAGCTGCCAGCTTGTACCTGCTTCCCCTGCCTCCTTGCAGGAAGTTTAAGTTTAACCCAAAGCTGGGCATTGATAATCCTGTCCTCTCCCTGGCCGAAGACCACGACCCCTATGGTAACTCCCTCACCCCCTGGCAACCATTCCCTATCCCTGGAGGCACCACGGCTCCACACGGCCTCCGATCTCCTTGGTAACCACTCACTCGGTCTCCCTCTGATAACAGCCTTGGTTGGGAGTAGAGATAGGAGGGGCCGGGTGTTTTCTCCTGTCCCAGTCCCTCTGCCCACGAACCCCACCACCCAACACCCAACCAGGCAGAAACTGCCCAGCACCCTATCAGGACACAGGGTCTGCCAGGCACACGGCGAACCTGTACTTGGGCTGTGCCCTCTCCTCCCCCTTTTCTGCTGCCCACCTCACCCTCCAGATCCCTGGAGCCTGGAGCGGCCTCGCTTCTGTTTACTGAGCAAAGAGGAGGGCAAGAGTTTTGGCTTCCACCTGCAGCAGGAGCTGGGCAGGGCTGGGCATGTGGTGTGCAGGGTGGACCCAGGCACCTCTGCCCAGCGCCAGGGTCTTCAGGAAGGAGACAGGATCCTGGCGGTGAACAATGATGTTGTGGAACACGAAGACTATGCGGTGGTAAGGCTGTGGTCCAGGAGAGCATGCTAGCACCTCAGAAAGAGAAGCGGGTTGCTCAGTCCCCTGGGCAGTATGGCAGCAGGGCACAAGCCTCACTCCCCCACACCCCAGGATTTAGAAGTGCCCAAGTCAGAGGGGTAGGGAAAGCATCTAGAAAGCCGATTCCCGCTGGGCGCAGTGGCTCACGCCTGTAATCCCAGCACTTTGGGAGGCCAAGGCAGGTGGATCACCCAAGGTCAGGAGTTCAAGACCAGCCTGGCCAACATGGCAAGACCCTGTCTCTACTAAAAATACAGAAATTAGCTGGGCGTGGTGGCAGGCGCCTGTAATCCCAGCTACTCGGGAGGGCTGAGGCAGGAGAATCACTTGAACATGGGAGGCGGAGGTTGCGGTGAGCTGAGATCGCACCATTGCACTCCAACCTGGGCGACAAGAGCAAAACTCCATCTCAAAAAAAAAAAAAAAAAAGAAAAAGAAAAAAAGCCGATTCCCTTGGCAAAAAAATGTGGATTCCAGGGAGGTCCTGGGGGTTGGCAAGAGGGTCTAGACCAAACCCACGCCCACGTGCCCTCTGTCCAGGTGGTACGCCGCATCCGGGCCAGCAGCCCTCGGGTGTTGCTGACAGTATTGGCACGGCATGCACATGACGTGGCCCGAGCTCAGCTGGGAGAAGATGCCCACCTCTGTCCCACCCTAGGCCCAGGGGTCCGGCCCCGGCTGTGCCACATAGTGAAAGATGAGGGTGGTTTTGGCTTCAGTGTCACCCATGGTGAGCCCAGAGGGTGCGAGGGGGCGGCAAGGATGAGGGATCTCAGCCCCTGTTCAGGGCAGGCAGGAAACAGACTGGACCTTGCTTTTTTTTTTAATTTCTAGGCAATCAGGGTCCTTTCTGGTTGGTGCTAAGTACTGGAGGAGCAGCTGAGCGGGCAGGGGTGCCCCCCGGGGCCCGGCTGCTGGAAGTGAATGGGGTCAGTGTGGAGAAGTTCACTCACAACCAACTCACCAGGAAGGTGTGACTGCCTGTCTCCCACTCTCCTCCCCCAATCCGGGCCTGGGCCCCACCTCGGGAAGACGCCTCCTTCCCCATGCGCCTAACCTCCTTATCTGGTCTCCTACCTTTATCACCATCCTCCCCCTCTACAGTTTGTGCCAGGCTCCACTTAGTGCCTGGGAGGAGGGGCTGTGGGGGGAGCATACCTCTTCTCTCCCTGCCCAGGTGTTATACTGATGCCCTGCTGGGTCCCCACAGCTTTGGCAGAGTGGACAGCAGGTGACCTTGCTGGTGGCAGGGCCAGAGGTGGAAGAACAGTGTCGCCAGCTGGGATTGCCCCTGGCTGCACCCCTGGCAGAGGGCTGGGCACTGCCCACCAAGCCCCGCTGCCTGCACCTGGAGAAAGGGCCCCAGGGTTTTGGGTTCCTGCTCCGGGAGGAAAAGGGCCTTGACGGTCGCCCTGGTGAGTGGGAGCCCTGGGGGCGGTGGGGGAAGGTGGGCCTTGGGGTGGGCACACAAGCGTATATACACCTTTCAGTGCACCGAAGAGGTGTCCCTGTCTGAGCTCTGGCCCTGGGCCGCCTCTTCCCGTTCACTCTGGGGTCAGTCCCCTGGTGTGTACACAGTGGCCTAGGATAGCTGGAGAGGAGCAGTGAGGATGTCTATGCCCCAGGACAGTTCCTGTGGGAGGTGGACCCGGGACTGCCAGCCAAGAAGGCTGGGATGCAGGCTGGGGACCGGCTGGTGGCTGTGGCTGGGGAGAGCGTGGAGGGGCTGGGCCATGAGGAGACAGTGTCCAGGATCCAGGGGCAGGGCTCCTGTGTCTCCCTCACTGTCGTCGACCCTGAGGCGGACCGCTTCTTCAGCATGGTGCGTGCTGAGGGGCAGGGGCTAGGGTTGGGGCAGGAGTGGGGCAGGGCTGAGGTCCGAAAGATTTGCTCTCCCTGCCACCTTCCAGGTTCGCCTGTCCCCACTCCTCTTCTTGGAGAACACAGAGGCTCCCGCCTCGCCCCGGGGCAGCAGCTCAGCCTCACTGGTTGAGACAGAGGACCCTTCACTTGAAGACACAAGCGTGCCTTCTGTCCCTCTTGGCTCCCGACAGTGCTTCCTGTACCCTGGGCCTGGTGGCAGCTATGGCTTCCGACTCAGTTGTGTGGCCAGTGGGCCTCGTCTCTTCATCTCCCAGGTGACTGATGCCCCATGGATCTTGAATCCCTTCGATCCTTTGCTGCCTGATCGGTCTTCCTCTGCTTCCCTCCCAGAGCCTAAAGCCAGCAAACTTTCCCCCGGTGTCCCCTGTTCTGCATGCCCCCACAACACCAGGTGACTCCAGGAGGCTCAGCTGCCCGGGCTGGGCTGCAAGTGGGAGACGTGATTCTGGAAGTGAACGGGTATCCTGTTGGGGGACAGAATGACCTGGAGAGGCTTCAGCAGCTGCCTGAGGCTGAGCCACCCCTCTGCCTGAAGCTGGCAGCCAGGTCTCTGCGGGGCTTGGAAGCCTGGATTCCCCCTGGGGCTGCAGAGGTGAGGAAGAAGAAACAGATGGGACTGTGAGTAGCTACAGAGGGCAGGGAGGAGTGAGAAAGAAGGGCAGAGTGGGCGAGGTACAAGGTGAAGCCGTGTGGGGTATGCAGGTTGGGACTTCAGGTCGTGGTAGGTGGGGACAGAAGGACTCGTGAAATAAACCCCATTTCTGGGCATTCCAGTGCAGGGCGGGGCAAGAAAAAGGAACTCTTCTGGGTCCCACCTGGAATGACCTTCTACCTCCTCTCTCTGTATAGGACTGGGCTCTGGCCTCGGATCTACTGTAGAGCACCCCTGCTTGGTACAGACATACTCAGGGGCTACCGTGTCTTCACTCTCCAGCCTGAGGTGGTGAAGGCAGGATGCTCTCTCTAAGCCAGACCAGAGGGACTCAGACACCACCGATCACAGGCTGGCCCAGGTGCTCCCTCCCTTCCTGCAGGCCCACCTGCCAGCAGAGGGTGTGGTTGGAGGCCTCAGACAGGTCCCTGAAGGAGTCTGAGGCTCCAGAGGATGTCATATGGGAGTTTTAGAGAGCTGTGTCCCAAGGATGAAGGTGTGGCTGTGGGTCTGGCTAGGATTGAAGCCATCTGGACCTTTTCTAGATATGACTCCAGGACCCTTGAGTGTAATGCAAAAATTTGGAGACCAGCTATGCCTGCCCTCTGTGGGTGCCTTAGCATTGCGGGAGGGTGGTGCTTGGTCACCGTTGCATTTGTTATAGAAATGGCCATTCGCCATAAATCTGACTGCCTGTGTTTGTGTTGGTGGGGGTAAGGGGCAGTGGTGTGAAGGGACCAAAAGGGCCTCAGGCTCAAGGGGTGGGATGCGGCTCCTGCAGGAGAGAGGTTGAGACCTGGTCAAATTTATTTCCTATCAATCACTGAATCTCAGGGATAATGGGTCAACCCAGAACTGAGATGTCTGTATGACAGCCACTCCTAAAAATAAACAACAACAAAAACAAAAAAAGAAGAAAACTAAATAAAAATAAAAATAAAAATAAGATCCACTTCTCTCTGCCAAACGGCCAGAGCCCACAGCTCTATTGAGTTCTACATCAAGACACTTTATTGCTGGGGCCTCAGAGAACACTAGAGACTAGGGGCTGGTGGCCTCAAAGATCCAGGGGGGGTGAGTCCAAACTGGCGTTGCTGCTCCTTGTGCCTGGCGTGAAGTCTCAGTGCTGCCCCATCCCACTGCTGCTTGATGGCTCTCAGCTTGGCCAAGAGCCTGTCCAGACTGTCCTGCAGACATCAATATTTCAGACCCCAGAAAGAGAGAGAGGGAAGGAGTGAGTGCTGCCCCAGGTTGGTTCATAAGCTTTCCTTGCCCAGTAGACATGGTCGTATCCCCTCTGTCTGCCCTCAGGATAGAGCAGGGCTCCCTTGGAGACGCTCCTTCTCCTTAACCCTGGGTTGTCAGTCATCATACGAGCTGGGGTTTGTGGGCATGGGGGAGTCCTGGGTACTGGGATGGCTGGGATCCAGGGGGTGGTGCTTACGTGTAAGATTTCCTCATACTTCGCCTCCATGTCTGCCATGTGGGCCCGAAGCTGAGCCAGGGCCTGGTCCCGCTCTCCGAGAGCTTGTTCAGCCTCTTCCCGGGCAGCTGCAGCCTCCCTTTGGCATGCCTCTGGGGGCAGGCAGGATGAAAGAGAGCAGGATGGTGACACTCTATCCTTGACCAGTCTCTCCAAAGGTATCTGGAAAGGAGACCTCAAATGGGCTCGTTCCAGACTCCCCCAGCATCACCAAATTTCCCGCAGTCCCTGTAAAAGCTGAAGCTCCACTGAGGTATATAGCAGAGAGTGGCGGGCTTGAGATAGAAGGCTCCAAAGTCGGATTACTACCTAGGTGACCACATGCATGTCTCTTTCTGAGCCTTGGTGTCTTCATCTTTTTTTTTTTTTTTAGATGGAGTCTCACTCTGTCGCCAGGCTGGAGTGCAGTGGCGCGATCTCAGCTCACTGCAACTGCCACCTCCTGGGTTCAAGCAATTCTCCTGCCTCAGCCTCCCGAGTAGCTGGGATTACAGGCACATGCCACCATGCCCAGCTAATCTTCGAATTTTTAGTAGAGATGGGGTTTCACCATGTTGGCCAGGATGGTCCCTATCTCTTAACCTTGTGATCCGCCCGCCTCGGCCTCCCAAAGTGGTGGGATTACAAGTGTGAGCCACCGCGGCTGGCTGGTGTCTTCATCTGTAAAGAGAGAATGACACATCCCTCAGGGGCATGCTGTGACCTTTAAACATGATAAATGGATGACAAAGCACCTAGCTAGTATACAGGAGGTGCTCAGTAAACATTGATTCATTGGCCGGGTGCGGTGGCTCACGCCTGTAATCCTAGCACTTTGGGAGGCCGAGGAGGGCGGATTACCTGAGGTCAGGAGTCCGAAACGAGCCCGGCCAACATAGGTGAATCTCCATCTCTACTAAAAATACAAAAATTAGCCAGGCATGGTGGCGCACACCTGTAATCCCAGCTACTCGGGAGACTGAGGCAGGAGAATTGCTTGAACGTAGGAGGTGGAGGTTGCAGTGAGCCGAGATTTGCCATTGCACTCCAGAATGAGCGACCAGAGTGAAACTCCGTCTCAAAACAAAAAACAAAAAACAAAAAAATCCCCAAAACAACAACAGCAAAAACAAAAACAATTGAGTCATTGATTGACTTGGAATTTGAGGTAAAGCAAAGATTAGGAAAGGAACCCAGAGTCTGAATGGCAGATAAGCAGCTCCTGGCCATCTATAGCTAAACCGAAGGCCTTTTTTTTTTTTTTTTTAGTTGGAATCTTACTCTGTTGCCGAGGCTGGAGTGCAGTGGTGCGATCTCGGCTCACTGCAGCCTCCGCCTCCTGGGTTCAAGTGATTCTCCTGACTCAGCCTCCCAAGTAGCTGAGATTACAGGCACACGCCACCATGCTCAGCTAATTTTTGTAATTTTAGTAGAGATGGCATTTCACCATACTGGCCAGGCTGGTCTCAAACTCCTGGCCTCAAGCAATTCTCTTGCCTTGGCCTCCCAAAGTGCTGGGATTACAGGGGTGAGCCACCGCACCCGGTTGAAGGCATTTTTAAGGTATGAAAACTTTGAGACCAAAATTGTGAAAGAGCTCATGTGTCATGCTGAGATATTTCAACATTATTTTGTAAGCAAGAGACAAGAGAAGCAAAGGCTTCCTGGTTTTTAAAAATATTTTTGCTTATTAGGAGTGTTTATTCATTTATTTGGTGAACAGTTATTTAGGATCTACCAGATGCTAGGTCTTGAAGATACAGAAGTAAATAAGTCAAACATTTCCCCTTAGTTTCATTGTAGAAATCAGCTAAACTAAAAGGGAATATGTTTTGCTCACAAGAGACATGGCAGTGGTGGGGAGTTAGGGCTGGACTTGAGAGGAGGAAATGGGGTGTGAGGCCTACATCTTCTTTTTTATTTTTATTTATTTTTTTGAGACAGAGTCTTGCTCTGTTGCCCAGGCTGGAGTGCAATGGCGTGATCTCGGCTCACTGCAACCTCTGCCTCCTGGGTTCAAGCGATTCTCCTGCTTCAGCCTCCCGAGTAGCTGGGATTACAGGTGTGCGCCACCACATCCGGCTAATTTTTATATTTTTAGTAGAGACGGGGTTTTGCCATTTGGCCAGGCTGTTCCTGGACTCCTGACCTCAGGTGATCCGCCCGCCTTGGCCTCCCAAAGTGCTGGGATTACAGGCCTGAGCCACCGCGCCTGGAGCCTCTTCTTTACTTACAGCAGAGATTTTTGGTATCCCGAACCCTCTGCTGCAGTCCTCAGTGGTGGAGGGTCAGCGAAAGTGGGGAAAGTGATCCAAGAGCCCAGACGGCAGCTTTCTGGAGCAGAGACTTTGAAGTCTACCCCTTCATGCTGGCCCTTGCTGCAACTCTTGGAGAGAAGGGGCTTGGAGGGTGGGGAAACCTACCTAGCTGCCCCCGAAGGCCTTTGACTTCTTCCTCCAGCTGCTTGCTGCGGGTTTGCATATCCTCCTGCAGGGCATGGCACTGGCGACTCATCTCTGGGGTGGGGGCAGTGGGCCACCAGGGACCCAGGTTGGAGATGGAGGGATGGAGAAAGGAAATGAAGTTGTGGGTGGGGAAGACTCTACTTGGTCTAGTGGAACAGGAGCACAAAGGCCTTCTTGGTTCTTTTTGTGATTCTGAGAAGCTGCAGACCATGAAAACCTGAGGAAGGGACAGGAAGCCCGACCTACCTCCCCCAGTCCAGCTTTGGATGGGGATGCTAGCCCTTCTCCCCGCCCATGGGCTGATTGAGATGATGGCTATGACTGCATGTGTATCCTACACAGCATCAAGCACATGGCACCAGGCATCCTGGAAGGCCCCTGCCTGGGATCCCAGGAACCTACCTGCCTTTGGTTCCTGCAGGATCCTTCCTGATTTGTACTGTTTGGGAAAGACCAAGACCAGGCCTGGCAGTCGGAAGCCCTCCTTGTTTCCCTTCCTTGCATCAACTGACCCTGTTGGTTGTCCTCCTCCAAGCCCCTGTCTCCTGCCCACCTGCTTAACCGACCACACACCTGCATATATGGCCTTCCCTTCACTTCGGGCCCCTTCCAGCTCAGCCTCCACCCCTTGCAGCCTCTGCCTCAGCTGGTCTTCGGAAGCCTTGGCTCGACGGGCTTCATCCCTCCGTAGAGCTGTGAGCAGTCCCAGAGCCGCCGTCAGGACTGGCTGGGTCCCACTAAATCAGCCCCCATGAACGTGATGGACTTTGCCCACCTCTAGAAATCTGGTGGTGGGGTGTCCAGCCTCTTACTCTCTCTCTGGGTTTTGTTGTTTTTGTTTTTTATCCCTAGAGTCTCACAGGCTCCTCATTATTAAGAAGTAAAAACTCCCTCTATGTTCTTTTCGGATAGCCTGGCATGGTGGCTCATGCCTGTAATCCCAATATTTTGGGAGGCTTAGGTGGGAGAATTGCTTGAGGCCAGGAGTTTGAGACCTGCCTGGGCAACAGAGTGAGACCTTGTCTCTATAAAATAAATAGGGCCAGGCGCGGTGGCTCACGCCTGTAATCCCAGCACTTCGGGAGGCCAAGGCTGGTGGGACACAAGGTCAAGAGTTCGAGACCAGCCTGGCCAACATGGTGAAAACCCGTCTCTACTAAGAATACAAAAATTAGCCAGGTGTGGTGGCCACGTGCCTGTAATCCCAGCTACTCGGGAGGCTGAGGCAGGAGAATCGCTTGAACCTGGGAGGCAGAGGTTGCAGTGAGCCGAGATCACACCACTGCACTCCAGCCTGGGCGACAGAGCACAAGACTCTGTCTCAAAAAAAAAAAAAAAAAAAAAAAAAAAAAATAAATAAATAAAGTAGCCAGGCATGGTGGTGTGCACCTGTAATACCAGCTACTCGGGAGGCTGAGGCGGGAAGATTGTTGCGGCCCAGGAGTTAGAGATTACAGTGGACTATGACCATACCACTGCACTCCAGCCCGGGCAATAGAGCAAAATTCTGTCAAAAAAACCAAAAAAAACAAAAAACAAACAAACAAAAAAAACACCTTCCTTTATCAACTCTCACTGCCCACCCTCTCTCATCATCTTTTTCCACTAGGGGATGGTTAGGGTCAACTTAACCCCCCACCATACCTCCAACTCTCCAATCCCCCAGGATACAGAAATGCCCCATTTCACTTCCCCTGTTGCCCACCCATGCCAGCTTCTACCCTCCTTACCCAAGTGGTCTCGGAGCAGCTCCTTCTCCAGCACCACCAGCCTGTGCCTGGACTCGGCCACCACATCTGCACCTGCGGTGGCAAGTGGCAGAGCCTCAGCTCTTCATGATCTCAGCATTCCTCACTCTGCTCACATCCTCACCCCACACCCTGCACTTTTGCCACAGCAGACCTGAGGACCACTAAATGAGGTATCCACAGTGGCAGAGTCTACTGAAGTCAGCACCGTGTCCTCACCGACCAGCACATAACAGATATGCAAAATACACATGACAAATATATTAGGAAGGCACAGAGCTAGATGGGGCTTAAAGGAGAGCGTGGGTGACCATTTCCCCACTTCCTCAGCTCCCTGGATCTGGCTGTGAGGACATGAAAGAGGTAGGTCAAGAGAGCTCCATCCTGTCCTGCAGAAGGCTGAATTCTCTCTGGAGGAGCTCTGCGTGGTCTTCATGGCAGAACATGGAGAAGCAGGGGGCACCTCCACCCACCATGACTCACCCCAGTTCTTTTTCTTCTTCTGTGCCCCAGATTTCTTCCCTTTTTCTTTGTTTTTAGGTGGCATCTCCTTGCTGTCCTGGGAGAAGGAGGGGACCTTATGTTTAGGTCTGGACACAGGGATGCTTTCCTGAGCTTTAGACTGAACCAGGAGACTCTCCTGAGTCCAAATTTGTCTCTCATATCCTTCAGAAAAGTCAGTTCACAGTCTCTTTGGAACCTCAGACAGGGTTGGGGTCAGTGGGGAGGATGGAGTTTTTTCTCTCAACCAGGCTGACTCTGTACAGAAGTCATTCCTTGCAACTCTCTTTTAGAGAAACGAAATCCCTGTACCTGCTCCCCTCCCTCTTCCCATCATCCTCAACCCTCACTTCCTACCTGTAGGATCCTCTCCTGCCAGCGTTGGGGCTCCCCGTGGAGTGACCCACTCGTGGGGAGTGGCAGAGAGAAGGCCCAACTAGCGAGGAGCCTGAGGCGGGGCCTGGGTCCTGGGAGCCAATCCTTGGTGGCAAATTTCTCTTGAGGGCAGGACTGAGGGCTGGAAGGTTGGGTTTCCAGAGGCTGTATGTTGTCCAGGCAACTGGGAAACATGGAGTTCACAGGAAGGTGGAATGGGCTAAATCAGCTCACAAAGTTTAAAATATCAAGGTCTCAAAGGGTCAGTTCTTTCCTTATCCCAAAATCCTAAGTATAGTTTGAAAAGAAAGGGCTTTGGAGGTCGATTAGTTATGATTCATTGCCATGTAGACATGGCCTGCAATTTGGAGACTTCCAAATTCAGATGTACACATCTGAGATAATATGTGGTGCTGATACAGAGGAAAAGGACTGACAGTAGCCATGTTGGACAACTGACATCCCGAGGTCCCACCAGCAAAATGACATTAGTAGGCTTAAAACTGAAGATCTAAGCTGGGGCGGTGGCTCGTGCCTATAATCCCAGCATTTTGAGAAGCTGAGGCAGGAGGATTACTTGAGGCCAGGAGTTCGAGACCAGCCTGGACAACACAGTGAGACCTCATTTCTACAAAAAAATTAAAAAATTAGCCTGGTGTGGTGGTGCACACCTGTAGTCTCAGCTACTTGGGAGGCTGAAGCAGGAGAATCACTTGAGCCTGGGAGGTTGAGGCAGCAGTGAGCTATGATTGCACCACTGCACTCCAGCCTGGATGACAGAGGGAGACCCTGTCTCAAACAAACAAAACTCCCAGACCACCGAAGATCCTCTTCAGTACACTGTAGAATGAGGGTAATAAGTGCAGGAATAGGTAGTCCAGGGAGTTTCCCACTTCAGAGAAATGAGACGCAGAGGAATAGTGGACCCATGGACTCTAGGGTACTGACCTAGAGGGATGCAAGTGTGGAGGAAAGAGCTCAGGTTAGAGACAAGACATGTGAGTTTGAGTCCCAACTGTGGATATGTAAACTGAGGCGAGCCATTTGACTTTGCTCAGCATCAGTTTCCTGATCTTTAATTGTTTGATTTTGCAGCTCTTGAAAAGCCTGTGTTTTAGCTGCGTGTTTACATGGCTATCTTCTCTCCTAGTGACTTAATCTATTGCTACATTTCCCCATTCCCTTGTGTGGTTGATTTTCAGACAGGTGTTGAGACATTGCTTTGTGAGGCTCCCTGTAGCATAGAGTTGGTTGGGGCTCCCTCTAGTGGACTTGTTTGACCTTCTCCTGAGTTTCCTACATTTTTGCTTTTAAATTATTTACTGGGCAACAGTGGGGGTGACTCCCTTTGGGGATACTTCTTAGCGTCCTGTTTGAGCCAGGAGTGGCTGGAAGAATTAACATTGGGGAGAGAGTATGATGGGTGGCCCTCCCTTGTCAGGCAGCCCTCACTTTCCCTCCAGCTCTGTGCTATCCTGGAGGCTTGCCATTTATCTGCCACTTGGATCTCTGGGCACCATACTGGTTAGAGTGAAAATAGCAAAAACTTCAGGACTTTTCTCCTTTTGGATTAGGGGACCTGCAGACCCTTTCTTTTCTTTAGGTTTCTTTTTTTTTTTCCCGTGTCTCTCTCTGTCACCTAGGCTGGAGTGCGGTGGCATGATCACGGCTCACTACAGCCTCAGTCTCCCTGGGCTCTGGTGATCTTCCCACCTCAACTTCCTGAGTAGCTGGGACTACAGGCGCATGCCACCACACCTGGCCAATTTTTGTATTTTTTGTAGAGATGGGGTTTTACCATGTTGTCCAGCATGGTCTCAAACTCCTGGCCTCAAGCGATCCACCTGCCTTGGCCTCCCAAGGTTCTTGGATTACAGGCGTGAGCCACTGCACCAGCCTATCTTTTTTTTTTTTTTTCTTCAGACAGAGTCTCGCTCTTGTTGCCCAGGCTGGAGTACAGTGACGTGATCTCGGCTCACTGCAACCTCCACCTCCCAGGTTCAAGCAATTCTCTGCCTCAGCCTCCCAAGTAGCTGGGAATACAGGTGCCCACCACCACGCCTGGCTAATTTTTGTATTTTTAGTAGAGATGGGGGTTCACCATCTTGGCCAGGCTGGTCTTGAACTCCTGACCTCGTGATCCACCCGCCTTAGCCTCCCAAAGTGCTGGGATTACAGGCGCGAGCCACTGTGCCCGGCCTTCTTTAGGTACTTCTCTTCATCTCTGTCACCCTCAATATTTTTGGTCCATTGCCTATTGTCAGGAGCAGATCTGTAGAAATAGCCACAAGAGGCTGGGCGCGGTGACTCACGTCTGTAATCCCAGCACTTTGGGAGGCTGAGGCAGGCAGATCATGAGGTCAGGAGTTCGAGACCAGCCTGGCCAACATTATTAAACCCTGTCTCTACTAAAAAATACAAAAATTAGCTGGGCATGGTGGCACGTGCCTATAATCCCAGCTACTGGGGAGGCTGAGGCAGCAGAATCGCTTGAACCCAGGAGGAGGAGGTTGCAGTAAACAGAGATTGCGCCACTGCACTTCAGCCTGGGCAGCAGAGCAAGACTCCATCTCAAAAAAAAAAAAAAAAGCCACAAGATCTGGAATTGAAAAGTCCTTCTTCTGGGTAGTGGGTAACTTTAGGCAGAGGCTGGTTCATGCTTGTCACCTTGGTGGCTGCACGGCACTTACATGAACTTCCGGGCATTTTACAGAGCAAAGAGAAGAGCCAGTCTTGACTTCCCAAGTGCTTCCAGCTCCTGTAACTCAGAGTCAACTAATCTTGTGGACATCTCCCAAATCTGGAGGATATTTTTCTTCTAATCTTTTATTTATTTATTTTTGAAGCCAGTGGAATTTAGTAGTGGGCGCCTGTATACCAACTTTAGTGACTATAAACCAAAAATAAAATTCTAAGCCTGCCAGCCATCTGAGTGGACCCCTCCTCTAGGCCAAGGGCTTTCCAAAGTGAACCTGAAGAACTAGTTCAGGCCGTGATGGGAAGGGGGAGCCGGACATGCCTCAACATACCCTCCTCCCTTTTAGAATTACTGATAGAACACACTCTTTAAATCTGATAAGAAACATTTACAGGCCTGGTGGCTCATGCCTGTAATTTCAGCACTTTGGGAGGCTGAGGCGGGCAGATCATTTGAGGCCAGAAGGTTGAGACCAGCCTGGGCAATGTGGTGAAACCCCATCTACACAAAAAATACAAAAGTTAGCCCAGTTTGGTGGTGTGCATATGTAGTCCCAGCTACTTGGGAGGCGGAGGTGGGAGGATCACCTGAGCCTGGGAAGGTTGAGGTTGCAGTGAGCCATGATCACGTGACTGCACTCCAGTCTGGGAAATGCAGTGGCACCCTGTCTCAAAAAATAAAAAGAGAAAAGATAAGAAGAAAAAACATTTACAATCAATTCTCTCTGAGGCCTGCTACCTGGACGCTTCATCTACATGATAAAACCTTGGTCTCTTGCCGGGCACGGTGGCTCACTCCTGTAATCCCAACACTTTGGGAGGCCAAGGCAGGTGGATTCACCTGAGGTCAGGAGTTTGAGACCAGCCTGCCCAACGTGGCGAAACCCTGTCTCTACTAAAAATACAAAAAATTAGCCGGGTGTGGAGGCGGGTGCCTGTAATCCCAGCTACTTTGGAGGCTGAGGCAGGAGAATCGCTTGAACCCGGGAGGTGGAGGTTGTGGTGAGCCGAGATTGCGCCACTGCACTCCAGCCTGGGCAACAAGAGCAAAACTCTGTCAAAAAAACAAAAACAAAAACAAAAAACCCTTGGTCTCTGCAACCCCTTATTGTAACCCAGACATTCCTTTCTATTGATTCCAGGTCTTTAGATAATAACTCTTTCAAGCAATTGTCAATTGGAAAATCTTTGAATCCACGTATGACCTGGAACCCTAACTCTAACCCTAATTCTCTTGCCCGCTTCTTCGCTTCCAGTTGTCCTGCCTTTCTAGACTGAACCAATGTACATCTTACATATATTGATTGATGTCTTATGTTTTCTTAAAATTTATATATAAAGCAAGCCGGTGCAGTGGCTCACGCCTGTCATCCCAGCACTTTGGGAGGCCAAGGCAGGTGGATCACCTGAGGTCAGGAGTTCAAGACCAGCCTAGCCAACATGGTGAAACCCTGTCTCTACTAAAAATGCAAAAAATTAGCCAAGCATTGTGGTGGGCGCCCATAATCCCAGCTACTTGGAAGGCTGAGGCAGTAGAATCTCTTGAACCCGGGAGGCGGAGGTTGCAGTGAGCCGAGATCGCGCCATTGCACTCCAGCCTGGGCAACAAGAGTGAAATTCCGTCTGAAAAAAAAATGTATAAAGCCAAATTGTAGCTTGTTCACCTTCGGCACTTGTTCTCAGGATGTCTTGAGAGTTGTGTCACGGGCCATTGGTCACTCATATTTGGCTCAGAATAAATCTCTTCAAATATTTTACAGAGTTTGACTCTTTTCTTTGACATGACACTAATGTTAATAAGTTCTGATAACCCAGTACCATCAGACCAGCTTCTTCTAATCTTGAGCATGTTTTTCATTTATTCTCCCTCCACCACCTCCTTCTCCTGTGCTGTAATGCAGTGGGGGTACCTGTCCCTGTCCTCCTCATCTAGAAGCCTGTTTGGGAGGTTTTTCTTTCTTTCTTTTTTTTCTTTTTGAGACAGAGTCTCGCTCTGTGGCCCAGGCTGGAGTGCAGTGGCGCGATCTCGGCTTACTGCAGCCTCAATCTCCTTGGCTCAGGTGATCCTCCCACCTCAGCATGGTGGGACTACAGACGCACACACTGCTCCCAGCTGGGAGTACAGTAGCTGGGACTACAGACGCACACACTGCTCCCAGCTAATTTTTTGTTTGTTTGTTGTTGTTGTTGTTTGAGATGGAGTCTCGCTCTTGTTGCCCAGGCTGGAGTGCAGTGGCGTGATCTTGGCTTGCTGCAACCTCCACCTCCCAGGTTCAAGCGATTCTCCTGCCTCAGCTTCCCCAAGTAGCTGGGACTACAGGTGCTTGCCACCACGCCTGGCTAATTTTTGTATTTTTAGGAGAGACAGGGTTTTGCCATGTTGGCCAGGCTGGTCTCAAACTACTGACCTCAGGTGATCTGCTTGCCTCGGCCTCCCAAAGTGTTGGGATTATAGGCGTGAGCCACTGCGCCCGGCCTATTTGTTTTTTTGAGACAGTCTCACTCTTTTGCCCTGGAGTGCAGTGGTGCGATCTCAGCTCACCGCAACCTCCGCTTCCCGGGTTCAAGAGATTCTTGTGCCTTAGTCTCCAGAGTAGCTAGGATTACAGACATGTGCCACGACATTCAGCTAATTTTTGTGTTTTTGGTAGAGATGGGGTTTCACCATGCTGCCCAGGCTGGTCTCGAACTCCCAACCTCAGGTGATCTGCTCGCTTTGGTCTCCAAGTGTCAGGGGTGTGTGAACCAGAGTAACTCCACCTTGAAGAGGAGCTGGGTAAAATGAGGCTGAGAACTACTGGGCTGTGTTCCCAGAAGGTTAAGGCATTCTAAGTCACAGGATGAGATAGGAGGTTGGCACAAGATACAGATCATAAAGACCTTGCTGATAAAACAGGTTGCAGTAGAGGAGCTGGCCAAAACCCACCAAAACCAAGATGGCGACGAGAGTGACCTCTGGTCGTCCTCGCTGCTGCACTCCCACCAGCGTCATCACAGTTTACAAATGCCATGGCAACATCAGGAAGTTACCCTGTATGGTGTAAAAAGGGGAGGCATGAATAATCCACCCCTTGTTTAGCATATCATCAACAAATAACCATAAACATGGTTATGTCTATGGAGTCACCATCCTTTTATTCCAACACTTTCCTAATAAACTTGTTTTCACTTTACTCTATGGAGTTGCCCTGAATTCTTTCTTGTGCGAGATCCAAGAACCCTCTCTTGGGATCTGGATCAGGACCCCTTTCCTGTAACAAAAGTGCTGGGATTGCAGGCATGAGCCACTGCGCCCAGCAAATTTTTGTATTTTTTATAGAGACAGGGTTTTGCTATGTTGCCCATCCTGGTCTCGAACTCCTGGGCTCAAGCAATCCATCTGCCTCAGCCTCCCGAAGTGCTGGGACTACAGGCAGGAGCTACCTTGCTTGGTCTGGGAACTTTTTTCCCATGGAATGATTACTGTCCCCATTATACTTGTTAACATAAAGGAAAAAACTGGCACAAATTTAAGTAGAGAGTTTACTTGGACCAATTTTGAGGACAGCAATCCAGGAGCGTAGATTCAAGTTGCCCTGGACAATAGGCTCAGATTATCAGATTAATAGCAGTTACAAACGTGTGTGGGGTTTTTTTTTTTTTTTTTTTTTTGAGATGGCGTTTCACTCTTGTTGCCCAGGCTGGAGTGCAGTGGTGCGATCTTGGCTCACTGCAACCTCTGCCTCCTGATTCAAGTGATTCTCCCGCCTCAGCCTCCCGAGTAGCTGAGATTACAGGCGCCCACCACCACGTCCGGCTAATTTTTTGTATTTGTAATAGAGTCAGCGTTTCGCCATCTTGGCGAGGCTGGTCTTGAACTCCTGATCTTGTGATCCGCCTCCCAAAGTGCTGAGATTACAGGCCTGGCCAACAAGTGTGTTTTTAAAGGAAAAAAGAGGCCAGGTGTGGTGGCTCATGCCTGTAATCTTAGCACTTTGGGAGGCCCAGGCAGGAGGATAGCTTGAGGCCAGGAATTTAAGATCAGCATGGGCAACTTGCGACTACCACCACCCCACCGAAAATAAATAAATAAATAAATAAATAGAAGAGGCAGTTCCTAAACTGTTTGCCAATCACTTACATTAACACAGCGTAAGGTATTTGATTGGCTGTACGTTGTTCTTTGTGTCACAGATTCCACGAACATGAAGATAATGGGTGAGGCAGCTAGTCAGGGACCAAATGCCTTTAAACCATTGCCCCCAGGCATGGGTCGGGGATTTGTGACTGAAGTCCCATACTCATGTCTCGCTGGGCCTGATAATTTTGCATACCTCACATAGTTCAGACTGCTTTAAGCTATTTTTCTTTTCTCATCCTGATGCATAGAATGATATTAGAATAGAGATTGCAGAATACAAGCAACTATACCTCAGAAGAGAATATAGTTTCCAAATACGTTCAGTCAATGGACTTTCCTTTTTTTGTTTTGAGATGGAGTCTCGCTCTGTGCCCAGGCTGAAGTGGAGTGGTGCGATCTCGGATCACTGCAACCTCTGCCTCCCAGGTTCAAGGCATTCTCCTGTCTCAGCTTCCAGAGTAGCTGGGATTACAGGTGCCCACCACCACGCCTGGTTAATTTTTGTATTTTAGTAGAGACGGGGTTTCGCCACGTTGGTCAGGTTGGTCTCAAACCCCTGACCTCAGTTGATCCGCCCGCCTCGGCCTCCCAAAGTGTTGGGATTACAGGCGTGAGCCACTGTGCCCGGCCCAGTCAATGGACTTTCAGGTGCAGAATGAGGATGTGGTTTGGGGTGAAGGTGAAGTGGGATAAGAAAAAGGCTACATGTTACACGATGTGATGCAGGATGAACCAACTCTAGCATAATCCAGAATGGGAATGACATTGTGATCAACAGTCCAACCCCCTCTCTTGTACATTTTCTAAAGCAAGCGAAATAAAAATTGTGGCAGGGCACGGTGGCTCACGCCTATAGTCCTAGCACTTTGGGAGGCCGAGGTGGGTGGATTGCCTGAGCTCAGGAGTTTGAGATCAGCCTGAGCAACACGGTGAAACCCTGTCTCTATTAAAATACAAAAAATTAGCTGGGCATGGTCTCAGCTACTCGGGAGGCTGAGGCAGGAGAATGGCTTGAACCCGAAGTGGAGGTTGCAGTGAGCCAAGATTGCACCACTGTACTCCAGCCTGGGTGACAGAGCGAGACTCTGTTTCAAAGAAAAAAAAAAGGTAAAAAAAAGGGTAATCTTCCTTTTCTTATTAACTTTATTTATTTATTTGTTTATTTATGTTTTTGAGACAGAGTCTCACTCTTGTCGCTCAGCCTAGAGTGCAGTGGCACAATCTGGGCTCACTGCAACTTCTGGCTCCTGGGTTCAAGCGATTCTCCTGCCTCAGCCTCCTGAGTAGCTGGGATTACAGGCGTGCGCCACCACACCCAGCTATTTTTTTTGTATTTTTAGTAGAGATGGGGTCTCACCATGTTGGCCAAGGATGGTCTCGATCTCCTGACCTCGTGTCCCACCTGCCTCGGCCTCCCAAAGTGCTGGGATTACAGGCGTGAGCCACCACGCCCGGCCTCATTTTTTTATTTTTAGTAAAGACAAGATTTCACCATGTTGGCCAAGCTGGTCTCCAACTCCTGACCTGAGGTGATCCGCCTCCCTCGGCCTCACAAAGTGCTGGGATTACAGGTGTGAGCCACTGTGCTGGGCCGAATGGATTGGATTTTAAAGCATACTTCAGGCAGATGGAATAAGGGAATAGTCTGAGTAACGGTGATGAGAAAAGAAAGAATTGGCCAGGTGCGGTGGCTCACACCCATGATCTCAGCACTTTGGGAGGCTGAGGAGGGCAGATCCCCTCAGGTCAGGAGTTGAAGACCAGCTTGGCCAACATGGTGAAATCTCATCTTTACTAAAAATACAAAAATTAGTCAGGTGTGGTGGCGGGCACTTGTAATCCCAGCTACTCGGGGGGCAGAAGTTGCAGTGAGCCAAGATTGTGCCACTGCACTCCAGCCTGGGTGACAGACTCTGTCTCAAAATAAAATAAAATAAATAAATAAATAAAAAAGAAATAATTGTATTTGATGACTTGGTGAGTCAGCTAGCATAAGACATGTGTACCAGGGAGTAGTATAAAACTACAAGGTTGTTTAGCTTGGAGTTAGAGCAACTTGTCAATTTTATTCCCGAGGCAATGGGAGGTGTTTAAAGTTTTTTTGCGATGCTGTCTGAACTATACTTTAGGAAGCCTATGGTGGCAGGATGAATTGAAGGCACAGGAAAAGGTTTCAATATTCAATAGTCCAGGGAAAAGAAACGGAGGACCTGCAACTAGGTGTTGGCACTAAGGGATGGAGCTTTGCCTAGATTTTCCCTTTGTAGATTCTTCTCTTCCTGGATGGAAAATGATAAAAGGAAATTCTTCTGATAGTAAATTATAATGTTGACTCCAAAATCAATTCTAGATAAAGGCGATTAAATTGCAAACCCAGGATGCCTGTCTGAATGGTCCCTGCATTCAAAGATATTTTCCCCTTTACAGGAGCACCGGATAAATTTAACTCCCTAATCTGTCAAGGGCTTTGTGGAAGAGCCTGGAGGGGGATCGAAGGCGGAACTGATACTGACACACCTGGGTCTGCAAACTCCCAAAACTGAGGCTCAGAATTAGTAAATTAGGGCAGGGCACTTCCCTCTTTGGAAGGGAAGTTCCTATTTTCAAAGTTCTTCCAACGGAACTTTTACATTAGAGAAGTGTAATTGACTGAGAAGTGGAAGTGACCAGGAACAGCATTTCTGTTCCCTGGGCGGGAGAGAGAACCCCCTCGGGCGGAGCCAGCAGCAGGTCAGCTTCTGAGGGGGCCCTCATGCTGGCGGCGCCGACCTGTGGTGCAATGCTCTGAGTAGGAGAATCTTAAATACATGTTTGAGATTCAATTCCCAGAAACGTAACTAGTCTTCACAAGCCAAAAAAATAAAAATAAAAAATAAAAAAAGGAAGTGATTTCTTTTCAAGAGGTCAAAGGGCCTGGAAGAAGAGGTCCTGGCTTGAGTGTCTCAAGGCTTTCTGGGGCCTAATCCGGCTGGAATGGGCCGCAGCATTCATATTCCTGTCCTTGGTCGTGTCTTAATGAAGAATTGAAAATAATAAGGGGTGGAGAAATAACTTTCCTTTTTCTCCCACCATCCTCCCACAGTGTAAATAAACAAATAACTCTAAGCTCGATTTCCTCATTTGTCAGGGGTGGGGAAAGACTTGACATCAGGACTCTTCCATTCCATCGCCACCTGTCTTAATTTAAACATTCCCATGACCCACCCCAGAAGCGCCAACCTCCCGCCCACAAGGAGCATGGAAGTCTTGGTTTCTGGCTACTGCGCAGACTCCACCTTGGACCTACTCCCCAACCCCCCGCCGCTCCTTTCCCCGTTTCTCCAGCAGAGGGCGCAGGCCCAAAGGTTCCGCCGACCCCGCCCCAGCCTGGCCCCGCCCCGCCCCGGCGTAGGGGCGGGGAAGACGGGCACAGAAACCTGGCCGCGGCTTTCCGGGAGCTGTGGGCACGCGAGCTGCTCGAAGCCGGTGGCCCGGGGATCGTCGCTGCCCAGTCCGGCCGCGGCCGGCCGCTTCCCCGAGCTTACCAGTAAGCCGGTCCGCCTCCGGGACGCGCCCCGCCCGCCCCGGGCTCGCGCGCTCTGAAGGGGCGCGTCCCGCGCACTCCCGGCGCCGCCCACTCCCCTCCCCACGGCCGCTCCTCCCTCCGCCCGGATAGCCGGCGGCGGCGGCGGCGGCGGCGGCGGCGGCGGCCGGGAGAGGCCCCTCCTTCACGCCCTGCTTCTCTCCCTCGCTCGCAGTCGAGCCGAGCCGGCGGACCCGCCTGGGCTCCGACCCTGCCCAGGCCATGGCCGGCAACGTGAAGAAGAGCTCTGGGGCCGGGGGCGGCAGCGGCTCCGGGGGCTCGGGTTCGGGTGGCCTGATTGGGCTCATGAAGGACGCCTTCCAGCCGCACCACCACCACCACCACCACCTCAGCCCCCACCCGCCGGGGACGGTGGACAAGAAGATGGTGGAGAAGTGCTGGAAGCTCATGGACAAGGTGAAAGGCCGGCTGAGCGCCCGCTGTTGCAGGGTGGGCGTGGGCGGAGGGCCGCGGGGAGGGGAACGAGCGGACGGAGGAAGCGGGGGAGGGGACGGGTCTGGTGAAGCCGGGGAGGCGCGGAGCCGGGGTGACCGGCCGGGGGCGTGGGGGCAGGGACGAGGCCGGGAGGGTGGGGGGCGGCGTGGGGGAGGGGCTGCCGTTGGGAGTCGGGGAACGCTGGGGTGCCGCGTTTGGGGTAGCCAGACAAAGATGGAGTGGGGGCTGGGGCGAAGGTTAACTGGGAAGTCAGTGGGGCGGAAGTACAATGAGGGGTGCGGAGTTTGGGGCTCTGTGCAGGGTGTAGGGATGTAGGTCACGGAATTGGCCTGGGAGGTTAGCAGGGAGGGGGTGAGGAAGAGTGATGTACCGGCTGGGGCTCTTGGCTGGGTGAGATCTGACTAGGGAATTAGGTTCATGGGCTCTGACTGAGGAACCTGGCTGGGGTCAGGACAGCTCTCAGGGAAGCTGTGCTCTGGGTGAGAGTATAGTCCTTTCTCATTAAGATGTAACACGAAGATAAAAGACATATTGATGTTTAAGTGAGGCAAGGAAAGAACTTTCCTCCCCATCTAGCGCCGGCTCAAGTTTTTTGTTACCCTCAGAAACACTGGATGTGATCCATTGCTGGTGCTGAGATATGCACTGATTAAACCACAAGTTCTGGTTAGAACTATTATCTTCTGAAAGATGGACTGGCTGAGCCTGTTAAGCAGCAGCAGATTCTGACTTCTTAATAACTTCCTCCCTACTACATCGCTTGAGCTGGGTTCTTTTTTTCTGGTAACGGTTCTGACTCCTTATTACAGGTCCTGACTTTAAACTTGTTCGTTGAGCTTCTTTGATTACGCTTTTTTGTTTGTTTGCTTTTTGCAAGTGCGAACAAAAATAACTCCTTTATATTTAGCCACTAAGTTTGTCATTTGGGAGAATTTTACTTCCTTATAGTTGTGTCTATATGATGAAATGTAGTCAGTCTCAAGTATTTAACTGTTTAAGCAGTCGGACGCTTTGTCAGAATTCAATACGTTTTCTTGGTATTTTTCATATTCTTTAATTAATTACTTTGACAAAATTCATATTGCGTATGAAAAGTGATTAGAAGTATCTGGCACGTTTTAAGAGAATGGTGTTATTTCCTCCAGGGTAAAATTTGGTTTTCTTTGGTTCCTCCCTGGGCCTCGGTTCCTCTTCTGTAAAGTTCTTCATGGGTTGCTTTGGACTAGAAACCGCTAATAAAATGATTATGAAGCACTTAGCCAATGTAATGTGCAATTTAAATGCTTAATAAGTCCTGTGTGTGAATTAACACTCCAGTAGTGCATGCCAGTGGTTTCATAGCCACCTTTTTAGGGCTGGCTTTTCTCATGTTAAATAATTGGTATTGTAATTAATGACACAAGTATTCGTGTGTTGATTATATTGGTGGTGTAGTACTAATTTTATTGTTAGAAATTATAATAAAATCCTTACAGAAAGTTTAGGTGTGTAAAGGAAACTTTAAATGTGTCGACTCCTTTAAAAAAAACACATCGAAGATATTCAAATGCTAAAGTTTGTTAGTTTGCTTTTTAGGGATTTATCGTTAAGGACTACAAATTTTACTCTGGCATAGAAAAAATACTTTTCTAATGAGTGTCTCGTATCAGACATGTGGGTGCAGTACAATCAAAATTGTGTTGATTAGTGGCCTCTGCTTAAGAATAATCTGTTTACTAAAGAGTTTCTGTATTCTGTATTCTTTTTTTTTTTTTGAGACGGAGTTTTTCGCTCTTGTTACCCAGGCTGGAGTGCATGGTGCGATCTCGACTCACTGCAACCTCCGCCTCCTGGGTTCAAGACATTCTCGTGCCTCAGCCTCCCGAGTAGCTGGGATTACAGGTGCGCGCCACCACGCCCAGCTAATTTTTTGTATTTTTAGTAGAGACGGGGTTTCATCATGTTGACCAGGCTCGTCTCGAACTCCTGACCTCAGGTGATCCATGCGCCACGGCCTCCCAAAGTGCTGGGATTACAGGTGTGAGCCACTGGGCCTGGCCCTGTATTCTTAAAGAATAAGAGTATTCTGTATTCTTATTAAAGTGTTTCTATAAATACAGAGTAAGTTGTAGATAGTCCTATTCTACAAGGTAGCCCAAATAAAATCCTCCCTTAAGTCTTACTCCTTCATCTATTTAAAGTATGTGTATTGAATTTTGATTTATTCTGCAGAATGTTTAATTATTTGGGAAGAATAAAGAGGACTCAAAGTTTAGACTCAAATTGCTTTTCAGGTTTGATAGTTTCACGGAAAGTAGGCTTCTAGCTTTTCCCTTCCAGTGTAGGGAGAGGGATGTTTTATTTTTGTATTACTTGCCTCGGAAGTTGATTTTAATACTGTCTGTTCCCCTCTTATCACGTATTTCTAGTTGCTCTGAAAACGTAGTACTTTCTAATGTGTTAGTCTGATACGTTTATACTGCTTTCCAGATTTTCTGAATACCTCTGTGATGTTACTAGATTGCACCATCTCTTTTACCCTTGATGTTTTGAGCATAAGGTGTCCTCTTTTTTCACTTTATTTTTATTGTTGAAAGTCTTAAATGTGTCACCACACCTTGACTTCATGTGCTATAAGTGGTGAAGAACCTACTGTCAAATCCACAGATGTCCCACACATTTAATTCTTTTTAACAAAATTTCTGGGCCGGGCCCCGTGGCTCACGCTTGTAATCCCAGCACTTTGGGAGGCCGAGGTGGGCGGCTCACTTGAGGTCAGGAGCTCCAGACCAGCTCTGCCAACATGGTGAAATGCTGCCTCTACTAAAAAATACAAAAATTAGCTGGGTGTGGTGGCAGACGCCTGTAATCCCAGCTACTTGGGAGACTGGGACAGGAGAATCCCTTGAACCTGGGGCAGAGGTTGCAGTGAGCCAAGATCGCACCACTGCACTCTAGCCTGAGCGACAGAGTGAGACTCCGTCTCAAAAAAAAAAAAAAGTCTGTTTAATTCTTTTAAATGACACACATTTAGTTCTAAGTCACCATCTCATACCTGCTTTATCTTTGTTGTTGAAGCTGGATGAATATTATTCCAGCCAACTCTTAATCAGTTTATTGAATTAGCACTGGGAGCTGTTAGTCTCTTTCCTTCCCCCAATATTGGATATATACAGATGGAAAAAGTTGGCATAAGTCATGGGTTCTGGTTAACATAGGCCCGATTTACTAATCCATTATGGAACTTAAACTTAACTGTTGGAAAAATGTTTGTGCTAGAATGCTTGTTATTAAACAAAAGTTAGACAGAGCCACTGGTTTTCTTTTTGCCACCCCAGGATATTGTAATAAACATGTGCATAAATACTTGTATGTGAAGTGGCTTGTAAGCCAAAAGACAATTAGGCAGGGAGGAGAGGAGTGGGAAGTGGAGAGAAAAGAGAAAAAGTCACCTAAATTGGCCTTAAATGTATGCTGGGCTCACACCTGTAATCCCAACACTTTGGGAGGATGAGGTAGGCAGATCATTTGATCCCAGCTTCAGCCCAGGAATTCCAGACCAGCCTGGGCAACATGACGAAACCCTGTCTCTACAAAAAATACACATATTAGCCAGGCGTGGTGGTGCCTTCCTCTAAGCTCGAGCTGCTTGGGAGGATCACTTGAGCTTGGGAGATAGAGGCTGCAATGAGCTGTTGAGTCAGCCACTGCACTCCAGCCTGGGCAACAGAGTGACACCCTGTTTCAAAAACAAATAAATTGCTTTAAATGTAAATTTAAAAGTATCAAAGTGTTTAATTTAGTAAGAGACTTTATTTATTTATTTATTTGCTCTGTCACCCAGGCTGGAATGCAGTGGCATGATCTCGGCTCATTGTTTCCTCTACCTCCCAGGTTCAAATGATTTTCGTGCCTCAGCCACCAAGTAGCTGGGATTATAGGCATGCGCCACCACACCTGGCTAATTTTTCAATTTTTTTTTTTTTTTTTTTTTTTTTACTAGAGACGGATTTTCACCATGTTGGCCAGGCTGCTCTCGAACTCCTGGCCTCAATTGATCTGCCCACCTCAGCCTCCCAAAGTGCTGAGGTGGGATAACAGGCATGAGCCACCGCGCCTGGCTCAATTTAGTAAGAGACTTTAAATTCCATTATGAAATAGAACAGAGGTTGGCAAACTTTTTCTGTAAAGGGAGGTTTCAGGGCCACTGTAAATACAGTAATCCTCCATTATTCTAGGGGATATGTTCAAGACACCCAGTGGATGCCTGAAAACCCCCAATAGTACTGAACCGTGTACATATACTATGTTTTTCCTATACATACCTACCTATGATAAAGCTTAATTTATAAATTAGGCACAGTGAGAGATTAACAACAACAATAATGAAAGAGTACAATTACAAAATACACTGTAGTAAAAGTTATATAAATGTAGTCTTCCAAAATATCTTATTGTAGGCTGGGCGCGGTGGCTCATGCCTGTAATCCCAGCACTTTGGGAGGCCGAGGCAAGCGGATCATCTGAGGTCAGGAGTTCGAGACCAGCCTGGCCAAAAAGGTGAAACCCTGTCTCTACTAAAAATACAAAAATTAGCCGGGCATGGTGGTGGGTGCCTGTAATCCCAGCTACTTGAGAGGCTGAGGCAGGAGAATTGCTTGAACCCGGGAGGCGGAGGTTGCAGTGAGCTGAGACTGCTCCATTGCACTCCAGCCTGGGCAACAAGAGTGAAACTCTGTTTCAAAAACAACAACAAAAAATCTTATTGTATGGTACTGCAGGTAATGGAAACCTCAGATACGGGGAGATACTGTATTTTAGACTTTGCTGGGCACACACTAAGTCTCATGTTCTTTGTTGTTATTGTTACAACTCTTTTTATTTTTTATTTTTTGAGGTAGAGGCTCCCTCTGTTGCCCAGGCTGGAGTGCAATGGCATCTCAGCTCACTGCAACCTCTGCCTCCTGGGTTCAAGCAATTCTCTTGCCTTAGCCTCCCAAGTAGCTGGGATTACAGGTGCCCACCAGCACACCCAGCTAATTTTTGTATTTTTAGTAGAGATGAGGTTTTGCCATGTTGGCTAGGCTGGTCTCGAACTCCTGACCTCAAGTGATCTGCCTGCCTCAGCTTCCAAAAGTACTGGAACTAAAAGCATGAGCCACTGTGCCCGGTTGTTGTTGTTACGACTCTTTAAAAATGTGAAAGCCACAAAAAAAGGATGCAGGTGATTAATTTGCCCACTCCTGAAGTAGAGCATCTATTTTAGGTTTGAATTTTATTTTTATTTTATTTTTTTTATTATTTTTGAGATGGAGTTCCACTATTGTTGCCCAGACTGGAGTGCAATGGCATGATCTCGGCTCACTGCAGCCCCTGCCTCCCAGGTTCAAGTGATTCTCCTGCCTCAGCTTCCCCAGTAGCTGGGATTACGGGCATGTGCCACCATGCCTGGCTAATTTTGTATTTTTAGTAGAGATGGGGTTTCTCCATGTTGGGCAGGCTGGTCTCGAACTCCTGACCTCAGGTGATCTGCCTGCCTCGGTCTTCCAAAGTGAGCCACCACGCCCAGCCTTTATTTTTAATTAGCTTATATAATTGAAACATTAAGGTATTGGTGATTTTTAAATGGAGTATAGTTTATTAGAAAAATACATTTAAAATCATGAGCTTAAAAAAAATTACATTTTTTTGAATTAAAAAAATATTTTATTGGCCGGGTGTGTGGTGGCTCATGCTTATAATCCCAGCACTTTGGGAGGCTGAGGTGGGTGGATCACCTGAGGTCAGGAGTTCAAGACCAGCCTGACCAACATGGAGAAACCCTGTCTCTACTAAAAATACAAAAATTAGCTGGGTGTGGTGGTGCATCCCTATAATCCCAGCTACTCGGGAGGCTGAGGCAGGAGAATCCCTTGAACCCGGGAAGCGGAGGCTGCGGTGAGCCGAGATCGCACCATTGCATGCCAGCCTGGGCAAGAAGAGCAAAACTCTGTCTCAAAATAAATAAATGAATGAATGAATAAATAAATAAATAAATAAATTTTATTTTTATTCATTATTATTAACTAGTAGTATTTTTAAAAATAGAGACAGGGTCAGGCTGGGCACAGTGGCTCACGCCTGTAATCCCAGCACTTTGGGAGGCTGAGGCTGGGGGATCACCTGAGGTCAGCAGTTTGAGACCAGCCTGGCCAACATGGTGAAACCCCGTCTCTACCAAAATACCAAAATTAGCTGAGCATGATGGCGGGTGCCTGTCCTGGCTACAGGAGGCAGAGGTTGCAGTGAGCCAAGATCATGCTACTGACCTCCAGCCTGGGTGACAGAGCAAAACTCCGTCTCAAAAAAAAAGAAAAAAAAAAAAATAGAGACAGAATCTTGACAGTGTTGCCCAGGCTGGTCTCAAACTCTTGAGCTCAAATAATTCTCCCACCTCAGCCTTCCACAGTGTTGGGATTACAGGCTTGAGCCACTGCGCCCAGCCAAGAAAGTATTTTTAAAAGATGATTATTTCCTTCCTTCTAACTTTTCCTGCCTTACCCTATCCACCTTGCCTTCCCTGTGCCTCCTAAAAGCACCTTAGGAAACTTCCTGTATTTTGGAAGTGAGATACACTTAGAATTTGCAAATTAGTATATAGCATTTAATTGGACTACTACTTCACTCCCTCCCTTCCTTCTTACCTTCCTGTGTTTGTGTACACAAGCATAGTGGTAGGTATTGTCACACTCTAGGAGATTACATTATAAATGATATATAAGTGATGTGACTATAGGAGAAATATGTCTGAAGTGATGAGGATCTCTTAAGTTTAAACATCTTTCTTCTGTGTGTGAAATGTGTCAATATTTTTTCTGTATTTATCTTAACCTCTCAGGATTGTAAAGTCCTTGAGGGTAGCACCTGTAACCTGCTTGTCTCCTGCAATATCCAGTTATGGAGCCTTCTGTAATAGTAGATACTTTGTAAGTTTTTTGGTTTTGTTTTTTTTAAAAAGGGATTTATTTATTTATTTTTTAGTACACTTGGAAGAGGGCCAAGCGGGTGACTTGAGACCAAGTGCCTATTTTTATTTTTATTTATTTTTTACTTAAGAGACAGAGTCTTGCTCTGATACCCAGGCTGGAGTGCAGTGTCACAATCATAGCTCACTGCATCCTTAAGCGTCTGGGCTCAAGCCTTCCTCCCGCTTTGGCCTTCCAAAGTGCTGGGATTATAGTCACAAGCCACTGCACCCAACTAGTAGTTGGCTTTGTGTGCCCCCAAGGAATAACTGCATGGAAAAGGTATGGAGGGGGGCATTCATCTTTTCTTTTCTTTTCTTTTTTTTTGAGACGGAGTCTCGCTCTTTTGCCCCAGGCTGGAGTGCAGTTGCGTAGTCTTGGCTCACTGCAACCTCCACCTCCTGGATTCAGGCAATTTTGTTGCCTCAGCCTCCTGAGTAGCTGGGACTACAGGTGTGTGCTACCACAGCCGGCTAATTTTTGTATTTTTAGTAGAGACAGGGTTTCACTATGTTGGCCAGGTTGGTCTCAAACTCCTGACCTTGTGATCTGCTCTCCTTGGCCTCCCAAAGTGCTGGGATTACAGGCATGAGCCACCCCGCCCGGACTTTTTTTTTTTTTTTAAAGTCAGAGTCTCGCTCTGTCACCCAGGCTGGCGTACAGTCTCGGCTCAATGCAATGAGTGGCGTGATCTCACCTCTGCCTCCTGGGTTCAAGCAATTCTAGTGCCTCAGCCTCCCAAGTAGTTGGGATTACAGGCGTGTGCCACCACACCAGTTAATTTTTGTACTTTTGGTAGAGATGGGGTTTTACCATGTTGACCGGGCTGGTCTCAAACTTCTGGCCTCAAGTGACTCGCCCACTGCGACCTCCCAAAGTACTGGGATTACAGGTGTGAGCCACCGTGCCTGGGCAGTAGACATTCTCTTGAATGATACTAAGATAGTGTTTAACTAGTATTATTCAATCAAATATCTGTTGTCTACTTAAAGGTTGGTGTTTCTTCAAATTATGTGTGCTAGTTACTTTGTGTGGTGATCATAGAGGCTTTTGTATACTTTTCCAGTTATACTTAATTTATGTTGTCCACTTCATTTTTTATTTTTTTCTGATCAGATAGTTTAGATTGTAGTTCACCTTTTAGCTTCAGTTTATTAACATCTCTCTCTCTCGCCCATTAGAGCTCCTTAGGACCAAGGCTTTGTCTTAACACAGTCCCTCATTTTCTGTCTAATTAATTGAGGGGATCTGGTAGGGAATTTTTTTTTTTTTTTTTTTTTTTTAGTGAGTGCTCATTAAGGTAACATTTACTAAAAGAGGTTTTACCTTATAAAGGTAGTATTATAATTATTGTAAAACATGATTTGTGTTTTATGCCTATGAAAAGCTCACCCAAAGGATGTAAGATTCTTCATAATTCCTTAATGTAAAACATGAGCCGGTTGAGTATTTCATGTAATCAGCAGTAGGATTTTGAAAGGCATGTAGAATAAAAGTAGAGTTAGACCAGGGAAGAAGATTGTATGCTCTCTCCGTTTTGTGAGTTTGGTTGAAGTTTTTGCTGACTCTTGATATAGGAAAAACCTATTTTTAGTATGTTTTCAGCCAGCAGTATACATATAATGAACCTGATAAATCATGGTCAAATTGGTCCTGGAGTCTTCGTCTTCAGCAGAGTTCAATGTTATATTCAAACATACAATAATATTTATACTGTGATAAGTAATTTCCCTAATGATTAACCTAGAGTGCTAAGAGCAAAATGGACTAAATATTCGTTTGAAAACAGCCTAAATTTTTTTTTTTTTTTTGAGGTTGCGTCTTGCTGTGTTGCCCAGGCTGACCAACATGGTGAGCTTCATCTCTACTAAAAATACAAAAATTAGCTGGGCTTGGTGGTGCATGCCTGTAATCCCAGCTCCTCGGGAGGCTGAGGCAGGAGAATCGTTTAAACCCGCCCGGGAGGGTGGAGGTTGCAGTGAGCGGAGATCACGCCATTGCACTACATTCTGGGCAACAAGAGTGAAACTGTCTCAAAAAAAAAAAGCCGAGGGTTGTGGCATGCGCCTGTAATCCCAGCTACTCGGGAGGCTGAGGCACAAGAATTGCTTGAACTTGGGAGATAGAGGCTACAGTGAGCTGAGTTTGTGTCACTGCACTCCAGCCTGAGCGACAGAGCTAGACTCTGTCTCAAAAAAGAAAAAAAAAAGATTTGTTAGAAGAGGGGCATTTAACAAGTCACTATGAAATATTTTCATGATTAGCAAATTTTGTGCTGGAAGAATATAGGTAGGAGTAGGCACCTGGAAGCCAGCGTCAGCTTTGTCCCCACAGTGCTCCTTCCTGCAGCAGCTTCCGCAAGGAGGGAGAGGGGGTGCTAATGATGGCACTGGTGGTGCACATCCACTGGGGATCCCAGCACTGGGGAGATGTGATGCCACTATCATAGATGGACCTGTGGTTCTCTCACGAGAAATAAGCAGCCCCTCTGGGTCCCCTCTCTGCTGTCTTTGGAATGGCTAGTGAGTCGTGTGTAACAGCCTCCACTGCCTGGGCACCTTCTCACAACCACCACTGTTTGCTGCCTTCCCTGTGGCTTGGATCTGCCATGGAGGAAGGACTAAAATGAGGCCAATTCATTGGTGCTTCATTGAGTGGAGATGGGATCCTAACTCCTGCCCTCCTCCTCTCTTGGACTTATTGTAATTTATTTATTTATTTATTTATTTATTTATTTATTTATTTATTTATTTTTTGAGATGGAGTCTTGCTCTGTCACCAGGCTGGAGTGCAGTGGTGCAATCTCGGCTTACTGCAACCTCCGCCTCCCGGGTTCAAGCGATTGTCCTGCCTCAGTCTCCCTTGTAGCTGGGACTACAGGTGCCCACCACCATGCCCAGCTAATTTTTGTATTTTTAGTAGAGATGGGGTTTCACCATGTTGGCCAGGATGGTCTCGATCTCTTGACCTTGTGATCCGCCTGCCTCGGCCTCCCAAAGTGCTGGGATTACAGGCTTGAGCCACTGCGACCAGCCTCTTGGACTTATTTTAAACAGCAGCACATAACTGTAGCAATCTTTGAGAAAACCAAAAACAATTTATGAATCATAAAAGATACAGAACGAAATGTAGAAGTCTCCTTTTACCCCCATACCCCCAAATAACTACCCTCCCAAGAGGTATCTACTGTGTGTAGTTTGGGGTCCATTCCCTCCCATCTCCCTACCTGTCTTATCCTCGGTTACTCCGAGAAGGTTGGAGAAATAGCATTGATTGCCCTGGAATTATTTATATACTTAAGCAAGTCGTTGACTTTTCAGCATGTCATCATGTTAAGACTGACAAGTAAGAACTAATAATTTGTTATATTGTAGAGCAGTTTACAATTTTACATCTGCAGATAAGTTCAATCTCAAAATAATGTGTCTTATTACAGTTAAACTGAGATTCAGATAGATTAAACAAGCTACTTAAGTCACCTAGCTCGTATCTTTTTTTCTGAGACACAGTTTCACTCTTGTTGCCCAGGCTGGAGTGCAGTGGTGCAGTATTGGCTCACTGCAGCCTCCACCTCCTAGGTTCAAGCAATTCTCCTGCTCAGCCTCCCGAGTAGCTGGGGTTACAGGCATGTACCACAGGCCCGGCTAATTTTGTATTTTTAGTAGACGGGGTTTCTCCATGTTGATCAGGTTGGTCTCGAACTGCTGACCTCAGGTGATCTGCCTGCCTTGGCCTCCCAAAGTGCTGGGATTACAGGCGTGAGCTACCACGTGCAGCCCATATTTTTGTTTTTTATGTGGATCTTGAACTGATGTTCAGACTGTGTCAAGTAATTTCTTATAAACCAGTACTTCTCAGATTTTATCATGAATTCAGATCAATTCAGGGGATCTTGTTAAAATACTGACTTTGAATAGGTCTGGAGTGGGGCCTGAGAGATTTTGCATTCCTAATCAGCTCTCAGGAGATGTCATTGCAGCAGACCCAGGTACCAGACTTGATATAGGAAGGCTGTATGCCACAGTTGCTTTTATTTTGGATAAGCTTGGCGGATTTTTTTTTTAAATAAATGGAAGTTGGGCATCTTATTTAAGATTTTAATTATGATGTTCTTCAACTATGAAGGTAATACTTACTTTAAAATACAAATTTTTGGCTGGGTGTGGTGGCTCACACCTGTAATCCCAGCACTTTGAGAGGCCGAGGCAGGAAGATTGCTTGAAGCCAAGAGTTCAAGACCAGCCTAGTCGATGTAGTTAGAACCCCATCTCTACAAAATAAAAAATAAAAAAATTAGTTGGCCGTGGTGGTGAGTTCCTTTAGTCCCAGATACTCAGGAGGCTGAGGTGGGAAGATCACCCAGGAGTTTGAGGCTGCAGTGAGCTATGATCCTGCTACTGTGCATCAGCTTGGGCAACAGAGTGAGACCCTGTCTCTAAATAAAGGAAAGGAAAAAGGAAAAGAAACAGCTGATTCTTAGTTACCTCAAGTGAAAATTATGTTGACACTTTTCCACAGTCCCACTTAACATAAATGTAGTAGTTGCTGGGGAGTTAAAGATGACCCGGCACTCACACTTACAATTTGTGTGATACAACTGAAGGTATGTAGAGGGCTCTGGGAACCCTCTATGCTATAGAGTCACTGGGGCTCATGAGGCAAACCATTAATCTCTGAGGAGACAAAAAGGGGATGGGGAGGAACTTTAGACCAGTCAGGCTCTTCTGTAATACCCTCATCCACAATTGTGTCTTAATTAGTGTATGGCATCTAAAAGTGATACTAAAACATTTACAGTAGTCCCTTCATATCCATAGTTTCGCTTCCTGCTGTTTCAGTTACCTGTGGTCTGAAAATATTAAATGGAAAATTCCAGAAATAATCCATAAGTTTTAAATTGTATGCTGTTCTGAGTAACGAGGTGAAATCTTGCAATCTTACGCTGCTTCTGTCCTGGGCATGAATCATCCCTTTATGCAGTGTAGATACATACTGTGGATATAGTAGTGTATCTACACCGTCTACACTACCCACCGGTTAGTCACCTAGTAGTCATCTTGATTCTTAGATCAACTGTTGGCAGTCTTGCAGTGCCTGTATTTGAGTCACCCTTATTTTGCTTAATGACCCTCAAAGCATAAGAGTAATGATGTCGGCATTTTAAATATCCAAAGAAAAGCCAGAAAATGCCTTCTTTAAGTGAACAGGTGAAAGCTGTTAAGAAAAGAAAAAACTCATATTCCGAGGTTACTAAGATGTACAGTAAGAATGAATCTTCTACTCATGAAATTCTGAAGAAAGGTCTGGGCTCAATGGCTCATGCCTGTAATCCCAGCACTTTGGGAGGCTAAGGTGGGTGTATCACTTGTGTCCAGGAGTTCGAGACCACCCTGGGCATGTGGTGAAACCCTTCTTTATTTTAAAAAAAAATTTTGAAGAAGCAAAAAGAAATTTATACTAGGGCCGGGCGTGGTGGCTTACACCTGAAATCTCAGCACTGAGGGAGGCTGAGGCTGGTGGATCACTTGAGGTCAGAAGTTGGAGACCAGCCTGGCCAACATGGTGATACCCTGTCTCTACTAAAAAATACAAAAATTAGCCAGGTATGGAGGCGGGCTCCTGTAATCCCATCTACGTGGGAGGAGGCTAAGGAGAATTGCTTGAACCCAGGAGGCAGAGGTGGCAGTGAGCCGAGATAGTGTCATTGCACTCCAGCCTGGGCACAGAGTGAGACTCTGTCTCAAAAAAAAAAAAAAGAAAGAAAGAAAGAAATCATACTAGGCTTGCTGTCATACTTCATGGCCCTGGTATATGATAAGTGCTTCATTAAGATGGAGAAGGTGTTAAATTTGTGGATGGAAGACATGCACAGAAACGTTTTCTGATTGGTGCAATTGGGTTTGGTATTATCCTTGGTTTGAGGCAACCACTGAGGGTCTTGGAATGCATCCCCCTAAGATAAAGGGGGACCACTGTAATCTCTAGTTCATACTAAGTATTTGGTTTGAAGTTGCATCGATAACTCTGGACAAAGAACCATTTTTGCCTTTTTTTTTTTTTTTATTTTGAGACAGAGTCTTACTCTGTTGTCCAGGATGGAGTGCAGTGGTGCGATTTCAGCTCACTGCAACCTCTGCCTCCTGGGTTCAAGTGATTCTCCTGCCTCAGCCTCCCAAGTAGCTGGGATTATAGGTGGGCACCACCACGCCCGACTATTTTTTTTTTTTTTTTTTGAGACGGAGTCTTGCTCTGTCACCCAGGCTGTAGTGCAGTGGCGTGATCTCGGCTCACTGCAACCTCCGCCTCCCGGGTTCAAGCCATTCTCCTGCCTCAGCCACCCGAGTAGCTGGGATTACAGGTGTGCGCCACCACGCCCGGCTAATTTTTGTATTTTTAGTAGAGGCGGGGTTTCACCATGTTGGCCAGGCTGGTCTCGAACTCCTGACCTTGTGACCTTGTGATCCACCCACCTTGGCCTCCCAAAGCGTAGGGATTACAGGTGTGAGCCACTGCACCCGGCCATGCCTGGCTAATTTTTGTATATTTAGTAGAGATGGGGTTTCACCATGTTGGGCAGGCTGGTCTTGAACTCCTGACCTCAGGTGATCCGCCCACCTCAGCCTCCCAAAGTGTTGGTATTACAGGTGTGAGCCACTGCACCTGGCCCATTTTTGCCTTTTAAAAGTAGAACTGGCTGGGTGCAGTGGCTCATTCCTGTAATCCCAGCACTTTGAGAGATTATGGTGGGAGAATCACTTGAGGTCAGGAATTTAAGACCAGCCTGGATAACATAGCAAGACCCTGTGTCTAAAAAAATATTAGCCAGGTGTGGCACATGCCTGTAGTCCCAGCTACTGGGGAGGCTGAGGGAGGAGCATCACTTGAGCCTAGCAGGTCGAGGCTGAAGTGAGCTGTGATGACGCCACTGCACTCCAATGTGGGCGACAGAGTGAGACCCTGTTTCAAAAAAATAAAAATAAAATCCATATATAAAAACTGCATGGTTAAGTTTTCAGAGCATACATTGTATTGAATGTATTTTTTCTGCAGTTGATGTGGTAGGTGAAAGTAATGAGATTGGTAATGAATTATAAGTGGCATGGTGTTTTTAATAAGTGCTGTTGGGTGATATTTGAGAAGTATACTGTAGTAACTACAATTCAAGAACCTGAATGGAGTTTTGAGAAATCAAAAATTGAGAATAATAATTACAAGTAAGGCGTTTTTCAAATTATTGTCTAATGATGGGGCTATTGTCTAGTGATGACACTTTTTTTTTTCCTGTGATCAGTTGACTTTAAAATATGTTTGTTAAAAAAAAGTATAGGTGGCCGGATGCAGTGGCTTACGCCTGTAATCCCAGCACTTTGGGAGGCCGGGGTGGGCGATCATTTGAGGCCAGGAGTTCGAGACCAGCTTGTTCAACATGTGAAACCCCGTCTCTACTAAAAATACAAAAATTAGCCGGGCGTGGTAGTGCGCGCCTGTAGTCTCTGCTACTTGGGAGACTGAGGCAGAGAATTGCTTGAACCTGGGAGGTGGAGGCTGCAGTGAGCTGACATCACACCACTGCATTCCAGCCTGGGTGACAGAGCGAGACTCCATCTCAGAAAAAAAAAAAAAAGTATAGGTTTCCGGCTGGGCACCGTGGCACATCCTGTAATGCCAGCACTTTGCGAGGTTGAGGTGGGCGGATTGCTTGAGCCTAGGAGTTCAAGACCAGTCTAGGCAACATAGTGAGACCCCATCTCTATTTTTATTTAAAAATTAAACCAAAAACAAAAAAGGATGGGTTTCTGATTTGTCTTTGAAAAACAGTCATGAGTTTTCGTTTAAAAAAGCTTCACTATAAGCTGGGCACAGTGGCTCACGTCTATAATCCCAGCACTTTGGGAGGCCAAGGTGGATGGATCGCGAGGTCAGGAATTCGAGACCAGCCTGACCAATATGGTGAAACCCCCTCTCTACTAAAAATACAAAAAAATTAGCCAGGCGTGGTGGCGCATGCCTGTAATTTCGGTTACTTGGGAGGCTGAGGCAGGAGAATTGCTTGAACCCGGGAGGCGGAGGTTGCAGTGAGCCAAGTCGCGCCACTGCACTCCAGCCTGGGCAACAGAGAGAGACTCCGTCTCAAAAAAAAAAAAAAAAGCTTCACTATATATTTATACCTGTTAAACTTCTTCAAGTTTCTGAGATGGAGTTTTTAAAATTTGAAGCTTTAAGAGACTTTAGAAATAAATTGATCTAACTCTTTCATTTACAGAGACCCGGAAGGGCAAATAACTTGCTTGAGGTTGTATAGCCAGTTAATGTCAGTCACCAGACTAGAGCCCAGGTCTCTGGACTTGTGCTCTAGTATCCTCCTCTCTTCTTGACAGGAGGTTAATATTCATCCTTTTAAATTATAATGACATTTTACATGTATAGCTCCACATATTGAATACTTGTTTTTGTAGCATAAAACTATTCATTTTTAACATGGGAAAACATTGAAAATGAGAAATGCTTGTATCAATAAGTTGGAGTCTTTAGAGATAAAAATATTTATTTTAGTCTTACATGTGTATGGTTTTCTGCCTAATTAGAAACACAGATTCCTTAGTGTTAGAAAAGATTCTGTATTCACAACAGCATTAGGCTTAGGCATTGTTGTTCTCTATAACTTTTTGCTCTTTAAAAGTTTAGCAATTTTCAAGCATAGTTTTATTCCTCTTTATTGTGATCATAACACTTTCCAAATTTTTTCTATTGACCATTGAGTCTTGGCAGAAGCAAAGGGAGGAGCTAGGCCAGTGAGAAAGCTATTATGAATGGAGTGCATGGCAGCTGTACAAGGATACTGTTGGTTTCCCGGAGCTAAGCACGTTTCTTTTTAACATTGTTCTGAGTGATGCTGTAAATGTACAGGCAGAAGTAAACAAAAGGCAGCCATTTTTGCCACTGCAGGATTTGGAATGCAAAATAAAGTTAGCCAAATGGAGGACAGACTAAGCAGGAAAATATTTGTATCTTTTAGAAATTTTTTGGTGAATTTTTGTTTTTTGGTTCATGTTTGTTTTTTGAAGGTTAACTATGACTGCCAGTTTAAAATTCACTAAATAATATAGGCAGATTGTTTGGGTTTTTGATGTTTGTTAACTATTGACTTGAATTATTCACACAGGGCCTTTAGGAACCATTTTTTAAAAGAGGTTATACATAATAAGGACTTTTTTTCCTTTCCAAAGAATATTAATATCGAGAGTATCAAGAGCATGGCCAGGCGTGGTGGCTCTTGCCTGTATATAATCCCAGCATTTTGGGATGCCAGGAGGCAGGATAACTTGAGGCCAGGAGTTTGAGACCAGCCTGGGTAACATAGTGAGGCCCTATCGCTGCAAAAAATAGTTTAAAAAATTATCCAGGTGTGGTGGCGTGTACCTGTAGTCCCGGCTACTTGGGAGGTCTAGTTGGGAATGTCTCTTGAGTCCAGGAGTTCAAAGCATTTGAGGTATGATCATGCCACTGTGCTCCAGCCTGGGTGACAGAGCAAACCACCCCACACCCTTCCTTTTTTTTTTTTTTTTTTTTTTTTTTTTTTAAAGAGACAGATCTTGCCATCTTGCCCAGCTGGTCTCAAACTCCTAGGTTCAAGCCATCCTCCCGTCTCAGCCTTTCAAAGTGCTGGGATTACAGACATGAGCCACCATGCCTGGCCTTTTTAAAATTTTTGGTTTTTATTTTATTTTACTTTATTTTATTTTGTTTTGTTTTATATTTTATTTTGAATTATGTTATGTTATGTTATGTTATTATGTTATGTTATTTTATTTTAAGACAGAGTCTCGCTCTGTCACCCACACCGGAGTGCAGTGGCCTGATCTCTGCTCACTGCAAACTCCATCTCCCAGGTTCAAGCAATTCTCCTGTCTCAGCCTCCCAAGTAGCTGGGACTACAGGCGCCCGCCACCACGCCCGGCTAAATTTTTTTTTATTATTATTTATTTATTTTATTATTTATTTATTTTGAGACAGCGTCTCTCTCTCTCTGTTGCCAGGCTGGAGTGCAGTGGCGTGATCTCAGCTCACTGCAACCTCTGCCTCCCAGGTTCAAGTGATTCTCCTGTCTCAGCCTCCCGAGTAGCTGGGATTACAGGCACGTGCCACCACACTCAGCTAATTTTTGTATTTTTTGTAGAGATGGGGTTTCACCATGTTGGCCAGGCTGGTCTCGATCTCCTGACCTCATGATCTGCCCACTGCAGCCTCCCGAAGTGCTGGGATTACAGGTGTGAGCCAATGCCCCTGGCAATTTTTTTTTGAGACTCTATCTCTTAAAAGATGAAGAAAAAAGAGTACCTACCTGTATATTCTTTGAGGTCTGTGTTAGTGTTCCATAGTTGAAGACTTAAGAGTTAGTGCAGTGCTGATTTCCCTGGTCATGATGATTCATTTTCAAAAGATCTTGAGAAAACCAGACATTTAGTATACAAATGAACTTTAAGAGGTGACATGCTAAAGAAGGACAAATAACACTTGTGGAGGGGACATGGTACTAGTTTAAAAATACTAATTCATGAAATGTTTTGGAAACATTTTGTGTTACATTGTGAGGGCTGATACATTGTCATGAACATTTATTGATTGCATATGATACAGGTTTTAGTTTAGTTTTTTGTTGTTGTTGAAGGGATGTGTGGTTGACCCTAGAACAGCTAGGAGGTTAGGGGCACAGACCACCCCACGTCCCATCCACCTCAGTCCCTGTCCCCCTCATTACCTCCAGCCACTGCCCCCCATTGAAAGTCACACATAACTTTTGACTCCCTGCCAAAAGTTAACCAGTAATAGCCTACTGTTGACCAGAAGCCTTACTGATAACATAAAACAGCTTATTAACATGTTATTTTGTACATACATGTATTATATCATGTGTTCTTACAATAAAGTAAGCCAGATTAAAGAAAACATTATTTTTTGTATTTTTTGTTTGTTTGAGATGGAGTCTTGCTCTGTCGCCAGGCTGGAGTGCAGTGGCGTGACCTTGGCTCACTGCAACCTCTGCCTCCCGGGTTCAAGCGATTCTCCTGCGTCAGCCTCCTGAGTAGCTGGGATTACAGAAGAAAACATTGAAAAAATCATAAGGAGGATAAAATATTTACGATTCATTAAGTGGAAGTGGATCTTCATCCTCTTTGTCTTCATGTTGAGTAGGAGGAGGAGGGGTTGGCTGCTGTCTCGGGTGGCAGAGATGGAATAAATAGAAGAGGTGGAGCGGGAGGCAAGGGGGCAGGCACACTTGGTATAACTTTTATTGAAAAAGAACTTCGTATAAGCAGACCCACGCTTTCAAACCCATGTTGTTGAAGGGTCAACTGTATACCTTTTTTTCAGAGGTATTAGGCAAGTACTCCGTTTTATCCTAAACTCTTTGGGGTGTGTGTGTGTGTGTGTGTGTGTGCGCGCGCTTGTATGTATGCATGTATTTATTTATTTATTTGAGACAGAGTCTTGCTCTGTTGCCCAGGCTATGAGTGCAGTGGCGTGATCTCGGCTCACTGCAACCTCCACCTCCCGGGTTCATGCAATTCTCCTGTCTCAGCCTCCCCAGTAGCTGGGACTACAGGTGCATGCCACCATGCCTGGCTAATTTTTGTATTTTTAGTAGAAACGGGGTTTCATCATGTTGGTCAGGCTGGTCTCCAACTCCTGACGTCAGGTGATTCTCCCGCCTTGGCCTCCCAAAGTGCTGGGATTACAGGTGTGAGTTACTGTGCCTGGCCTTATGTTTTGTTTTTGTTTGGAGACAGGGTCTCATTCTGTCCTACAGGCTGGAGTGTGGTGATGCAGTCTTGGTTCACTGCAGCCTCAGCCTCCTAGGCTCAATTGATCTTTTCACCTCAGCATCCCAAGTAGTTGGGACTACAGGCATGTGCACCACATCCAGTTAATTTTTGGTATTTTTTGTAGAGATAGGGTTTTGCCATGTTGTCCAGGCTAGTCTTGAACTCCTAGGCTCAAGCGATCTGCCCACCTCAGCGTCAGCTTCAGCTCCCAAGGTTCTGGGATTACAGATGTAAGACACCGTATCCAGCCAATATAAATATTTTCTTTTTTTTTTTTTTTTTTTTGAGACAGAGTTTCGTTCTTGTTGCCCATGCTAGAGTGCAAAGGTGCTACCTCAGCTCGCTGCAACCTCCGCCTCCCGGGTTCAACCGATTCTTCTGCCTCAGCCTCCCGAGTAGCTAGGATTACCGGCATGTGCCACCACGCTTGGCTAATTTTTTGTGTTTTTAGTAGAGACGGGGTTTCACCATGTCGGCCAGGCTGGTCTCAAACTCCTGACCTCAGGTAATCCACCTGCCTTGGCCTCCCAAAGTGCTGGGATTACAGGCATGAGCCACCGCATCTGGCCTAAATATTTTCATTGGGAGCTGTACTTGGTACTTGGTTTGAACCTTTTAAGGGCTGGATTCTGTAGCTTTTGCAGATTGTTGGTCACCCAATTCTTGTGTTACCTGCTGCTGCCTTTTCTCTATTTCTTGGTTACCAGAGACCATGCAGGACTGGGACAGTAGTTGTGTTATGGGCCCAAATGATAGGACTAATGCTACCAGGTTCTGGGAATCATCAAAGGGTGATATGAGGTCCACTATTCTGTCTTTAGTAGGTAATTCTTGCCTCCCCTGCATATAAGCCACTCAGATGGTGTGGAAATGAGAAGGGGAGCTAACATTTATTGAATGCGATTTTTTTGGAAACTGTGCAATCCTTTTATGCAAATTTTATTATGAGGCATTATCTTTGATTTTGTGGTTAAAAGAACTAAGGCTCAGAGGTTAAGAAATTTACTCAACTTAAATGACTGAAACAGGACATTTTTTTTTTTGAGATGGGGTCTGTGGCATGTCTCAGCTCACTGCAACCTCCTCCTTCTGGGTTCAAGCAATTCTCTTGCCTCAGCCTCCTGAGTAGCTGGGACTCCAGGTGTGTGCCACCATGCCTGGCTGATTTTCGCATTTTTCATAGAGACGGAATTTCACCATGTTGGCCAGGCTGGTCTTGAACTCCTGACCTCAAGTGATCTGCCTACCTCAGCCTCCCAAAGTGCTGGGATTACAGGCATGAGCCACCACGCCCCGCCTGAAGCAAGACATTTTGATATGGCTATTTGATTCAATCTGGTCAAAGTACTAAAATGTTATTTAGTCCTTTAAAAATTTAATTGAAAACTTAAAAACTTATAGCTTAGGCTTTAGCATAATGTCTCTTTGGTGACTTCCTTACCTGTTCCACAAATCTCTCTCATTACCTTCTCCACCTTGTTCACTATGCTTTAATCTCACTGACCTTTCTATTCTTCAAACAAATCTCAACCACTTACCACTTTAAGACCATTGAAGTACAATGGTTTGATGGTACGGTGGTTTGATTTGGGATTTTTCGACTTTATGATGGTGCAAAAGTGATAGCTATTCAGTGGAAACTGCGCTTTGAATATCCATATAACCATTCTGCCATTCTGTTTTCACTTTTAGTACAGTATTCAATAAATTACATCAGTTATTCAGCACTTTATAATAAAGTAGTAGGCTTTGTGTTAAGATGATTTTGCCCAACTCTAGGCTACTGTGTTATGAACATGTTTAAGGTAGGCTAGCTAAGCTATGATGTTTGGTAGGCTAAGTATATTAAATATACTATTGACTTATGATACCTTCAACTTAGGATAGGTTTATTGGAATGTAACTCCATTGTAAATTGAGGAACATCTGTAGTTGTTCGCTCTTTTTGGGCTACTCTTCTGCTGTAGCTGGCTTTTTTCTCTAATTTCAACTCTTAGCCTCAATGTCGCATCAGAAAAGCCTTATCTACTAGTCACCCAGCACTTTCTTATCATATTAGCCTATTTTAATTCTATAGTGAACCTTATAATTTTCTTTTTTTTTTTTTTATGACGGAGTTTTGCTCTTGTTGCCCAGGCTGGAGTGCAATGGTGCGATCTTGGCTCAACGCAACCTCTGCCTCCCGGGTTCAAGCAATTCTCCTGCCTCAGCCTCCCAAGTAGCTGGGATTACAGGCATGGGCCACCACGCCTGGCTAATTTTGTATTTTTATTCCAGACAGGATTTCTCCATGTTGGTCAGGCTGGTGTCGAACTCCTGACCTCAGGTGATCCACCTGCCTTGGCCTCCCAAAGTGCTGGGATTACAGGCGTGAGCCACCGCGCCCCGCAAACCTTATAATTTTCTTGTTGAATTCATTTTTATTGTTTTATTGCTTGATTCCTCTCACATTCAGATACCTTGTCTTTTTACTTCTGTGTCCCTGTGCCTGACACATATTTGTTGAATGAATATGTTGAGAAAAATAAAAACTGGTACAACCTTTAACTTACAGCCTCCATATGTACAAATTGGTCTCTGTCTGAACCTATGCTCACTCTTTTTTTTTTTTCCTATTCTAGGAGGCGTCCTCTTCTTTTAAAATATATGTATTTTAATGTATTCTCTTTTTTTTGAGATAGAGTCTCATTCCGTTGCCCAGGCTAGAATATGGTGGTGTGATCTTGGCTGACTGCAACCTCCGCCTCAAGCGGCCCTCCCACCTCAGCCTCCTGAGTGACTGGGACCACAGGTGCCCACCACCATGTCTACTTAATGTTTTTTTATATGTTTTTGTAGAGATGGGGTTTTGCAATGTTGTCCAGGCTGAATTTTAATTTTTTAGAAATAGACACAAAGCATTTTGGGAGGTCGAGGTGGGCGGATCACCAGAGTTCAGGAGTTTGAGACCAGCCTGGCCAACATGGTGAAACCCTGTCTCTACTAAAAATACAAAAATTAGCCGGGCATGGTGGCGCATGCCAGTAATCCCAGCTACTTGGGAGGCTGAGCCAGAAGAATCACTTGAACCTGGGAAGCGGAGGTTGCAGTGAGCTGAGATCGCACCATTGCACTCCAGCCTGAGCGACAAGAGCAAAACTCCATCTCAAAAAAAAAAAAAAGGAAATAGGGACAAGGTCTTGCCATGTGGCCCAGGCTGGAGTGCAGTGGCTGTTCACAGGCATGATCATAGTACACTGCAGCCTCAGACTCTTGGACTCACTCAAGCAATCCTTCTGCTTCAACCTCTGGAGTAGCTGAGACTTACACCCACACCACCACCACTCCTAGCTAATTCCTTCTCTCTCTCTCTCTCTTTTTTTTTTTTGGAGACGTGGTTTCGCTCTTGTCCCCCAGGCTGGAGTGCAGTGGCGTGGTCTTGGCTCACTGCAAACTTTGCTTCCCGGGTTCAAGTGATTCTCCTGCCTCAGCCTCCCAAGTAGCCGGGATTACAGGTGCCTGCCACCATGCCTGGCTAATTTTTTTTGTATTTTTTAGTAGAGACAGGGTTTCACCATGTTGGCCAGTTGTCACTTATCTCCTTTTCTCTTCTGGATCTTTCTTAATATAAAGCATGTTTAGTTTTCAGTTTTTGCTAGATCTTAATCTCTAGTTACAGTGTCGGTCTTCCCCACTTCCTTCCACAGACTAACATAGGAAACTACAATTTTAATATTTTTGTTGTGAAATGTAGTCTGTTTATAAATACCTGACTTACTTTTGGAATGTAGCACTTGTAAACTGGGAACTGTCTGTATTTGTTTTATTAATATGAGTTATTAACTCTGTTGTACTTAGAATATAGTTATCTTCCGAGGTGGAGTCTTTTTTCCCTGGCCATGTTCTTCCCTTTTGACTTGAACACTTGATAAGAATGAAGAGCTTTCTAAAATGCTGTGAAAATATTCATGAACCAAATGTTTTTGTTGATTCAGCTTGTCTTTGTTTGCTAGGCTTATATATGGGGCTAGCTGGATGTGGTGGCATGAGCCTTTAATCCCGGCTATTCAGGCAGTTTAGGCAGGAGGGTTGCTTGAATCCAGGAGTTCGAGGTTGTGGTGAGCTATGATTGAGCTCCAGCCTGAGAGACAGAGGGAGTCTTTTTCTCAAAAACAACAACAACAACAACAAAAAACAAAAACTTAAGAAAACAAGAGTTCAAGAAATGTTGTATTGAGAATGATGTATTTAGTTTTACAATTTTCATATTATCATTTGAAGAGTTGTGTTTTGTTTTTTTTTTTTCTTGAGACCAGAATCTTGCTGTGGCCCAGGCTGGAGGGCAGTGGCATGGTCTTGGCTCACTGCAACTTCCACCTCCTGGGTTCAAGTGATTCTCCTGCCTCAGCCTCCCGAGTAGCTGGAATTACAGGCATGTGCCACCATGTCCGGCTAATTTTTGAAGAATTCTTGATCATTAGTCATTAAACAGGAATTTATCCTAAGGAAATAATCTGATGTATAGAAGAATGAAATATCCAAGCACGTTCATCACTGTGATGTTGCAGTAGTAAAGACTTGAAAACAAAAGAAATGTTAAAGTTGGGGGGAGATGGTTAAGATATGTTATTGTCTATCCATAGACTAGAATTATTTAAATATCTCAAAAAAGTTTATAATGAGCTTTCGGTGACACAAGAAAATAGGTTTTTGTTTTTTGTTTTTTTTTTTGAGACGGAGTCTTGCTCTGTCACCCAGGCTGGAGTGCAGTGGCGCGATCTCGGCTCACTGCAAGCTCCGCCTCCTGGGTTCACACCATTCTCCTGCCTCAGCCTCTCCGAGTAGCTGGGACTACAGGCGCCCGCCACCACGCCCGGCTAATTTTTAGTATTTTTAGTAGAGACGGGGTTTCACCGTGGTCTGGATCTCCTGACCTCGTGATCCGCCCGCCTCAGCCTCCCAAAGTGCTGGGATTACAAGCGTGAGCCACCGCGCCCGGCCTGAAAATAGGTATTTTTAAATGTGAAATAAAAACGAGAATGTCAGGCTTATGCTTCCATTAATGTTAGCTTAGGTTGTTTTGAACCAAATATACTGCTAATAGCAAGAAAACTTAGAAGACATAGAATTGTTATCAAGACAGTGAGAAATTATGCCAAATTTGGGAAGTTGAGGAGAGCTGTGAGAAATTTATTTTCATGTAATGTGTAAGGGATCTAGTTTTATTTTTTCTCATATGGATAACAAAGTTTTCAATAGTTTTTCTTTTGTATTCTTGATTTGTAATGTCACCGCTGATACTGAATTTCCTTGTGTGCATGTGTGAGTCTGTTTCTGGACTTTCTGTTCCACTAGTTTGTCCACAGAAAAGTCCATGTAAATAGAAAGCACAAACAAGTTGTTAGGAATAAATCCAAATTTATTTGTATGACAAACACAAAATGGACTAAACTTACCAGTTAGAAAACAATGATTGTTACATTGGATTTTTAAATTCTATCTATATGATCTTTAAAAGAAACACTTAAAACATAACTCAGAAAAGTTGAAAGTGAAAGATGGTACAAAGAATTGCCAGGCAAATTCTGAGAGTCCAAATGTAGGACTCTCAGCTCTATGCTTTACTGGGTCCAAGGCCTCTCTGTTCCTGTTCCTCAAGCGGTTGTTAAAACTCAAACCCCAGGTTGGGTGCGGTGGCTCATGCCTGTAATCCCAGCACTTTGGAAGGCTGAGGCTGGCAGATCACCTAAGGTCAGGCATTCGAGACCAGCCTGGCCAACATGGCGAAACCCCATCTCTACTAAAAATATGAAAATTAGCTGGGTGTGATGGTGGCCGCCTGTAATCCCAGCTACTTGGGAGGCTGAATGAGATAGGAGAATTGCTTGAACCTGGGAGGCAGCAGCTGCAGTGAGCTGAGATTGCACCATTGCACTCTAGCCTGGGCAAAAAGAGCAAAACTCCATCTCAAAAACAAAAAACAAACAAAGGGCCTGTAATCCCAGCAAAGTGCTGTAATCCCAGCACTTTGGGAGGCTGAGGCCAGTGGATCATGAGGTCAGGAGTTTGAGACCAGGCTGACCAACATGGAGAAACCCTGTCTCTACCAAAAATACAAAATTAGCCGGGCATGGTGGTGCATGCCTATAATCCCAGCTACTCAGGAGGCTGAGGCAGGAGAATCGCTTGAACCCGGGAGGCGGAGGTTGCGGTGAGCCAAGATCACACCATTGCACTCTAGCCTGGGCAAGAAGAGTGAAACTCTGTCTCAAAAAACAAACAAACAAACAAAGCTCAAGACCCTAGAGTACAGAGATTTACCTCCCAGGGCAGTCATGTCCTTTATTTCTGTCCCTGGGAATTTTCTTTAGTTTATTATAGGGGTCAGGCTGGACACAGTGGCTCAGGGCTGTAATCCCAGTGTTTTGGGAGGCTGAGGCAGGTGGCATCGTTTGAGCTCAGGAGTTTGGGTCTAGCCTGGGCAACATGTCTCTAAAAAAAAAAAAAACAACAATTAGCTGGGTGTGGTTATGCATGGCCGTAGTCCCAGCTACCCAGGAGGCTGAAGTGGGAGGATCACCTGAATCTGGGGGTTTGAGGCTGCACTGAGTCGTGGTTGCTCCACTCCACTCCAACCGTGAGACCCTAAAAAATAAATAAATAAATAAAAATATTGTGGGGATCAGCAGTATATTTAAAAGTAATTTGCCATATTTCATCTAGCATGTTTTAGGGATTTATGTGGATGTTTTCCCCTAGTTGTTTGTTCTGTGTGTTATCTGTACCATTAGTCTCTCAAACGGATTTAAAAACACATTCTTCTGGGGGACCACTAAAAATTTTAAAATGGTTGCCTGTGGGCAATGGGGTTATGGATCTGCTTCTTATATTCTCATGTATTTTTCATATTTTGCAAAAGAGCACATATTTCATAACTTTCTTAAACTTAAAAAAGGGAGCTGTCCTTAAAATTCTCCAAGTAATAGCCCTTCTTTTTCATTTGTTGCAGGTGGTGCGGTTGTGTCAGAACCCAAAGCTGGCGCTAAAGAATAGCCCACCTTATATCTTAGACCTGCTACCAGATACCTACCAGCATCTCCGTACTATCTTGTCAAGATATGAGGGGAAGATGGAGACACTTGGAGAAAATGAGTATTTTAGGGTGTTTATGGAGAATTTGATGAAGAAAACTAAGCAAACCATAAGCCTCTTCAAGGAGGGAAAAGAAAGAATGTATGAGGAGAATTCTCAGCCTAGGTAATGGAGAAATACTACACAAATAATTATGCAGGTCTGTGACTGCCTGAATGGGTAACACATAGAAGTAGTTGAGTTGGTTTTAATTTTATGTTAGTAGGAATGGAAAGTTGACATTTGATTTAAAGGTATAGTTTATATAAAAGGTTGCCATGGATGACGTTGTACTATCCCTAACTCTGATTGATTTGCTTACCTCTGAAAAATCATTTACTGATAGTAATGAAAATGAGTTGGAGGCAGTAGGTCCTTTGGAGAACCTGAAGATCATGAAAGTTTGTGGGCAGGTGGGAGTTTGGAAGAAAGAAGACTGGGGTTAAGTGGAGTTTGGGAGTAAATAAGAGGCCGATCTTGCCAAAAGCTGTAGCATATTAGGTAAATTTATATGTGGGATAATAGGGGAAAAAGCCACTAGTTTAACTTTTTAAAACATGAAGCAAAGTGAAATGACATTTTCTTTATAGGTAAAAGTAACTTTTCAAATAAAATAGGTAGAGGTGAATGCAGTTAATTCAATAAATATTTGAAGGATCACTATGTATTCTTTTATATTAATTTTATTATTATTTTTTTGAGACAGAGTCTGGCTCTGTCGCCCAGGCTGGAGTGCAGTGGTGCGATCTCAGCCTCCAGGTTCAAGTGATTCTCCTGTCTCAGCCTCCTGACTAGCTGGGATTATAGATGTGCACCACCATGCCTGATTAATTTTTGTGTTTTTAGTAGAGATGGGGTTTCACCATCTTGGCCAGGCTGGTCTCGAACTCCTGACTTCAGGTGATCTGCCCGCTTTGGCCTCACAAGGTGCTGGGATTACAGATGTGAGCCATCACGCCTGGCCCTCTTTTGTGTTAATTAAATACCAGAAACTATAGGCTATCCTGCATATTGTTAGCTTAGCTGTCGTAAATTACATACTGGGAGAGAAATAAGTTAACTGTATGTGTGGATGTAATTGTGTTTTATTTTGTTCAATTTGAACTAAATATTAACTCATCTAGAATGAGTAATAAAATAATTCCACTAGAATTTTTTAGTGAGTAAATTATTCTTGAGTAGTGACTTGAATTAGAAGGAACAGTATTTCTGAAGTCATCTGGTTACCATGCATGACTCTAGCAGTAACATACTAAATGGTGTCCTTGTTGTCTACCTTTCCTTTGGGCCTGTTGGCCTAGATTCTGGCAACCCTAGCTTTCAATTAAAATTTTATGCACATGATTATCCATATTACCGTTATTGCAACAAATTACTCAGGTGTAGTCTGAGTAATGGACTCAAAATGTCCATCTTTTCTTTCTTTCTTTCTTTTGTTTTGTTTTGTTTTGTTTGAGACGGAGTCTTGCTGTTGTCACCCAGGCTGGAGTGCAGTGGTGTGATCTTGGCTCACCGCAACCTCCGCCTCTTGGGTTCAAGTGATTCTTCTGTCTCAGCCTCCTTAGTAGCTGGGATTACAAGCATGCACCGCTGTGCCCGGCTAATTTTTGTATTTTTAGTAGAGATGGTGTTTTGCCATGTTGGCAAGCTGGTGTTGAACTCCTGACCTCAGGGGATCCGCCTGCCTCAGCCTCCCAAAGTGTTGGGATTACAGTTGAGAGCCACTTCAGCTGGCCTGTCCATCTTTTCTTAAAAAGATTCTGAGTGAATTCAATCCGTAAGAGCCTTTGTAACTTCTCGTTTATTTGGAAGTGAACTTTATTCCTTTTAAATATTCAGATTTTGTAACTTTTGTTAAAACCTCGACTGTATGGACCTTTTAGCTAACTAGTCATTTTGTATTGTATTGCTGAGTTTCTAAAAAATAATTTTAATTCATGAGGTACCAAAACTTAAAAATTTTGTTTACCATGTACGTGAACTAGGTTCTGGTTCTAGGAGGTGAAAAGGAAAGTTAAGCATTCAAATTTGAGGTAATATGACAAATGCATTAATAGAGATATGTACAAAATTCTGTTGGGAGCCGGGCACAGTGACATGCACCTGTAATTCTAGCTACTCAGAAGACTGAGGTGGGAGGATTATTTCAGCACAAGAAATTGAGACCAGCCTGGGCAACACAGCGAGAACTCTTCTTAAAATAAATGAAACATTTAAAAAGTGCTGTGCGAATACAGTTTTGTCCAGTGGCATTAGAGAAGGTGGCATAGAGGACTTGTAATTTGAATTAGAGTTTGAAGGATAAATAGGAATTTTCTAGGCAGAGAAGTCAAGAAAAGTCTTTTAACACAGTGGCATGAAAATGGAGGCTCTGGTATGTTTAAAATGAGAAGTTTGGTTTGGTTAGAATTGTGGGAGACAGATACGCTGGAAAGACGGGTTGAAGTCAGATTGTAAAGGGCTGTTTTTTGACCTCTAGACTTTCTCTTATAGATGATAGGCTGTCATAGAACAGGTTTATTTTAAAGAGCATTTCTTTTTTCTATTTTTTTTCTTTTTTTTGAGATGGAGTCTCACTCTGTTGCCCAGGTTGGAGTGCAAAGGAGTGATATTGGCTCACTGCAAACTCTGCCTCCCGCATTCAAACAATTCTCTTGCCTCAGCCTCCCGAGTAGCTGGGATTACAGGTGTGTGCATCATGCTGGGCTGATTTTTTTGTATTTTTAGTAGTGACAGGGTTTCACCATATTGGCTTGGCTGGTCTCAAACTCCTGGCCTCAAGTGATCCGCCCGCCTTGGCCTCTATTTTATATGTATTCTCACAATAAAGTGTGCTAGAGAAAAGAAAATGTTACTAAAATCATAAGGAAGATAAAACATTTATTATTCAGTAAGTGGAAATGGATCCTCATAAAGGTCTTCATCCTCATTGTCTTCAGGTTGAATAGGCTGAGGAGGAGGAGTAGGAAGAGGAGGGGTTGGCTGCTGTCTTGGTACTGAAAATTCCAGTACTGGTTTTTCTGTGGTAGAGGCAGAATAGGTGGAGGGGGTGGAAGGGGAGGCAGGAGAGGCAGGCACACTTGGTGTGACTTATAATGAAAAAAAAGTCTGTGTATAAGTGAATCCACACAGTTAAACCCATGTTGTTAAGGCTCAACTATATCTAATTTGCCGTTACCAAATGACTTCAGTACATGTTGACAAGTTCTTTTGCCTCTTTTTAAACCTCACTGTCAGTGTGCCTGTCTGTATCAATTTTATTCCCCCTAACATGAGGCTTTTAATATTTTATGGATTTGATTTGTACAAATTATATGTAAAATGAGAGTAAACAGATTTCAAGTGAGAATCAAGGAGTTCATTTTTTCAATCAACTTTCTCAGGTTGAAAGGGTTTTTGTAAATAGGGAAAAATATATAGGGTTTTTGCGAATGATCTTTGTGGTCTTTTTGATTACTTAGAGGTTTTTTTTTCCTATTCAGTTTTTAAATTGAGATATAATTCACATACCATAAAATTTGCCCTTTTAAAGTGTACAATTTAGTGGTTTTTAGTGTATTCGCAAAGTCAGGCAACCATCACCCCTCTGTAATTCCAGAACATTTTCACCCCCCAACAGGAAACCCCACTCCCATTAGCAGTCACTCTTTGTTCCTCTCTCTGGATCTCCCCTGGCGCTTGGTAATCACTAATACCTGCTTTCTGTCTATGTGGATTTGCCTGCTCTGGACGTTTCGTGTTAAGTGGAATCACATAACGGTGGCCTTTTGTGGTTTTTTTTTGTGTGTCTTCTTTCGCTTAGAATGTTTTTACAATTCACCCATATTGTAGCATGTATTGGTACCTCATTCCTTTTTATGGCTAAGTCATATTTCAATGTATGGATATACCATATTTTGTTTATGATATTTTTGTCATTTCTACTTTTTGGCTACTACTGAATAATGTTGCTATGATTATGTGCCAGTTTTTGTATGGCTATAGCCATATAAACATATATACATATATGTTTTCACTTCTTTTGAGTATATATATATATATATATATATATATACCCATAGGAGTGGAATTGCTGAGTCATATGGTAATTCTGTGTTCAACTTTTGAGTAACCTCCAAACTATTTCCACAGTAGCTGTACCATTTTTCTTTCCCCTAGCAATGTATGTGGGTTCTGATTTTTTGCTAACAATTGCTATTGACTTTTTTTATTACAGCTATTCTACTAGGGGTAAAGTGGTGTCTTGAGGTTTTGAAATGCATGTGAATACTTTTTCATGTGCCTCTTGGATGTTTGTATATAGTTGTCCCCCTTTATCCTCAGTTTAACCTTCCTTGGATTCAGTTACTGGCAGTCAACCATGGTTTGAAAATATTAAATGGAAAATTCTAGAAATAATTCATAAATTTTGAATTGCATGCCCTTCAGAGTAGTGTGATGTAATTTCACAACGTTCTACTTTATCCCAGCTGGGATGCAAAGCATCCCTTTGTACAGCATCTCCATGCTGTATACACTAGCACCTATTAGTCACCTAGTAGCTATCTTAGTTATCAGAGTGAGAAAACATAATATACACAGGGTTCAGTACTATCTGTGGTTTCAGGCATCTGCACATCTTGGAATGCAAAGGGGGACTATTTATCTTCTTTGGAGAAACATCTATTCAAATCCTTTGCCCATTTTAAAGTTGCATTATTTGTCTTTTCATTGTTGAGTTGTAAGATTTTCCTTCATATTCTGGATGCTAGACCAGATACATGATTTGCAAAACTTTACTCCCATTCTGTGGGTCATCTTTTCACTTTCTTAACAGTATGCCTTGAATCACAAAAGTTTTTAATTATGGTGAAGACCAATATTTATTTGGTTTTTGTACTTTTAAGAAATTATTGCCTAATTCAAGGTCATGAGGCCTGTTTTTTCCTATTTTATAGTTTTACCTCTTGTATTTAGGTCTTTGATCCATTTTTGAGTTAATTTTTGTATATGGTATGAGGTAGAGGTCCAACTTGATTCTCTTGCATGTGGATATCCCTTTGTCTCAGCACCATCTGTTGAAAAGTCTGTCCTTTTTAATTGCATGGACTTGTTGCCATTTTAGGAAGGAAGTAAGTTGACCATAAGTGTAAGGGTTTATTTCTGGACTCTCAGTTTCATTTCATTAATCTACATATCTATCTTAATGCTAGTACCACACCATCTTGATTACTGTAGCTTTGTACTAAAGCTTTGGAATCAAGAAGTGTGAGTTCCTCAGCTTTGTTTTTCAAGATTGTTTTGGCTGCTATTCTGGATCCATTGTATTTCTTTTTTTTTTGAGATGAAGTCTCACTCTGTCACCCAGGCTGGAGTGCAGTGGCGCCATCTTGGCTCACTGCAACCTCTTCTTGCCAGGTTCAAGCGAGTCTCCTGCCTCAGCCTCCTGAGTAGCTGGGATTACAGGTGTGCACCAACAATCCCAGCTAATTTTTGCATTTTCACTAGAGACGGGGTTTCACCATGTTGGTCAGGCTGGTCTTGAACTCCTGACCTCAAGTGATCTGCCCACTGCAGCCTCCCAAAATGCTGGCAGGTGTGAGCCACTGTGCCCAGCCTCCCTTGAATTTCTGCATGAATTTAGAATCAGCCTGTCAATTTGATCCCAAATACAATTTTTTTTTTTTTAATAGATAGAGTCTTGCTCCGTCACCCAGGCTGGAGTACAGTGGCATGACCTTGGCTCTGCCTCCCGGGTTCAAGCGATTCTCCTGCCTCAGCCTCCTGAGTAGCTGGGATTACAGACATGCACCACAACCCCTGGCTAAGTTTTCTATTTTTAGTAGGGATGGGGCTTTACCATGTTGGCCAGGCTGGTCTCGAACTCCTGGCCTCATGTGACCCGCCCGCCTCGGCCTCCCAAAGTGCCGGGATTGCAGGAGTGAGCCACTGTGCCCGACCCCTAAATACAATGTTTTCTTATCAAAAAGAGCAGCAGGGGCTGGGTGTGGTGGTTCACACCTGTAATGCCAGCACTTTGGGAGGCCAAGGTAGGTGGATCACCTGAGATCAGGAGTTTGAGACCAGCCTGGCCGGTGTGGTGAAATCCCGTCTCTACTAAAAATACAAAAAATTAGCCAGGTGTGCTGGCGAGTACCTCTAATTTCAGCTACTCTGGAGGCTGAGGCAGGAGAATCTCTTGAACCCAGGAGGCGGAGGATGCAGTGAGCCGAGATCAAGCCACTGCACTCCAGGCTGGGCAACGGAGCGAGAGTTCATCTCAAGTAAACAAGAGCAGCAGGAATTTTGGTAGATATTGTATTAGATCTGCCGATCATTTTGGGGATTACTGCCATCTTAACAATACTGTTTTCCGCTACATGAATACTGGATATATTTCCACTTATATTTTTATTCATTTTTGTCTTTGTTGTTTTAGACAGAGTCTCACTCTGTTGTTGCCCAGGCTGGAGTACAGTGACTCAATCTCAGCTCACTGCAACCTTCACCTCCCAAGCTCAGGTGATCCTCCCACCTCAGTCTCCCTAGTAGCTGGGACCACAGGTGCGCACCATCATGCCTGGCTAATTTTTGTATTTTTTTGTAGACACGAGGTTTCGTCGTGTTGCCCATGCCGGTCTCAAACTCCTGGGCTCAAGCAATCTGCCCATCTCCACCTCACAAAGTGCTGGGATTATAGGCATGAGCCACCTTGCCTGGCCTTACTTATATCTTCTTTAATGTATTTCAGTAATGTTTTGTAGTTTTCAGTGTTCAAGTTTTTTGCCTTCTTAGTTAAGTTTATTCCTATTTTGTTCATTTTGATGCTATTGTAAATGGAATTGTTAATTTTAGGTTCATATATAGAAACATAGTTGACTTCTGTATGTTGATCTGGTACTCCACAACTTTGCAGAACTTACTTATTGGCTCTAGTAGCTTTTTAGTAGGTTCCTTAGGCTTTCCTAGATACCAGATCATGTCACATGCAATTAGAGGTAGTTTTACTTCTTCCTTTTCTTTCTGCATGCATTTTATCTCTTTTTCTTGCCTAATTATTCTTGGCTATGTTGAATAGGAATATCAGGAGTGGCCATCTTTGTCTTTTTGGTATTGAGGAGGAAAATGTTCAGCCTTTCACCATTGAGTATATTAGCTGTGAGATTTTTGTAAAGGCTTTTCATCAGGTTAAAGAAGTTTCCTTACATGTCTTGTTTTTCAGTTTTTGGTTGTTGTTTTTTTTTTGCTTTTTTGTTTTATCATAAACAGTTGTTAGAGACCTTTTATGTTTCATTCGTGGTTTTTCTTTTTTTGATAGGTGAGTTGTGGACAGCTGAGTGCTAGTTAAATATAGTACATAGAAAGAATCTTGAAAAGAAAACTAGTTTGAATAAGCCAAAGTAGAAACTTGTTGACTCATAAAATTCTAGAAAAAATGAGTATCTTAAATTGCACTAAAGAGGCTGGGCATGGTGGCTCACGCCTGTAATGCCAGCACTTTGGGAGGCTGAGGTGGGCAGATCACTTGAGGTCAGGAGTTGGAGACCAGCCTGGCCAACATAGTGAAACCCCATATCTACTAAAAAATTCAAAACAATTAGCTGGACATGGTGGCATATACCTGTAATCCCAGCTGCTTGGGAGGCTAAGGCACGAGAATTGCTTGAACTCGGTTGGTGGAGGTTTGCGGTGAGCTGAGATCATGCCCCTGCACTCCAGCCTGGGTGACAGGGTGAGACTGTTACCAATTAAAAAAAAAAAGAAAAAAAAGAAAGAAAAAGAAAAATTGCACTAAAGGCAAGAATGCAGGTAAGCCTCAGGAACAACTGAAACCAGGATTGAAATGTTGCCAGGACTCTGTCTGTTCTCTTTGATTCTTCTGGTATTACTTCCATACTCAGTGCAGATTAATGCGTAAATTGCAGAAAAGTTTGGTCTCTATTACACCCAAGTTTTATATCTTAAGAGTTTCTGCTGTAGCAGAAGATATGACTCTTAGTTCCAGTTTTCACTTTGGCTTGGTATAGAGCATTTGATTGTCCCTGGACCAACCTCTGGAAGGAGAGGTTAAGTACTGGGATTAGTACAGCAGAGGCCAGTTGCAGACCTCTAGACTAATCGACTGTGGCTTGGGAGACATATGTGTTCCTTCATAGCCATGTGCATGGGGGAGTTTGTTCCTAGTTTTTTGGGTGTTGAGGAGCCAGTCTCTTAAATCTTCTCTATAAGAGTGTACATAATTGGCTGGGTGCAGTGGCTCATGCCTGTAATGCCAGCACTTGGGGAGGCTGAGGTGGGTGGATCACCTGAGGTCAGGAGTTCAAGACCAGCCTGGCTAACATCGTGAAACCCCGTCTCTACTAAAAATACAAAAATTAGCCAGGTGTGGTAGCGGGCACCTGTAATCCCAGCTACTCGGGAGGCTGAGGCAGGAGAATCACTTGAACCTGGGAGGTGGAGGTTGCAGAGCCGAGATTGTGCCACTGCACTCTAGCCTGGGCGACAGAGTTAGATTCCATCTCAAAAATAAAAAATAAAAAATAAAAAAGAATGTACATAATTCTATCTATTATTGTATAGTATTGTTGCTTCATGATTTTATTTTAGTTATTATTAGCTGGTTTAAGTTCTCCAAAGATAAATTTGCCCTCATTTTTCTTAGACTTTATAAAAAATGAATTAAGTAAAACCATAAGCCTCTGTTTTGCCTTTGATCTTTCTGGGTTTTGCACCTGTTTTCATTTGTGTACAGGAAGTTACAGTAGAAGCCGAATGGGATTATACAGTGCAGTTAATTTTAAAAACTTGATTGTATTCATTGTGCAAGTAGGATTAAGCTTTTCTAATGTAATTCTGCCTTCTTAGAGGTAGGAAAAGGAAAAAAAATTAGTATTGAGTATTTTGTCTATGGTAGGCACTGCTCCTGAATAGTACATAGTCCCTTCTTTTCATGAAGCTTATAAGCTTATATTATGTCTTTTTCCATTAGTTTCCAAAGCATAACCTCCATATTATCATCCGGTGGAACAGTATTTAACAAGCGAGACAAAAGTGTTTGTGCAGCTATAATCTTTTCCTAGCACCATGAAAATAGGTTTTCAATAAGTGTGCAAAATTCTTCTGGTAGGTAATGGCAGTTTAGATCTTTGTGTTCAGGAATTTGGGCTTGGTGGGAAGAGATTTTCACTTAGGTTAAAAATGTCCTTGCATTTAGGAAAGGGACAGCAACATGGGTCCTGAAAAAGATTTTCAGTCCATGAGAGAGACAATGATGGCTTGGACCAAAGTGATGGGTGTAGAGATGGAAAGAAGTGGGCAGAATTTGATGTATTTTAAAGCTAACATACCAGGACTTGCTAATGAATTGGATAGATTTCTAGTTTGAGCAACTGGATAGATAGTGCAATGGGAAGCCACTGAACTTTTGAACAGGTGAAGGATGTGATCCACTTGTATTTTACAGTGACAGTATTGGCTGCTGTCTGGAAAATAGGTAAGGTCTTGTGGCAATGATGGAAATAGATGGATAGGTTACTAAATTAGTATTCTAGGCCATGTTAGATTGATGAGACTAGGGAGGAGGAATTTAAAATGAAGAGAGGTGGGCAAATAAGAAATAGATTGGGGATAGGTATGGTGTAATTCCTGTAATCCCAGTGATTTGGGAGACTAAGGAGGATCAGTGGAGGCCAAGAGTTTAAGACCAGCCTGAAACTGGGCACAGTGGCTCACGATTGTAATCCCAGCACTTTGGGAGGCCAAGGCGTTGGATCACCTGAGGTCAGGAGTTCGAGACCAGCGTGAACATGGTGAAACCCCCTCCCTTCTAAAAATACAAAATCAGCTGGGCATGGTGGCGGGTACCTGTAATCCAAGCTACTCAGGAGGCTGAGGCAGGAGAATTACTTGAACCCAGGAGGCGGAGGTTGCAGTGAGCCAAGATTGCACCACTGCACTCTAGCCTGAGTGACAGAGTGAGACTCCATCTCAAAAAAAAAAAAAAAAAAAGACCAGCACGGCACCATAGAGAGACCCTGACCCTGTCTCTACAAAAAATTTAAAAAAGAAAAATTGGCTGGGTGTGGTGGCATGCATACCTGAAGTCCCAGCTACTCAGGAGGCAGTTGAGGTGGGGAGGATCACTTGAGCCGCTGCACTATAGCCTTGGTGACTGAATAAGGCCCTGACTCTTTAAAAAAAAAAAAAAAAAAAAGAAACCAGTTTGCTAGGCCTAAAATAATTGTTTCTTTTGGCTTGCAAAAGTGGCAAAAATGGCAAATCTACTTTTTTTTACTTTTTTAAAAAAATTTTTCTCTCAAATCTATTTATGATGAGTATTCCAAAAGAGGGTGCAGGGACATGGGTATTGCCATACCAGGTTGCATTAGGGGTGAAATTAGTTTAACCTTTCTGGGGTGGTGGTTATATCAAAAGATTTAGAATTTTCAGCCAGGGGTGGTGGCTCATTACTGTAATCCCAGCACTTTGGGAGGCTGAGGCAGGCAGATTACCTGAGGTCAGGAGTTTGAGAACAGTCTGGCCAATGTAGTGAAACCTCGTCTCTACTAAAAATACAAAAATTAGCTGTGTGTGGCAGTGCACGCCTGTAATCCCAGCTACTTGGCAAGCTGAGGCAGCAGAATCGCTAGAATCCAGGAGGTGGAAGTTGCAGTGAGCCGAGATCATGCCAGTGCACTCCAGCCTGGACGACAGAGCAAGACTCAATCTCAAAAAGAAGATAAGACTTAGAATTTTGCTTAATAAGTTCACTGGTAGGATATTTATTTATTTATTTATTTTTAAAGAGAGATTGGTCTGTGTTTTCCAGGCTGGTCTCAAGTGATATGCCCGCTTCACCCTCCCAAAGTGCTGGGATTATAGGCATGAACCACTGCGCCCAGCCTACTGTTAGGAATTTATCAAAGAGAATTGATCAAGGATATGAGACCCCGTCTCAAAAAAAAAAATTTTTTTTTTTTTTTTTTGCTGATGAAGAGTAACGATATGACAATATGTTAAATAGGCTATAGAATTGTATGTTTAATAATATTCCATTTTTGTAGAAAGTATTTTAAAATACAAAAACAACACCTAGAAAGAATGATACCAAAATAACAACGGTAAGTATTAGAATTACAGGTGGTTTAAATTTTCTACAATGAATATGCAATTGATCAAAAAACTTTTTTTTTTTCTTTTGGGAGGCAGGGTCTCTTGTCACCCAGGCAGGAATGCAGAGGTGTGATCACAGCTCATTGCAGCCTCAGCCTCCCAGGTTCGAGCAATTCTCTTGCCTTAGCCTCCTGAGTAGCTGTGACTACAGGTGTGTACCACCATGCCTGGCTCGTTTTTAAATTTTTTGTGGACATCGGGTCTCACTGTGTTTCCCAGGCTGGTCTCAAACTCCTGTGCTTAAGTGATCCTTTTGCCTTGGCCTCCCAAAGTGTTGGGATTACAGGTATGAGCCACTACTCCTGACCTCAGATTCTTTTTAAAAGAAGAAAAAAAATGTGGTAACTTCTTAGGTAACAGCACGAATTCACAAGAACAGTTCTGAAAATTTTCCCTTTTGTTGTAGTAATATGATCGCTAGATTATGGTGAAGTTCAGTGAACCTAGCTAGAGAGAGTGCAAAGTTGCTAGCTAGAAAGACTGGAAAACTGGGTTAGTTTATGAAGGTGAAAAGTCACAGTTAGTTCTCAGCATCATCCTGTACAAGGTAATAGTGCTTGTAGAGCAGTAGATCATAAATTACTATGGTTTGTTTAATTATGAAAACCTGATAATCAGATCATCTGTTTTCTTAGAAATTCTAATGTAATGGTAGGTTATATTAGTGCTTCAAACATGGTTTGCTTTTTATTTTTAATTAATTTTTTTTTTTTTTGAGATAAGGTCTCACTCTGCCGTGCAGGCTGGAGTGCAGTGGCACAATCTTGGCTCACCGCAGCCTCAACCTCCAGGGCTCATGTGATTCTCCCACCTCAGCCTCCTGAGTAGCTGGAACAGGTGCATGCTACCATGCCCGGCTAATTTTTTTTTTTTTTTTTTGAGACGGAGTCTCGCTCTGTCGCCCAGCCTGGAGTGCAGTGGCGTGATCTCGGCTCACTGCAAGCTCCGCCTCCCGGGTTCATGCCATTCTCCTGTCTCAACCTCCCGAGTAGCTGAATTTTTGTATTTTTTGTAGAGACGGGATTTTGCCATATTGCCTAGGCTGGTCTTGAACTCCTGAGTTCAAGCAATCCGCCCCACCTTACCTTACCATAGTGCTGGGATTATAGGTGTGAGCCAGCATGGTTGGCCTGTTTATTTTTGTGAGACAGGGTCTTGCTTTGTCACACAAGACTGGAGTCCAGTGACACAATCATAGCTTACTGCTGCCTCTTCCAGGATCATCAATTTACCTGCTTCAGCCTCCCAAGTAGCTGGGACTACAGGCACACACCCCAAGTAGCTGGGACTACAGGCACACACCACCATGCCTGGGCAGTTTTTTAATCTTTTGTAGAGATGGGGTCCCACTTTGTTGCCCAGGCTGGTCTTGAATGCCTGGCCTCAAGTGATTCTCCCACCTTGGACTCCGAAAGTGCTGGGATTACAGGTGTGAGCCACCTTGCCCGACCAGTTTTTTTTTTTTTTTTAAACCAGATATCTACCTGCTTGTCTAGAGCTTTTTTTTATTAATGCAGTTTTTCTCTCAGCCTTTTGGTTTGAGGACCCCTTTACATTCTAAAAATTTTTTGAGGACCTCAAAGAGCTTTTGTATATATGGGTCATATCGATCAACATTTACCATATTTGATATTAAAACCGAGAGATTTAAAAATATTTAGGTTTTTAACCTTTAAACACTTAACAATAATAAGCCTATTACATGTTAACATAAAAAGTTTTAATGGACCAGGTGCAGTGGCTCATGCCTGTAATCCCAGCACTTTGGGAGACCGAGGCAGGTGGATCACTTGAGGTCAGGAGTTCGAGACCAGCCTGGCCAACATGGTGAAACCCCATCTCTACTAAAAATACAAAAATTACCCGGGCATGGTGGTGGGTACCTGTAATCCCAGCTACTCGGGAGGCTGAGGCAGGAGAATCACTTGAACCTGGGAGGTGGAGGTTGCAGTGAGCTGAGATTGTGCCATTGCGCTCCAGCCTGGGTGCCAAGAGCAAAACTCCGTCTCAAAAAACAAACAAAAAAGAAATAGAGACAAGGTTTTGCTCAACCTTCTTCATAACTGGGACTATAGGTCTGTGTCACCATGCCTGGCTAATTTTTAAATTTTTTTGTGGAGATGGGATCTCACTATGTTGCCCGGGCTGGAATTTCTGTTGTTATAAATTAACTAGTCTTTGGTATTTTGTTAATAGCAGCCCAAGCAAACTAAGACAGACGCATTCTTTGCAAATCTTTTTTTTTTTTTTTTTTTTTTTTTTTTTTTTTTGAGGAGATGGAATCTCTCTTTGTCACCAGGCTGGAGTGCAGCGGCGCGATCTCAGCTCACTGCAGCCTCTGCCTCCTGGGTTCAAGGAATTCTTCTGCCTCAGTCTCCCAAGTAGCTGGGACTACAGGCGCGCGCCACCATGCCCAGCTAATTTTTGTACTTGTAGTAGAGACAGGGTTTCACTATGTTGGCCAGGATAGTCTTGATCTCTTGACCTCGTGATCCGCCTGCCTCGGCCTCCCAAAGTGCTGGGATTACAGGTGCGAACCACCGCGCCCGGCCTTACAAATCTTTTTAATACATAGTTTAAGAGAATACAGCTGGAGTTTCATATCTGCTGCATTCAGTGTGTTACAGTGTGATATTTTGGTTGAAGTTTATGGAGAAAATTCAGCTACCCACAAATATGTAGTTGGAAAGGGGGAGGGGTATTCATACTTTACCAAAACTGAACGAGTGTTAGTTTCTTTTTTCTTTTGAGATGGGAGTCTTGCTCTGTTGCCCAGGCTGGAGTGCAATGGCACAATCTCAGCTCACCGCAACCTCCGCCTCCTGGGTTCAAGCAATTCTCCTGCCTCAGCCTCCCGAGTAGCTGGGACTACAGACGTGTGCCACCACACCTGGCTAATTTTTGTATTTTTAGTAGAGATGAGGTTTCACCATGTTGGCCAGGCTGGTCTTGAACTCCTGACCTCAAGTGATCCACCCACTTCGGCCTCCCAAAGTGTTGGGATTACAGGTGTGAGCCAGTGCGCCCAGGCGAGTATTAGTTTCTTAAAAGGTTAGTTGCAGTGTGCAACTGCTTCAATTAACATTTTGTACTTTAAGATTCATGCTATCTTGTAATTGGAATGATTGTTTTACTTGTGCATGATTTCGTAACACACATTGGTCACTTGGAAAATATTGATTGACTAGGTTATAGAGATTTTTCCATATATTGATATATATCAAAACATTAAATTCATTAATTAAATCTCATTAGAAAAGTTTGGTATTGGGAAGCTGTTGCTGATGGTTGTGGATAGAAGTTTGAAAAATGAAATTTTGCTTAAAAGCTTGAGTTTCATTATTGACAATGAAAACTGCCAGTTTATCATCAGGTGACAGGGCACTTCATTTTGGAGAAACACTCTGCCAGTTATGCAAGTCTGAATAGCCATAGTTAGTCTATTCATCATTCTTTCAAGTAAAAATGATGTTCCATACCGTACATGAAAACACAGTTAATAACTTGATGGTGAAAGACTGAAAGCCTTCCCTTTAAGATCATGAAGCAGACAAGATAGCCTACTTTTGCCACATCTCATCAACGTGGTACTAGACGTTCCAGCCAGAGCAATTAGGCAAGGAAAAGAAAAGAAGCCTAATTGCTCTGCTGCAACTTCTAAGAAAAGATAGGAAAAAGAGCCATTTCCATTTGCATGTGACATAATTCTGTATGTAGAAAATTCTAAAGAATCCATTAAGAAAACACTAAAGCCAATAAATGAGTTCTGCAAAGTTGCAGGACACAAGATCAATATACAGAAATCATTTGCCGGGTGTGGTGGCTCACGCCTGTGATCCCAGCACTATGGGAGGCCGAGGCAGACGGATTGCTTGAGGTCAAGAGTTCAAGACTAGCCTGGCCAACATGGTGAAACCCTGTCTCTACTAAAAATACAAAAATTAGCTGGGTGTGGTGATGGGGGCCTGTAATCCCAGCTATTTGGGAGGCTAAGGCAGGAGAATTGCTTGAAACCCGGCAGGCAGGGGTTGCAGTGAGTCGAGATCATGCCACTGCACTTCAACTTGGGTGACAGAGCAAGGGTCCGTCTCAAATAAAAATTATAGTTTTATACATAAGGAATGAACAATCCAAAAATAAAATTAAGAAAATTCCATTTGCAGTAGTATCAAAAATAATAAAATACTTAGGAATAAAATTAAGGAGGCAAAAGACTTGTACACTGGAAACTACAAAACATTGCTGAAAGAAACTAAAGAAGACCTAAATAAATGGAGAGACATTCTGTGTTCATGGATTATAACTTAGAATTGTTAAGGTTGCAGTATTCCCCATGTTGATACACAGTCATTGCAATACCTATCAAAATTCCAGTAGCACTTTTTTCAGAAGCTGACTAGTGGATTTTAAAAGTCATAAAAAATCTTAAGGGACCTCAAATAGCCAAAACAATCTTGAACAAGAATAAAGTTGGAAGACTTGTATTTCTGATTTCAAAGCTTTACTGCAAAGCTGCAATAATCAAAACATTGTGGTACTGGTATAAGGATAGACATACAGACCAGTAGACTAGAATTGAGAGCCCAGAAATAAACCCTCATACATATGGTCAATCGATACTTTTTTGACAAGCTTCTCAATGGAGAAACAACAGTCTTTTCAACAAATGGTGCTGGGAAAACTAAATTATCACATTCAAAAGAATGAAGTTGGATCCTTTCCTTATGTTGCATATAAAAATCCTGCAGAAGGATGGGCCAAAAAAATGAAAACAAACAACTCTCAAAATGTATCAAAGACCTAAATTTAAGAACTAAAATACAAAATTTGTAGAAGAAACATAAGTGAAAATCTTCATGAATCTTGGATTAGGCAATGATTTCTTAAGTATGACACCAAAAGCATAAAGATAGATAAATCAGACTTCATGAAAATTAAGAACTTTGTTCATCAAAGGACATATTAAGGAAGTGAAAAGGCAGCACACAGAATGGGTCAAAATATTTACAAGTTATATATTTGATAAGGGATCAACATCCAGAACATGTAAAGAACTTCAAAACAACAACAAAACAAACCAATTCAAAAATGCTCAAAAGTTTTGAATAGATTTTTCTTCAGAGAAGATATACAGCTGTCCAATAAGCTCATGAAAGGATGCTCAACATCATTAAATCATTAAGGAAATGCAAATCAAAACCACAATGAGATACCACTTCACAGCTGTTAGGTGGATATTATTTTAAGAATAAAACCCTCATGCATTGGTGATAGGAATAGAAAATGGTACAGCCACTGTGGGAAACAGTTTGGCAGTTCTTTAGAAAGCTGAACATAGAATTACCATAGGATCTAGCAGTTCTTCTAGGTACATACCCCAAAGAATTGAAAGCAAGGACTTGAACAGATATTTGTACACCCATGTTCATAGCAGCAGTTTTCACAACAGCCAAAAAGTAGAAGCAGTTCAAGTGTTCAGCAGATGAGTGGGTGAAGCAAATGTGTTATAGCCATATGGTGGAATATTATTCACTCATAAAAAATGAAATTTTCGACTGGGCGTGGAGGTTCATGCCTGTAATCCCAGCACTTTGGGAGGCCAAGCAGGGCAGAACACTTGAAGTCAGGAGTTTGAGACCAGCCTGGCCAACATGGAAAAACCCCATCTCTACTGAAATACAAAAATTAGCTGGGCATGGTGGCACACGCCTGTAATCCCAGCTAGTTGGGAGGCTGAGGCAGGAGAACCGCTTGAACCCAGGAAGCAGGGTTCGCAGTGAGGTGAGACGCCACTGCACTCCAGCGTGGGTGACAGAGTGAGACTCGGTCTCAAAAAAAAAAAAAAAATGCTGTGGGCACATTATAGAGAATTGAAATCAAATAACAAAAGGGAAAGGAAAGTGACTAATATTGCTATTATTTTGGTACAGTTTCTTTCTTTCTTTCTTTTTTTTTTTTTAATTGAGACAGGGTCTCCCTTTATCTCCCAGGTGGTATGATCATGACTCACTGCAGTCTCAGCCTCCTGGGCTCAAGTATCGATCCTCCCACCTAAGCTTCCCAAGTTGCTGAGAATACAGGCACACACTACCATACAGACTAACTTATTTTTTTGTACAGATACAGCCTCATTATGTTGCCCAGGCTGGTCTCAAACTCCTGGGCTCAAGTGATCCTCCTACCTTACTCAGCTTCCTAGAGTGCTGGGATTTTAGATGTGAGCCACTGTGCCTGGCTTTTGTCTGCTAATTCTGTCATCTTTGTCACTCATAGATTTAATTCTATTGGTTTATTTTTATCCTCAGTAAGAGTCATATTTTTCTGTTTCAGTCCATGCTGGGCAATTTTTGAGTGGATGCCAGACATCGTTAATCTTACCTTGTTCTACACTGGATTCTTTTATATTATAAATACTCCTAAGCTGTGTTCTGGGACACAGCTATGTTACATGGAATAGTTTGATCCTTTTAAACCTTGTGAGGCAGGACCAAAATGACCTTTAATCTAGGGTAAATTTCCCCTGATGTCCATTGAATTGTAAGATTTTTTTCCTCTCTTGTCCTTGTGTGAGATCTAGGGATTATTCCCTCTACCCCTTTCAGGTGGTTCTTTCCCTAGCTTCAGGTATTTTCCTGTGTTGATCAGTGCTTAGCTGAAGACTTAGAAGGTCCCCTCTGTAGCTCTTCAAAGCTGGGCTTTCTTTATGCATCTCTCTCCTCTCTTGTATTTTGCACTGTGAACTCCAGATGCCTTGGCTTTCCCAGGCCCCAAATTCTGTCTTCTCAACCCAGAGTGACCGTCAAGTCTGCCTGAATTCCCTTTCTAGTGCTGAGACATGAAAACTCTCCAGGCAGTAAGTTAGATCAATCACAGGGCTTGCCTTATTTGTTTTCCTTTTTCAGGGGGTCCCTGTCCGCTATTGCCTGGTGTCCAGTTTGTGAAAATTATTTCAGGTGCACCAGCTCATGTCTGTAATCTCAGCACTTTCAGAGGCTGGAGGTGGGTGTATTCCTTGAGGCCAGGACTTTGAGACCAGCCTGGCCAACATGGTAAAACCCCGTCTCTACTAAAAATACAAAAATTAGCCGGGTGTGGAGGTGCGCGCCTGTAATTCCAGCTACTCAAGGGGCTGAGGCAGGAGTATCACTTGAACTTGGGAGGCAAAGGTTACAGGTAGCCAAGATCACACCACTGCACTACAGCCTGGGTAACAGAGCAAGACTCTGTCTCAAAAATAAAAAAATATTTTAAATATTTTGTCTAATTTTTTTAGTTCTTTCAGGTGAGAGAGTAAATCCAGTCCTTGTAGTTCCATCTTGGATGAAAGAAGTTGTCCCAGTCTAAAATTTAATTTGGGGTACTTCCAAATTCTGGTGCAATTAATATTTATCATGTGCTTGCTGTGTGCCTGATATATTCAAAACTCAACCTATCCTTCTTCCCTTACTCCCTACCTCACTATACACGTTAGTTGAGCACTTTCTCTGTGTCAGGTATTCTGTATTCATTGTGGAGCTAAATAACCTGGCCTTTGCCTTTATGTAAGGACAGTATTTTTCTCTTTAGAGTTGTGGACACCGAGGCTCAGAGAGTTAGATTAACATACGTTTACCAGCCTCTCTTCCTTAGAAACACACAATGGTTCAACCCAAAAAAAAGATAAGATAAGTCTGCCTTTACCCAAGGTTTTCAAAATGTTAATGAGCAGTTCTGTTTTGTTTGAATGTAAAGGAATGGTGACTGTTTCATTTCATATTACAGAAGTGATTCTTTGGAGGCCATACTTCAAACATCATATAAAGTAGTAAACTACATAAATTTAAGAGAAGTTACACATGTCTTAATAACCTAATAACCATGCCTTTTGGACACAAAAATATTCAGTAGTGTGATTTACAGCAGGATTATATGTTCACATAACGAGAGTTTCACTCCTGAAATTTCTAATGGAACATAGGCTAGATGATGCAGAGAGAGGAATTACAAAGAAACCCTCCTGCACCCACCCCCAAGAATCAGTGATAACTTTTGTAAAACTACGGTATTATAGAGAAGTAGGCTGTGAATGTCAAGTAGAAAGTGCAGAAGCTTTTTCCAATCACTTTACTCTAATATTGCCAACCAAGACTTGCTCTAAAACCATAATACTTGTGAAGTCTACAACTGCATTTAAATTAGGACATCTTAAAGAACAAGCCCCAAAACTGGCTACAAGAACGTCTTTCCTGCCAGGCTTTAGTATACAAAGCCAACAAATGCCTGCTAGAGATACCTAGTAGTGTGAAAATGTTAGCAGCATTGTAAACTTCAATCCTGGCAGCTTAGTTTTTTTTACTCTTATTTGTTGTGATTTGAATTTAATAATACATTTTCTTCAGAAAGCTTAAATCCTGTGTGTTAAATTTGTTACAGAAATGGAAAAAAAAAAAAACCTTTTGTTAACATTTTTCTTTTCTCTCTTTCCATAAACCCTCCCCCTACTCCATTTACATGCAGAACACTCATCCAGTCTAGTGTCTAATATATCTAGGTGGTTGAAATCCAAGTTAAGTATTTAGATTTAGTGTTTCTTAACTTGTTTCCTTATATTTATGGTATTTTTTTCAGGGTATTTACATTTAAAATAATCAGTTGAATATTTTCTTTCTAAAGTTGAACCAGATAATAGTGATTCCTTTCCTCCTGTTCTTTTACTTCATTGAGTATGATTAAAAAGCCACTTAGGGAAAGAAAATCTTCCATTGTGCTTTCTGTTAAATAGCAATCTAAGTGCTATTGACATCAACCATTGTGCAGGGCTTTTTAGGCCTATGTATGACTAAATATTAGATACTCTTAAAATCACTAGATTGAGGCCAGGTGCGGTGGCTCACGCCTATAATCCCAGCACTTTGGGAGGCCGAGGCGGGTGGATCACCTGAGGTCAGGAGTTCGAGACCAGCCTGGCCAACATGGTGAAACCCCATCTCTACCAAAAATACAAACAAACAAACAAACAAACAAAAAAACTTAGCTGGGCGTGGTGGTAGGCGCCTGTAATCTCAGCTACTTGGGAGGGCTGAGGGCAGGAGAATTGCTTCAACACAAGAGGCGGAGGTTGCAGTCAGCCGAGGTCATGCCATTACACTCTAGCCTGGGCAGTAAAAGTGAAACTCCATCTCAAGAAAAAAAAAAAAAAAAGATTAAAAAAAAATAAAATCACTAGGTTGAGGTTTTATAAATTATCTTCCTTGCAGATCCTAAATGATTAACATATTGTTGGTAGCATAGTTTCTTAGTCATTTTACCAGTTGGCACACTTACGTGTCAGTAGATACAAAGTGTTTAGCAGTGAGATGAAGGCAGTGTAGAATAAGGTTACATGCACATATCATGGAGCTGGAAACAAGTTGCTTTTAAAAACTCAGATTTCTCATTTCAAGTGTTCTCATAGTTTAATCATTTCAAAGTATAAACGTTATCAAAACATCACATTGTACCCCATGAATATAGACAATTATTTGTCATTTGAAAAAAAAATTTTTTTAAGTATTCTCATAAGATTGTTACAAAGTACTTAGAATAATGCCTGGTTCACAGAAAACAGGACATGGTATTTGATTAAAAGAAAATTAGAGCCATGCACCGTGGCATATGCCTGTAGTCCCAGCTATTCAGGAGGCTGAGATGGGAGGATCACTTGAGCCCAGGAGTTCGATCCAGCCTGCTCAATATAGCAAGACCTCATCTCAAAAAAAAAAAAAAAAAGTCATTGATGAAAAATTATGTAAAGGAGAAAGTGTTAATAAAAGTCACCCAGGCTGGACGATGTGGCTCACACCTGTAATCTCACCTACTCGGGAGGCTGAGGCAGGAGAATTGCTTGAACCTGGGAGGTGGAAGTTGCAGTGAACCAAGATCGTACCATTGCACTCCAGCCTGGGCAACAGGAGTTAAACTCTGTCTTAATAATAATAATAATAATAAAATTATCTGGGTGTGGTGGCGCATACCTGTGGTCTAAGCTGTTCTGGAGGCTGATTTGGGAAGATGCTTGAGTGTGGGAGGTTTAGGCTGCAGTGAGCTGTGATCATGCCACTGGAGTCTAGCCTGGGCAACACAGTGAGACCCCATCTAAAAACAAAAACAAAAACAAAAACAAAAATATCATCAGCCAGTCTTGTTGGCTCACGTTTGTAAGTAATCCCAGCACTTTTGGAGACTGAGGTGAGATCACTTGAGGCCAGGAGTTTGAGTACAACCTAGTCAACAGAGTGAGACCTTGACTCAAAAAAAAAAAAAAAAAAAAAAAGGACATACACTGATTGATGAAAAATTATAGAAAGGGGAAAGTGTTATCAAAAGTCAGCTGGTCTTGGTGCCTCACACCTGTAATTCTAGCACTTTTGGAGATCGAGGCAAGAGGATCACTTGAGGCCAGGAGTTTGAGACTAGCCTGTGTAATAGCAAGACCTCGTCTCTATAAAAAAGAAAAGTCATGTTCACTGAATTATACACTTAAAAATGCTTAAAATAGTAAATTTTGGTAAGTATATTTTACCACAATATTTAAAAAAGAAATGTCACAATTTAAAGTCCATTGAAATTTTCTTTTATGTAAGTGCAACCATGTATTGCTAACGACAGGATGCATTTTGAGAAATGTATTGCTGCCTGATTTAGTTGTTGTGTGAACGTCATAGAGTGTACTTACAGAAACCTAGATGATACAGCCGCCCACACACCTAGGCTATACGGTAGAGCTTATTGCTCATAGGCTACCAACCTGTACAGCATGTTACTGTACTGAGTACTGTAGACAGTTGTAACACAATGGTAAGTATGTATTTTAACATGTAAACATAGAAAAGGTGCAGTAAAAATGTGGTATTATAATCTTTTTTTATCTTTTTTTTTTTTGAGACAGAGTCTCGTCCTGTCGCCCAGGCTGGAATGCAGTGGTGCCATCTTGGCTCACGGCAGCCTCCGCCTCCCAGGTTCAAGCAATTCTCCTGCCTCAGACTCCTGAGTAGCTGGGATTACAGGTGTGCACCACCACGCCCAGCTAATTTTTGTATTTTTAGTAGAGACGGGGTTTTGCCATGTTGGCCAGGCTGGTCTGAAACTCCTGACCTCAGGTGATCCTCCCACCTCAGCCTCCCAAAGTGCTGGGATTACAGGTGTGAGCCACCACGTCTGGCTGCGAGTATTTTTTGAGAACTTGTTCTCAGTAGATTCATGGTGAGCATCAGTGACATCATTTAGACTGGAATTCATGGGTAGAAGTAGGAGCAGGTACACAGTTCTCCTATTCTCTTGGTGTCCTGTGGAGTGGCGTGCTTGGATTGGGGCATAGGTGGATGTACCATGAGACTGGGCTCCATGAAAGAATTCTGCCTGCCTTCCCCTAACCTTCTTTATGGGATTGAGCGTGATAAGTGAAGTTAAAAAGCGTGAGTTTGGGTACTGACTTTACAGGAGTTGCTGACAACTAGTGCCCTGGTACCTAGAGACTGTGTGGAGCTTCGGGAAGGTGCTTTGGAGAAACTCCTGGCCAGAGGGAGGGAGGAGCCAGGAGCCCCAGATCCTCATTAGCTCTTTGCTAAGCAATCCAGAAAGAACAAAAAGATCAGTTGGCCAAATTTGGTAATCCAGGTGAGATCATGATGGCTTGGACTAAGGTAACAACTCGACTAAGATGGAGATAAAAAGCTGTTGGCACTGTGAGATGATTATATGTTTTTTCCCTGTATTATGTTACTGCAGTGAATTGTTCATAAATTTGCAAAGTTAAACCATCCTTGCATAAATTCTAGTCTGTAATTATATATTTATAATTATATAAAAATACATATTTTACTATTTCTCTGGATTCTAGTAATCATTTAGGACTTTTTCCATCTATATTGGTAAGTCAAGCTAGTACATATAAATTTTTTCATGGTCTTTGTCTCATTACGGAAGTAATCAAAATGAGTTATTTATCTTCCTGTATTTGTGAACAGTTTGTAAAAGAGTTTGCTTTTGCAGGGTACATTTAGCAAAATTCTATAATATATCACAGCTTAATGTTTGTGCTTATGCACAAATGAATGTATGTCTATATATGAATGATGGAGAATGGATTTTGATACCTATTCTATTTAATGGTTATTGTTTTATTCAGGGTTTAAAATGGCCCATTTCCCCTTAATTTATACTTTAAAAAAAAAAAAAGTAGAGGCAGGGTTTTACTGTGTTGCCCAGGCTGGTCTTGAACTCCTGGTCTCAAGCAGTCCTCCTGCCTTGGCCTTGCACAGTGCTGGGATTACAGGCATGAGCCACTGCACCTGGCCGATACATTTAAAAATAATGCCTGCCATCTAGTAGGCATTCAGTATTTATGGAGTGAATAAATTAATGAACGTTATTGAAATAGAATCCATTGCATTTTGTTGTTGCAGTAACGTCTATATGTTAAGCCTCCATTCTACTTGATAGTATTTGTACATTCTTTTTTTTTTTTTTTTAAAGATGGAGTCTCGCTCTGTCGCCCAGGTTGGAGTGCAGTGGTGCGATCTCGACTCACTGCAACCTCCGCCTCCTGGGAGTAATCCCAGCCTCCCGAGTAGCTGGGATTACAGGCATCCGCCGCTACGCCCAGCTAATTTTTGTTTTTCTCAGTAGAGATAGAGTTTCATCATGTTGGCCAGGCTAGTCTTGAACTCCTGACCTCAGGTGATCCACCCACCTTGGACTCCCAGAGTGCTGGGATTATAGGTGTGAGCCACCATGCCTGACCATATTTGTACATTTTGAAGATTTTTACTGATTTATCATGATAGATTTAAGTTGATGCTCTTTTTTTTAGATTTTTCTTTTTAAAAATTTCAGTAACTTTAGGGATACAGGTGGGTTTTGATTATATGAATGAATTATATAGTGAAGTCTGAGATTTTGGTGCACCCATTACCCGAGTAGTGTACATTGTACCCAGTATGTAGTTTGTTTTTTTTTTTTTTTAATCCCTCCCTGCCCTCCCACCTCCCCGCTTCTGAGTCTCTAAAGTCCATTATACCAATCTGTATGCCTTTATGTACCCAGAGCTTAGCTCCTACTTATAAATGAGAACCTGTGATATTTTGTTTTCCATTCCTGAGTTACTTCACTTAGAATAATGGCCTCCAGCTCCGTCCAAGTTGCTGGAAAAGACATTATTTCATTTTTTTCTATGGCTGAGCAGTATTCCATGGTGTATATATTAATGTATCACATTTTCTTTATCCACTCATTGGTTGGCAGGCACTTAGGTTGGTTCCATATCTTACAGTTGTGCATTGTGCTGTGATTAACATATACGTGCAGGTCCTTTTCATACAGTGACTTATTTTCCTTTAGGTAGATACCCAGTGGTGGGCTTGCTGGATTGAATTGGCAGACCTACATTTAGTTCTTTGAGAAATCTTCATACTATTTTCCACAGAGGTTGTGCTAATTTACTTCACCACCAGCAGTGTATAAGCATTCCCTATTCAAATGAACAAATAACTAAATGAAGCATTCCCTTTCACTATGTACACATCAGCATCTATTGTTCTTTTGATTTTTTAAATAATGGCCACTCTGGCTGGGGTAAGGTGGTATCTCATTGTGGTTTTAATTTGTATTTCCATGATGATTAGTGACGTTGATTATTTTTTCATTTGTTTGTGGCCACTTGTATATCTTCTTTAGAGAAATGCCTATTTATGTTGTTTGCCCACTTTTTGATGGGATTATTTGTTGTTGTTGTTTTCCTTGCTGATTTGAGTTCCTCATAGATTCTGGATATTAGACCTTTGTTGGATGCATTGCTTGCATGTATTTTCTCCCATTCTGTGGGTTCCATTTATTTTTGTTTTTGTTGCATTTGCTTTTGGGGTTTTAGTTATAAATTCTTTGCCTAGGTCAATGTCCAGAAGAGTTTTTCCTAGGTTTTCTTCTAGAATTTTTGTGGTTTCAGGTCTTAGATTTAAGTCTTTAATACATCTTGAGTTGATTTTTCTATGTGGTGAAAGATAGGGATTCATTTTCATTCTTCTACATGTGGCTATGCAGTTTTCCCAGCACCATTTATTAAATAGGGTGTGTCCTTTCCCTAATTCATGTTTTTGTATGCTTTGTCAAAGATCAGTTGGTTTTAAGTATTTGGCTTTATTTCTGGTTTCTCTATTCTGTTCCATTGGTGTATTAGTCCATTCTTGTACTGCCATAAAAAAATACTTGTGGCCGGGTGCTGTGGCTCATGCCTGTAATCTCAGCACTTTTGGAGGCTGAGGCAGGCGGGTCACTTGAGGTCAGGAGTTCGAGACCACCCTGGCCAAAATGGTGAAACCCCCTGTCTACCAAAAATATGAAAAATTAGCCAGGTGTGGTTGTGCACGCTTGTAATCCCAGCTACTCGGGAGGCTGAGGCAGGAGAATCGCTTGAACCTGGGAGGCGGAGGTTGCAGTGAGCCGAGATTGCACCATTGCACTCCAGCCTGGGCGACAAGTGAGACTACGTCTCAAAAAAACAAAACAAAACAAAAAACAAAAAGACTTGAGACTGTAATTTTTAAAGAAAGAGATTTAAGTGGCTCATGGTTCTACAGGCAGTACAGGAAGCATAGTGGCTTCTGCTTCTGGGGACGCCTCAGGAAACTGACAGTCATGGTGGAAGGTGAAGGCAGAGCAGGCACCATGGCCCGAGCAGGAGGAAGAATGAGGGAGGAGGTGCTACACACTTTCAAAGGACCAGATCTCCTGAGAACTCTATCACTGTATAGTACCAAGAGGGGATAGTGCTAAACCATTCATGAGAACTCTGCCCTCATGATCCAGTCACCTCCCACCAGGCGCCATCTCCAGCACTGGGGGATTACATTTCAACATGAGATTTAGGTGGGGACAGATCCAAACCATTCAATTGATCTATGTATCTTTCTTTATACCTGTACCATACTGTTTTGGTTACTATAGCCTTAATAGTATAATTTGATGTTGGGTAATGTCATGCCTTTAGATTTGTTATTTCTGTTTAGGATTGCTTTGGCTTTTCAGGCTCTTTTTTGGTTCCGTATGAATTTTAGGATTGTTGCTTTTAATTCTTTAAAAAATGATGTGGGTATTTTGTTAAGAATTGCATTGAATCTATCGATTGCTTTGGGCAGTATGGTCATTTTCACGATACTGATTCTTCCAGTCCCTGAGCACGAGATGTGTTTCCATTTGTTTGTGTATTCTGTGATTTCTTTCAGCAGTGTTTTGTCATTCTCCTTGTAGAGATCTTTCATCTCCTTGGTTAAATATATTCCTAGGTTTTTATGTGTTGTTTTCTTTCAGCTATTGTAAAAGGGATTGAGTTCTTGATTTGATTCTCAGGTTGGTCATTGTTGATGTGTAGCAGTGCTGCTGACTTGTATACGTTGATTTCGTAACCTGAGACTTAACTGAATTCACTTATCAAATCTAGTTGTCTTTTGGAGGAGTCTTCGGGGTTTTTTTTAGGTATGTGATGATATTATTGGCAAAACAGAGATAGCTTGACTTCCTCTTCCAATTTGGGTGCCCTTTCTTTCTCTTGCCTAATTGCTGTGCCTGGGTAAGTTGGTAGTCTTATGTGGCTTTAAGTTTCTTGTATTCTGCTTAAGATACATTTGTGATTTTTTTCTCCCATGTATTGTTTATTCTTATGTTTTTCCCCATTTATTGAATATACCTCTGCTTATTTGACAATACTGAAATTTTGTGTATTTACTTATATATTAGAGCCACTATGCAAAAGTAAACAGTATTTACTAAATTTATGTGAATTTAGTAAACACAGTAAATACTATTTACTTTTGCATAGGGGCTCTAATGTTCAAGTTCCATATAAATATAAATATTTCTGGTGGGAGAATTATGATAGATACCACTGGATGGGTGTTAGAACTCCCCAAAATTGATAATTTTTGAGGTGCTAAGATACTAAATGTGTTTTCATCAAGCTTATATAAAAGATACTGAGAAACAAAGATTGGGTCTCAAAGAGATGGCATTAGTTTCTGCCTTAGGTGAGAACAACTAAAAAATTGGCATCGTTTTCTTATAAATATAGCTCATTTGGGACATGGATTGTATTTCCAAATACCTGTCACATGGATTTATTCTGCCTTTTGTAGGAGAAACCTGTAATATTGTTCTTTTGTATCCTTCCGATTCTATCTCACTTACCTCCACACTCTTCTCAAAGGGGGAAACTCAGTTTCAGCTTGATTATCTTGTACAAGGGCACTAGCAAATGGACCGTTCCATTCCCAGAGATGCCAACAATCTTACACAGATTATTCACAAATCTGTTTTCCCAAGCTACCTGCTAGTTATACTCATGTTAGTATCTTCCCACACTCAAAATACCTGAACACTGAATGTATCCTCTTCATCAGCAAACCAACTTCCTCTTTCATGTCCCGTTACTGAGTTAGTACTGTATAATGTAGTGAGTAGTGATGATGAGCATGGATTGATTATTGGCTTAGCTTCTTTTTTTTTTTTTCTTTTTCTTTTCTTTTCTTTTTTTTTGAGATGGAGTGTCACTCTGTCGTTCAGACTGGATTTAGTGGTGCAATCTCGGCTCACTGCAACCTCCACCTCCTGGGTTCAATCAATTCTCCTGCCTCAGCCTCCCGAGTAGCTGCGACTACAGGCACGTGCCATCACGCCTGGCTAATTTTTGTATTTTTAGTAGAGATGGGGTTTTACCATGTTGACCAGGCTGGTCGGCTCAGCTTCTTTATGCCTAAATTGTCTCATCTGTAAAATGGGGATAATATTGGAATCTGATGGGATTGTAAGTGAGAATTAGTTAAATAACAAAATACGTAAAGTGCCTGGTACTTAGTAAGCCCTTAAAAAACATTAGCTTTTACATTATTACCAATATATTATTGGTAATACCCTAGGTTTATCTCCTCTCTTACTCAGTCATACTCTTGATTTTACTGCTGCAGTCTGTCTCAAATCTGTCTTTATTTTACTGCCCCTGTTACTTTTCTATCTCAGGCTCCCATTACTTTTCTACTGCACTACTATGCTGATTGATCTCTCTGCTTTCGCAGTTTCTTCTTTCATTCACCTTCTACATTGCTATCATTTTCGGTCTTAAAATGATCAGATATCACTCCCCAGTCCCAGATCCTTAATGACTCCCCACTGCACTGCATTTGTATTTTCTTTCACTTTGGCAGTTAAATCTCTACTTTTTTTTTTTTTTTTTTTTAATGGAGGCAAAGTCTCCAGGCTGGACACTACAACCTCTGCTTCCCAGGTTCAAGCGATTCTGATGCCTCAGCTATCCGAGTAGCTGGGATTACAGGTGTGCGCCACCACGCCTGGCTAATTTTTTGTATTTTTAGTAGAGATGGGGTTTTGCCATGTTGGCCAGGCTGGTCTCGAACTCCTGACCTCAGGTGAGCCGTCTGCCTTGGCCTCCCAAAGTGCTAGGATTACAGGCGTGAGCCACCGCGCCTGGCCTCTAGATTCTTTTCCATGGAACATTTATTGAAGATTTCTCTAGTTTTTGTCCCTTTTAATAGTCTTATATTCGGACAGAGAACATTCCATGTTCTTTCTCAAGTTTTGCAAAGCTTAGTATTAGCTACTCTGTTTATTTGTTCAGGGAAATGCTATGTTTAAATGGAAATCGATGTCTAAGTTACATACTCAGGAGTTAAATAATTAATGGTAACTAGATATAGACTTTCTACATATTTGATTAGATTCTATTAGTGCTGTCTCAGTATAATTTGTATCTGTATATTTTAAGTTGATTGCATTAGCTTTCTAAAAGGTGCTTGGTGGTGGTTGTCATTTGTTGAGGGAGAGGGTATGAGAAGTTTTAAAGATTTCAGCATTATCTTACTGATATGTTTGTATATGTCTTTAAGGAACTGGTGTAGAGAAGTAGTAACCAGTACTGAGGGTTAATATGCTTTCAATTGTGGGCAAATGCTCCAGTGCATGTAATTCTACTTATTAAAGTTGTCTTTCAGAGCTCGGGTTAAGTGAACTCAAAAGTTATTTTGAAATACAGAGAAATCTGATTAAACAGGACCGTGAAGTAACATAGCTAGTGAACACTTGCTAAATGTTCACAATGATTGTTTTGAACCATTTTTGTTTTTTTCTAACCACACTGAAAACTAAAGATACTAATGTAAAATATTTGTGCTTTAATGAGAATGTATTAGAGTCATTTAAAAATATTATTGACTCTTGTATAAGTGATTTTTTTAAAAAAGATATAAGAAAGAAGGTGTGGAGAAGTAAATATTTTTCACTAATAGCTTCACCTGCAGAATCATGGCATGCAAACACTAAGTGATCGAGTTGAACATTTTCAGTGATACCATGTAGATATTATGACTTGATGTGTTGAGAAGGGCACTTCACCTCTGTTATTCTTTCCATAAACTCGTAACTCCAGTCAAAATATCAGAAAGACAGACAGACACACTGAGAGACATCCTTTAAAATACTTGAACAGCGCTCAGAACTGTCATGAAAAACAAGGAAAGACTAAGAAATGATTACAGACCAGAGGAGACTAAGGAGATAGGGTGAGTAAATGTAAAGTGGTATCCTTGATTGGATCCTGGAATAGATAAAAACATTAGTGGAAAAAACTGGTGAAGCCTGGATATAGCCTGGGATTCAGTTAGTACTACCATACTGATGTTGGTTTCTTAGTTTTGAAGAATGTCCCACAGTAATATAAGATGGTAACATTAGGGGAAACTGAAACTGGATTTGGGTTTTATGGGAACTCCCTGCGTGGTCTTTATAACTTTTCTGTAGATGTAGAATTATTCTGAAATTAAAAATTTGTCAAAAGTAGGTAATATTTTCCAGTTCAGTTCTACAAATGTATTGAATGCCTGTTATGTGCCCAGTGTGACCAGGGTTGCAGGGGATAAAGTGTGTAAGAGATACTTTCCCTGCCTCTGCCCTTAAGGAGTTGTCTTCCAGATTGGGGAATAAGACAATTAATATGAAGCAGAACGTGATGGAACCTGTGAAAAACTATGAGCAAGTTGCTGTAGGGGGTTCAGAAGCTGAGAGTAGACGTTAAATATAGACTGGAGAGTCCTCCCCAAGGAGGCAGTGTTTGAGAACTTTGAAGAATGGGCAGGATTTAGTAACCGTAGTCATTGGAAAGGAAATGTGTCATAACCAAAGAGCCCTGGCTCTTGAATTTCATAGACCTATGCTGCCCCTTACTAGCTTTGTGACCTTGCAAATTATTTAATGTCACTAAGTCTTTGTTTCTCATTTGTAAGATACGGTTAGTAATTCCTATTTCAAAGCATTATGAGAATTAAATGCACTTTATTTAGCTTAGTAAAGCATCTAATCCCTAGTAAACTCTTAGTGTTAACTGCTAGAGATGGAGAGAAGCATATATTGTTGATGCAGTACCAATACCACAGGCACAGAGCCTGGAAAGCGTAGATAGAGTGTTTGGTGGAACATTGACTGGTATTAGAAAGGTGAATTAGGACTACATTGTGAGTGCTTTCATGTATCAGGTCAGCAGTTTGAACTTTTTAAGTGGTAATTGAGAAGTCATTAAAGATTTTCATGTAGGGGGAGTAAGGAGATTGAGTCTGTTTTAGGATTAATTTGATAGAAATATGAGGGGAGTGTTGGAGGCTCTCATGTGGGTTGCTGCCTTCCCATTTACTTGGTGAGTTAGATGTGTCCCCTTTAGCTTTAGAATTCAGTGAAACAGTTAGCTTGAAATGCTCTGGATGATTAGTAGGAATCTGTTACTGTGTAACTTGGGAATTTCAAAAGCAGGACCATGAGTATGTAGTATCAAATACACTTAATATGTGTTTAGTAAAAAGGGCCATTGCTATTTTTAGATGTATTGGCTGAGAACTCCTTTTGTAGGTGATGGTTTTCGTTTTGTTTTGTTTTGTTTTGTTTTGTTTTTTAACAGCTTAAGTCGATGATAAGAGTTAAACAGTACTTCATTGACTTCCTGTGAGGCTTTGTGGAAAACAGTTCCGTTGTATCTATTTTTAAAGCTGATTACTGTGAGCAGAGGATGCTGCTATTGAGTTATAAATGTCATCTCAGTATGTTCTCACTCAGCATTCTTTAGATGACACTAGTGTTTGGATATAAGGTTTCTGGAGTTTATCTGATAGGAAAAGCAGCAGTTATCACTGAAATAGTACCAGTAAATGAAATACTTAAAAGCAGTGATCATGTTACCCTTCAGCAGTATAATTATCATCATCTATATGAGTCTTAAGCCTATACCATCACTGAATGGCAAAAAATTGTAACCTTATTTTGGGAATATTTTGCAACCCTGTAATCGTATTGTATAATGTTTTACAGCTTTTTTGTTAATCATTGTATTAAAAGTATTAAATCATCTTGGAATTTTCCTCTTGAGAACGATAGGATCATTTGATTTACAAATATTGTTAAAATACACTTACCTGTAAATTATTGGGGGTTTTCTTCAGTGGATTTTTTGGTTTGTTTTTAGAGACAGTCTTGCTATGTTGCCCAGGCTGGTACGAAACTCCTGGCCTTCAGCCATCCTCCCATCTTGGCCTCCCAAAGAGCTGGGATTACAGGTGTGAGTCCCTATGCCTGACCTCCAGTCTTTTATTATGATCTTTCTTTTCTTTTCTCTTCTCTTCTCTTCTCTTCTCTTCTCTTCTCTTCTCTTCTCTTCTCTTCTTTCTCTTCTCTTCTCTTCTCTTTTCTTCTTTTCTCTTTTCTTTTCTTTTCTTTTTTTGAGACAGGGTCTGTCTCTGTTTGCCCAGGCTGGAATGCAGCGGCATGATCTCTGCTGACTGTACCTCCACCTCCAGGGCTCAAGCCATCCTCCCACCTCAGCATCCCTAGTAGCTGAGACTAGAGGTCCATGCCACCATGCCCAGCTGATTTTTGTTTTTTTTGTAGAGACGGACTTTCACCATGTTGCCCAGGCTGGTCTCGAACTTGTGAGCTCAAGTGATCTGCCTGTCTTGGCCTCCCGTAAGTGCTGGGATTACAGGCATAAGGCACCATGCCCAACCTATAAGGAAATTTTTCGGTCCTACAGAAGAGTTGAAAGAATTTTATAACCACCATATACCAATCTGCAATTAGCTAAATTACTTTTCTTTGTTTTTCATTATTATTATTTTTTTAAGACAGTTTTGCTTCGTCGCCTAGGCTGGAGTGCCGTGGTACGATCTTTGCTCACTGCAACCTCCACTTGCCAGGTTCAAGCTATCATCCCACCTCAGCAACCCTAGTAGCTGGGACTACAGCTGTGCACCACCATACCTGGCTAATTTTTTTGCATTTTTTGTATAGATGGGGGGTCTCACTATATTGCCCAGGCTGGTCTCAAATTCCTGAGTTCAAGCAATCTGCCGGCCTCAGCCTCTCAAAGAGCTAGGATTACAAGTGTGAGCTGCTGCGCCCAGCCTAAATTACTGTTTTTAAAATGAAAGTTTTGTTTCCTTCTCTTTTTAAATACCATATAAACTTTTTTGAGTCTTTAAACCATTTTTAAGAGACTTTTGAAGTAGGTGAGATGATTTTTGATATTTCTGTGTTAATTCTTCAGAACAATAATATTCAAGTAAAATAATTCTAATAGTCTGAGGTTTGGCAAATCTGTTTTAGAATAGATAATACTAGTTTAGTAGATTACTTTTTCTAGCCCTGTATAGGGTTTATACAGTTAACTGTTCATTTAAATTCCCTAAGACATAAATTCATTTAAATTATCTGCAGACAGAAAATATACGTTAAAAAATTATTTCTGCTAAGGTGTGAGGAGCCCAGGAGTTGGAGACCAGCCTGGGCAATATAGTGAGACCCCCATCACACATAAAATAGAAAAAGTGGCTGGGCGCGGTAGCTCACACCTGTAATCCCAGCACTTTGGGAAGCCCAAGGTGGGTGGATCACCTGAGATCAGGAGTTCGAGACCAGCCTGACCAATATGGTGAAACCCTGTCTCTACTAAAAATACAAAAATTAGGCCGGGCGCAGTGGCTCACGCCTGTAATCCCAACACTTTGGGAGGTCCAGGCGGGTGGATCACCTAAGGTTGGAAGTTCGAGACCAGCCTGACCAACATGGAGAAACTCCGTCTCTACTAAAAATATAAAATTAACCGGGCGTGGTGGTGTGTGCCTGTAGTCCCAGCTACTTGGGAGGCTGAGACAGGAGAATTGCTTGAACCCGGGAGAGAGGGTGCAGTGAGCCAAGACGTGACACTGCATACCAGCCTGGGCGACAGAGCGAGACTCCATCTCAAAAAAAAAAAAAAAAAGAAAGAAAGAAAGAAAAATTAGCCAGGCATAGTGGCCTCTGGTCCAGCTATTCAGGAGGCTGAGGTGAGAGGATCGCTTGAGTCTGGGAGGTCGAGGCTGCAGTTTCCTTGTCTTAAATGTTAATAAATGCGTCTTTAATAGAAGGAGTTAATTTATCTCCTCATACTGTATTTGGTTTCCTGTTTCCTCTTTCTCTTCAAAGTACCTTATGAGCAAGAGTTACAAGATAACTTTTTCAGTATTCTATATAGTAGTGACTGTACTGGTCAAAATAGTTTCAGAGATTTTTCTGTTTACCTCATCATTCATATAAAGGCCACTTTTCACCTCCTGTCTTGCTTAAGATGGTGATTGTGATTCCTATGAAGTTGTATTTATATTTTTACTTTTGAAGCTAAAACAATAGCTATAGTTGCTCATTTAATTTTTAAGATACTTGTGTATTGGTGATATGTAAATCTTAGTTCTTTATTATGTGAAGTTGTACACAGGAAAATGCATAACATTGCTTTGGGCCTGAGGCACAAAGGTACGTTGGCTTTGAAGGTAGGCCCTGAGGTAGAGAGAAAAGAAATGACACCAGTCTTGAATTAAAAAAAAAAGATACTGCATACAGAATCAGCATTTGATTATGAGTAAGCTGTGAGAGGAAAAGAGAAGAGGAAGACGGAAGCTGTAGAGTAGAATTTGTAGTTCCGTAGATTTGGATGGTTAGAGCTGAAGGCGAAGGTTAGAGTGGAAGGCGAATGACCTCCTTCCTCAGCACTGTGTTACTGGGTTAGAGAAAAGCCAGTACTGCTCGCTGCTGCTGGAACTGAAGGAAGGAAAGTTCTGTCTTCAGGGTATTTACAAAAAGTTGAACAGTTGTGTTCCTTTGTGGATCTTTGGAGAATCGTTAGAACTCACTGTGTGAGTTAAGGTAACTGCTGACAGAATTTTTTCAAGTATTGCTTACCATGTAAACTCAAATGTCTGTATCATACCTCATTCTTTTTACATGTTAAGACAGATTCTGCTGATTAAATTCTGCCCCATATACTGTAGACACTGAACCATAAGCTTCAGATTGGTTACAAAATGCTCTGACCCATGGACTTTTGTAAATTCATTATTTCCTTTTAAGAAGTATGATGCTTACAGTGGATATCTCTGGTGGTTTTAAGAAATGTAAGCAGGCTTTTTGGAGGGATGCATTCTGGAGTAGGAAAATGTCTTAAATTGATTTCCCGTAACAGTTTCAGTCAGCACTTTGAACTGCTCTTAGGTACCTGGTGCCATTACATCTTTGTGGTCAATAACTTTTTGTTTGTGTGGCTTACTTCACAAAATAAAAATGCTTTCTGTGTCCTGTTATTTTGGTATGCATATTTTATCTTTGATCCAACATAGTGCTAGGTACCTGGTAGATTTTCGGTAGAAAATTATTTTAAGAGCCAAAGATAACCAGCATGGTCCAGTTATTCCAAGACCCACTCCCTGTATTCACTTCAGACTCAGCTTAAAAAGCAACACTCGATAAGGTCTCTGAGACTACCCTCCCTAAACAGCAATCCTGCATGGCTTCTCATACTCTGTGTTATTCTTCCTCACAGCACTTTTCTCCTACCATCTGATAACACTCTCGTGGGAATGTACATGTCATAAAAGCAAGAATTTTATTTTGTTCATTGCCATATTCACCCCGAGCCTAGCACATAGTAGGCACTCAAATGTTTTCTGAAGGTATATTGATCATTAGAAATTTTTGCCGTTCGCTTGGCCCAGAGGGATATAAATACAAGTCAGAAATAGATTTAGCCATTGTGTACACAAATAGCTATAGTCAAAATGGGTTCAGATGATGTAAGAGAACTGCAGAGAAAACACTGGGATTGTTGAGCATTTTATTATGTCTAGCTGGCTCCTAAAGAAATGACATTTAAACTGGGTCTTATTTCAGACCAGAGAAACAGGCAAAGGCCGAGAAACAAAGAAGAGAGGCAGGTGTAAGAAAAGGTGAAGTACTTGGTTTGGCTAGAACATACTAGTGAAGAACTAAGAAGTTAGTTAGAAAGATAGGTTAGATCCAGGTCAATGGAAAGCCTTAAAATCCAAGCTGAGTTTGGATTTTATCCCATTGGCTGTGAAAATTGATTGTTTATTTTTTCCCTTCTTCAAAAGGCAGTTAAATGTCATAAGAATTGGATCTGCATAGAAAGAGACACTGAAGACCAAGGCTGGAATTTTAATTTTAATTTTAATTTTAATTATCACCAAGGAGTTTGCATTAGGCCAATACCACATAAATAGAAGGTAGGAATGACCACAGATTGGCAACAAATTGACTAGTCAGATATGGAGAACAAGGTAAATGAAAGAAGCTAAGAAGATTCTTCAGGTTTTGAACTTGTGGGAAGTAAGATGGTGTTGTCATTAAATACAGAAGTAAAGTACATGAAGAAAGAGCAGATTTAAGAAAGATTAGTTTAATTCTGAACATGTTGCTTTGAGGTGCTAGCATTCGAGTGGAGGAAATGTGGTAGAGTAGATAGTTGGAAAAACTACCAAGGCCTAAGATTTGGGCATTGTTTGCTAAGTAGTTTTTAAAGCCCTGAGATTGCAAAGGAACAGGAGAGAGTACACGGAGAAAGAACTGAAAATAGCAGAGAGCAGATTCTTGGGAAATACCGCTTAAGACGATGGGGGAGAAAAGCCAAGAAAGAACAAAAGGAAGTAGGAGAACCAAGAGAAGACAACACTGCAAAACCCAAGGCAAGATCGTGTTCAGGAAGAAGTAGAATTCAAACCTGTTTGCTTCAGAAAGAGCTCTGGTATAACCTCAGAAGTGTGACACGGATTTTTTCTATCATCTCATTCATTATCCTGCTATACTGTTCAGCGTAGTTCTTCACACACATAGTAGGTTCTCAATAATCTAGTTTAGGGACTACTACTTGACAGAATGTTATGTAGATGTAGATGTCTGAGCCACAGGCTGCTGATTGTGCAGTCTAGGGTCCTGCGGAACACTGGAAAGTAAATACATTGGGATTAACTTGTGCTTTGTAGGGTTTCTTTCACGTTACCTATTTCATATTCCATTTGTGATATATTCTTGATCTTGTCTATTTTCTCTTTGGTACATGGTAGAAATTCTATTAAACAATAATCAAAGGATCTCAAGGTGCTAGGAAAAAAACAGTTAATGGACTTTAAAGATTGGATAAGTGCTTTTTTTTTTTTTTTTTTTGGACCGAGTCTCACTCTGTCGTCCAGGCTGGAGTGCAGTGGTGCAATCTCAGCTCACTGCAACCTCTGCCTCAGCCTCTTCAGTAGCTGGGATTAAAGGCATGTACCACCATGCCCGCCTAATTTTTGTATTTTTAGTAGAAATGGCCAGGCTAGTCTCAAACTCCTGACCTCAAGTGATGCATCCGCCTCGACCTCCGAAAATTTTGGGATTACAGGCGTGAACCACCGCACCCGGCCAAAAAAAGATTTCAATAGCATTTTTCGAACAAGTCATGGATATAAAGACTTGGATAATTTGGTGCTGCATTTTATCCACGAAAGACAAAGATAGCACTGATGGTGACCTTCCAGTATAGCATTAAAAAAGAAAAATCTGTTCCTAATAGAGGATTGTTAGGCAGTCAGTAATTGATCACGATTTGACTTGAAATTTTATAGTACATTTATGCCGGGCGCGGTGGCTCACGCTTGTAATCCCAGCACTTTGGGAGGCCGAGGCAGGCAGATCACGAGGTCAGGAGATCAAGACCATCCTGGCTAACACGGTGAAACCCCATCTCTGCTAAAAATAACAAAAAAATTAGCTGGGCATGGTGGCGGGCGCCTGTAGTCCCAGCTACTCGGGAGGCAGAGGCAGGAGAATGGCGTGAACCCGGGAGGCGGAGCTTGCAGTGAGCCGAGATCGCGCCACTGCACTCCAGCCCAGGCGACAGAGCGAGACTCCGTCTCAAAATAAATAAATAAATAAAGTACATTTATATGACAAGAATAAACTTTTGAATACATAAATACAAATTATTGGGTCAAAGGAAAATAGACACGTATTCAGTAGCTTGTTTAGTGTAATAGTATCTATATCATCTGTATCCTGTTTCTGTGGCAATAGCATTAAAGAGAACAAAGGTAATCTGATCAAAGGACACATGGAAAAGTAGAGACTACATCTGGTATGTTAAATGGTACTGTGTGACATCTTTTTTTTTTTTTTTTTTTTTGAGGTGGAGTTTCGCTCTGTTGCCCAGGCTGGAGTGCAGTGACACAAACTCAGCTCACTGCAACCTCTGCCTCCTGGGTTCAAGGGATTCTCCTGCCTCAGCTCTCCCAAGTAGCTGAGGTTACAGGCGCACACCACCATGGTCAGCTAATTTTTATATATATATATATATATATTTTTTTTTTTTTTTTTTTTTTTTTTTTGAGACGGAGTCTCGCTCTGTCGCCCAGGCTGGAGTGCAGTGGCGGGATCTCGGCTCACTGCAAGCTCCGCCTCCCGGGTTCACGCCATTCTCCTGCCTCAGCCTCCCAAGTAGCTGGGACTACAGGCGCCCGCCACTACGCCCGGCTAATTTTTTGTATTTTTAGTAGAGACGGGGTTTCACCGTTTTAGCCGGGATGGTCTCGATCTCCTGACCTCGTGATCCGCCCGCCTCGGCCTCCCAAAGTGCTGGGATTACAGGCGTGAGCCACCGCGCCCGGCCATTTTTATATTTTTTAGTAGAGACAGGGTTTCGCCACGTTGGCCAGGCTGGTCTTGAACTCCTGACTGCAAGTGATCGCCCACTTTGGCGTCCTATAGTGCTGGGATTACAGGCGTGAGGCACCACTCTCGGCCTGTGTGATATCTTTATAACCATATCCATTAAACAGGTTGTGAGAACAAAATTAAGTAATTGTTAACAGTAGCATATGCACTTATGTAGAAATTTTTGTGTGGTTTGGATGTTAGCATCTCATTTTTGGTAAAGGAAGAGGAGTTTGGGTAAAATTTATCTCTTTAAGGTCTGGTTCAGTGAAAGAAAGCATTTATTAGGTCTGGATACTTAAAAATTCTTTTAATTAAGACTTATTTATCTTTTATTTAGATATGTTATATGATGATAAATATACTTGATAAATACACCTGCAAAGCAGGAAATAATACATTGGTTTCCTAACATTTTTTCTTCCGTGATAGAGTGATTATAGCAGTGCATAAGTTCTTACACTTATTTGTTGAATTCTCTTACCTGTCATCCTAAAAAAGTAAATTTGTCCATGTTCATGCTTAGCTATTAAGCTTTATTAATTCAAGATTAAAAGCTTTAAGATATATGACTAAATTTTTTCTCTTGTTTACTTCATAATATCTATTTGAATGGAGGAGATACAAGTGGAGGCAGTGAATGCAACAGTATTTCTTCATTGTGTTTGTATCTTTCATATGATCTTACAGCAAAAAGTTTCTAAAACCCTTCTTTAAATAAAGAACAAGATCACTGAATATGTAACATCCTCAACAGCGCATTTCTTTTCTCTTCTCTACTTTTTTATATCCTTGAATAATACTGGCCAGAAAGAATATTTGAAGAGGTTCTTTCTAAATGTATTTTAATATTCATGTTAATTATACATCTTGTATGGTGAATTTGGTGCATTTAAAATAAAAATAATTTTATGTGTTTAATTATTGCATTCTGATCATTTGTAGGCGAAACCTAACCAAACTGTCCCTCATCTTCAGCCACATGCTGGCAGAACTAAAAGGAATCTTTCCAAGTGGACTCTTTCAGGGAGACACATTTCGGATTACTAAAGCAGATGCTGCGGAATTTTGGAGAAAAGCTTTTGGGGAAAAGTAAGTCTCAGAATAATGAATTTGAACTATGAAAAACTAAAGCTTACGAGTTTTTTCTTTACTTTTTTACTAATGAAATATTTAAAATTTGGGAACTCTGAGAAAAGTAATATATGTGTATGTATTTCCTGGCTTTGGTTAAATATTAAGTTTTTGCTCTGTTCATTGTTTTTAAAAAATAGTTTTGCAGATTAAATTGAAACCCATGCTCTTTGAATACTCTTCCCTTTCTCTCCCCATCCATTGTGGTTTCTTTTTGAGACGGAGTCTTGCTCTGTTGCCCAGGCTGGAGTGCAGTGGTGCGATCTCCACTTACTGCAAGCTCTGCCTCCTGGGTTCATGCCATTCTCCTGCCTCAGCCTCCTGAGTCGCTGGGACTATAGGTGCCTGCCACCACGCCCGGCTAATTTTTTGCATTTTTAATAGAGACAGGGTTTCACCACGTCAGCCAGGATGGTCTCGACTTCTGACCTCGTGATCCACCTGCTTCGGCATCCCAAAGTGCTGGGATTACAGGCGTGAGCCACCATGCCCAGCCCCATTCTGCTCTTAATGGACATGTACATTTCACATTATTTGCTATCAGCAGTGAGCAATATCTAAGTTGTCTTCATATGCAAGAAATTGTCTTTATTTACATACGCAGGAGTGGAATTGCTAAGTCTTGGGGTTTTACATCTTTTGCTTTGCTAAGTATTGTCCAATTTCTTTCCAAAATGGTGTACCAGTTCATATTTTACAGTAGCCCCACAGTTTGGCTAACGCTGGCGATGTGAATTGGTGTAATATTTTGCTTTATATTCCCTGATGAGAAGGGAGATTGAGCTTCTTCTCACCTTTATGACCAGTCAAGATTCTTATTCTTACTTGCCTGTTCCTATTTCTGATTTACCCATTTTCTTATTGAGTGGTTTATCTTTCTGTTATTATAGGTTACTAGTTCTTTGTTAGATACTTACATTACAAATATCTTCTCCCAGTCTGTGGCTTACCTTTTCCGTTTTGCTGTATTGTCTCTCTATATATTATATAGGTTGATTTATGCATCAAGCTTGTATTTTTAAGTATAAATATAAATATCCTAGGTTTTGTCGTTTTATTTTTTTTTTTTTTTGAGACAGGATGTCACTCTCTTGCCTAGTCTGGTGTGCAGTGGTACAATCAATCATAGCTCATCGCAGCCTCAAACTCTTGGATTCAAGCAGTTCTCCCAAGTAGCTGGGACTACACGTGTGTGCTGCCAGGCCCAGCTAATTTGCAGAGACAGGATTTTGCTGTGTTACCCAGGCTGGTCTCGAAGTCCTGGCCTCAAATAATCTTTCCCCCTGGCCTCTCAAAGTACTAGGATTACAAGCGTGAGCCACTGTGTTAGGCCCAAGTTTCTCTTTAAAGGCCTTCATTTTTGGCCAGGCACAGTGGCTCACTCCTGTAGTCCCAGCACTTTAGGTGGCCAAGGCAGGAGGATTTCTTGAGGCCAGAAGTTTGAGACTACTACCCTGGATGACATTACAAGACCTGGTCTTTATTTGTAAATTATTTTTTATTTTTCTTTTCTTGTTTTGCAGCAAGGTTTCACTCTGTTGCCCAGGCTGTAGTGCAGTGGCACGATCTCACTTGCAACCTCTGCCTCCAAAGTTCAAGTGATTTTCCCCCCTCAGCCTCCAGAGTAGCTGGAACTAATTAGTCTGGCTAATTTTGTTTGTTTGTTTGTTTTTGTAGAGACAAAGTTTCACCATATTGCCCAGTCTGGGCTCAAGCAGTCTGCCCACTTTGGCCTCTCAAAGTGCTGGGCCTCCCAAAGGCATGCACCATGGCTCCTGGTCCCCTTCTTTCTTTTCTTAAAGAAGTTGACCTGTATTTTGAATTACGAGAATTGAAATTGGTATTGAGAGCTTAATGTGGCTCTCCTTCCTTTCCTTGATTATGGCGATGCCTGGAATTATCTCTGTTATTTCACTTTATGCCTCCTCTCCACCCCCTCCCCAGGACAATAGTCCCTTGGAAGAGCTTTCGACAGGCTCTACATGAAGTGCATCCCATCAGTTCTGGGCTGGAGGCCATGGCTCTGAAATCCACTATTGATCTGACCTGCAATGATTATATTTCGGTTTTTGAATTTGACATCTTTACCCGACTCTTTCAGGTAGGACACTAAAAAAGTTGACTAAACTGGTTACTGCTACTTCGGTGAAGAGAAAGCTTTTTTTTTTTTTTTTTAAATAACATTTGGGGTTTTTGTCTGTATGAAAGTATTTTAATTCATTTTAGGAACTATGCCAAAAAAAAGATTAAAACTATCTCATATTAAAAATATATGTATGTGTGTGTATGTATATATAGTGAAAATGACAGCTATACCAACTGCTTTCTTCTCCTCACATCTTTCCTTGTTATTGAATATTCTTCTTTTGTATCATTTTAATGTTTGTAGAATGGCCAGAATATGAATATATTAGTTTTCTGATATTGGATATTTGTGTATGTTTGCAACTGTTTCTCCTGTTTTATTGAAATTGACTGTTAATATTGAGATGTTTAGATGCTTCAAAAACAACTCCTTTCTTTTTCTCTAAAAATAATGCTTTCTCTGGTGTTGTCTGTGCCAATTTGCATACACATTTATTTGGAACTTATTAGTTGCACCTATAGGCCCTATCCTGGTTTTCAGTTTGTTGTTGTTCAACCCCACTACTGTTAATTAGAGCTGCTTTACAAATTCTAGAATTTTCATTTTGTGTCAAGTTTCTCCCTATAAGCATATATTCTTTTCTTCGTAGCTTTTCAGAGTTTTTAATCTCCTGAACACATGTGTCTTCTCTCTGAGTGATGGTATAATTAAAAATTTCTGACAATGAACTGAGAGTTGGTGTTGTTTTTTTTTTTTCTCATTGCCCTCTGAGTTGGTTGTACATCTGACCTGAATAGTCTGTGATTGATCTTGTTTCTTTAGCCCTGGTCCTCTTTGCTCAGGAATTGGAACAGCCTTGCTGTAACTCATCCTGGCTACATGGCTTTTTTGACGTATGACGAAGTGAAAGCTCGGCTCCAGAAATTCATTCACAAACCTGGCAGGTCAGTTCAATGACGCAAAGAGATTTATTCTTCTGAATTTCGTTATCTTGAGACTTCTGCTAGTATAGAAGAAACATGACCTTAATTAGTTTCGCAATAGCCAAGGTTCTGCAATAGGATTGATACCTGTTTATCAGACGTATTGACTTAATTCAGATCCTATAATTTGATAAATGTTTTCAGGCCACTTAAGAATTGAATTTATGGCCGGGCACAGTGGCTCACGCCTGTCATCCCAGCACTTTGGGAGGCCGAGGCGGGCAGATCACGAGGTCAGGAGTTTGAGACCAGCCTGGCCAAAGTGGTAAAACCCTGTCTCTACTAAAAATACAAAAATTATCCAGGTGTGGTGCGGGTGCCTGTAATCCCAGCTACTCAGGAGGCTGAGGCAGGAGAATCACTTGAACCTGGGAGGTGGAGGTTGCAGTGAGCCGAGATCATGTCATTGCACTCTAGCCTGGGCAATAAGAGCGAAACCCCATCTCAAAAACAACAAAAACAAAAAAAGAATAGAGTTTATGTGTCTTTTGCTTCTGGTGTGGAGTCATGGAAGAAGTTACTCTCTTTTTAAAAATATTTTCTTTCTTTTTTCTTGTCACTGACTTGAAGCTCAGAAGTAGTTATTCTTGGCTGGGTGTGGTGGCTCACACCTGTAATCCCAGCACTTTGGGAGGCCAAGGTGGGCAGATACTTGAGATCAGAAGTTTAAGACTGGCCTGGCCAACATGGCGAAACCCCATCTCTACTAAAAATACAAAAATTAGCCAGGTGTGGTGGCACATACTGTAGTCCCAGCTACTCAGGAGGCTGAGGCAGGAGAATCATTTGAACCCAGGAGGTGGAGGCTGCAGTGAGCTGAGATTGTGCCACTGCACTCTAGCCTGGGTGACAGAGCCAGACTCCATCTTAAAAAAAGAAAGAAAGAAAGGAAGAAAGTTATTGTTATTCTTGATGGTTCTTTTGATTTTTGTCTGTATCTTGCCTTGCCTTCCACCGTAATACCAGCATAATCTACTAAAGCTTCTGTTTATGTCTGTTCATAGTTATATCTTCCGGCTGAGCTGTACTCGTCTGGGTCAGTGGGCTATTGGGTATGTTACTGCTGATGGGAACATTCTCCAGACAATCCCTCACAATAAACCTCTCTTCCAAGCACTGATTGATGGCTTCAGGGAAGGCTTGTGAGTACCTACTGCATACCATCTGTTAGAGTCTGGGAACTTAGGGGCTGTCCAACCTCATCATTAATGACTTTATTCCAGGTTTCTTAAACTGCAGACTAAGATTCAGGAAAATATTAACAGATGATATTGATTTGACCTTCAGGTCCTGGAAGACTTTTGTTTTTCTTTTTTAGGGATTCCATGAGTGAAATTATTCTCTACCACTTCAGTTATTACCATAAATAAACTTTATCTTTCTTTTTTCCAAATGTTAACTTATTTTCAAGCCTGTGTTAGGTTTTAAAATATACCAATTAGCAGGAAATTTGACCAGTTATTTAACTAGTCGGCATTCAAGTGATTCAATGTTCCTAATAGCCATAGGCCTCAGTGGCCTTCATCTGCTTTCATCCTCACTTCGCTTTTGTTCAGCAGCATTTCTTCAGGCCTTGGGCTACTGTAACCTATGCTGCTATTTATAACTAAGTCCTTATTTATTCCAGAATTGCTATTCCTTTGAGAATTCAAATTAATTATCAGTTGGTAAACACTTAAAAATACTAACAGTTGACCAGATGGCAGAAAACTAGCTTGTGTTTTGAAGTGATTAGGAAAATACATTTTATATTATACATTATCTTTTACTTACAATAGCATTGGGACTGAAAGGAGTGCTGCCCCAAATGTCAGAACAGTTTGATGCTAGAAACTGTGGATCTCCCTGGTAGATGATCTCAGTAGCTTAATTTGCATATTGTTACATTGCTTTTAAATTGGTGTCTCTCATTTTCTTAAACCTGTAAACCTTCTTTGATCAAAAGCAAATGCAGTTTAAACTAAGAAGTTAAGCCGGGTGCAGTGGTTCACACCTGTGATCCCAGCACTTTGGGAGGCCGAGACGGGTGGATCACCTGAGGTCAGGAGTTCAAGACCAGCCTGGCCAACATGGCAAAACCCTGTCTGTACTAAAAGTACAAAAAGTTAGCCGGACGTGGTGGTGGGTGCCTGTAATCCCAGCTACTTGGGAGGCTGAGGCAGGAGAATCACTTGAATCCAGGAGGCGGAGGTTTCAGTGAGCCAAGATCACTCACTGCAACCTCAAAAAAAAAATAAGAATCTGTCGCGCACACACACACACACACACACACACACACATAAAGAATTTCTATCTGGTGGCCATCCATTGATTAAAAATGGGTTGGTAAACTGTGACCCATGGGCCACCTGTTTGTTCCCCCGGGGAGCCAAGATAGCTTTTCCTAAGAGTCGTTTTGAAAAAAACAATCAGAGAAGAATATGTGACACAGACTAATGTGGCCTACAAATCCTAAATGATTTTCTATCTGGCCCTTTACAGAAAAGCTTGCTAACCAACCCCTTGATTAAAAGATAGAGCCTATGGCATTGTTACCTGGAGAAGGAATAATAGTTTTTGGAGAATATCTTTAAACTGTTCTGTGTTTTTTATTTTTTTGAAGTATTATTTTTTGGAAGTATTTTTTTTTTGAAGTAAGATTGATCTTTATACTTACACCACGTTGCCCTTTTAGAATGGAGAAACTCCCAGATTCCATTTGTCTATATTAGCAAGCACTGGCAAATTGGCTTAAATAAAACCCAGGGTTGGTTACTCTTTACAGCTATTTGTTTCCTGATGGACGAAATCAGAATCCTGATCTGACTGGCTTATGTGAACCAACTCCCCAAGACCATATCAAAGTGACCCAGGTGAGTTTTGTTTCACATGATAACCATATCACTGGACACAAGCTTTAGTATATTCTTTATAGAACTGACAGCATAATTGAATTCATTGGAACCCATTGACTAGATTAGTGAATTTGTGTGTATGTGGTTTCACTTTAAACCCTGGAGCTTAAAATAGGACCCAGACTAGATGCTTTCTGGTTTAATAAAAAATAAACCACTGTTGTGACATTTTTATATAAGCAAAATTTGTATAGGAAACAAGTCTTCACTTTTTCTGTTAACATTTATAATTGCAGTTATTTATTCAACTAATAGTCTTTTAATTTTTTTTAATCAAAGGAACAATATGAATTATACTGTGAGATGGGCTCCACATTCCAACTATGTAAAATATGTGCTGAAAATGATAAGGATGTAAAGATTGAGCCCTGTGGACACCTCATGTGCACATCCTGTCTTACATCCTGGCAGGTACGGATCTAAACAGCGACTTTTTTCAGCTATGTAATAACCTTGGAAAATTCGGTATTATATAGCCTTTACTGATACAAGGGGTGGCCTGGCTTTTGGGGTTAGGTTTAAACTTTTACTTTTTTTTGATCTCTAGGAAATGTATTTTCTAGTAGATTAATATTTTAAGTATTTTCAGATGCATCTGTTACTATCTTTTGCTTCTTCTGCAGGAATCAGAAGGTCAGGGCTGTCCTTTCTGCCGATGTGAAATTAAAGGTACTGAACCCATCGTGGTAGATCCGTTTGATCCTAGAGGGAGTGGCAGCCTGTTGAGGCAAGGAGCAGAGGGAGCTCCCTCCCCAAATTATGATGATGATGATGATGAACGAGCTGATGATACTCTCTTCATGATGAAGGAATTGGCTGGTGCCAAGGTAAGATGGCAGTTTAGGAGACTGGCAAAATCCATTGTGAGTTGTCTTCTAAAGCCGTAAAACACTTAACGATATCCAAACTACAATGATAGGTAGTATTAATAGCTAATATTTATTGAGCATTTACTATATGACAGATATTGTGTTAAGCACTTTACTTGTTTTTTACTCAATCTTTACTACAGCCCTATGAGTACATACTACTATTATCCTTATTTAACAGATGAAGAAACTGAGGCACAAAGAGGTTAAGGAATTTGCCGAAGACCACACAGCTAGTAGGTTGAAGCATCTGTGAGCTGCATCTATGACCAGGCATTCCAGCTTAAGGCCCATGTTCTTACTGTCTGTATTTTTTAGGACTAAGACTTTATTCATATCTGTTGGTGGAGAATATGAGGGAGAAATAAAAGAACTGGACCCTCTTTTGCTAATGCAACTAGAATAAGTTCTGTTCCCTTTTTTTTTTTTTATTTTAATGGAGTCTTGGCATTAGAAGGTTGGGGCTGGGCATGCCCATAGCTCATGCCTATAATCCCAGTACTTTGGGACGTTGAGGCTGGAGGATCAGTTGAGCCCAGTTTGAGGCCAGCCTTGGCAATATAGTGAGACCCTATCTCTACCCCTGACTCCAAAACAAAACAAAAAAAAGCTGGGTATGGTGTTGTGCACCTGTAGTTCTAACTACTCTGGAGGCCAAGGCTGGAGGATCAGTTGAGCCCAGCAATTCGACATAGCAAGACCGTATCTTTACCACCACTGCCCCCATGCCCCCCCCTAAAAAAAAAAATAGCTGGGCATGATGGTGTACGCCTGTAGTTCTAACTAGTCTGGAGACTGAGACGGGAGGATTGCTTGATCCCAGGAATTCAAGGCGGGAGTGAGTTGTGATTGTACCACTGCACTCTAGGTTGGGTGACAGAGCGAGACCCTGTCTCATAAATAAATAGTAATTGTATACAATGTGTAGTGTGACTTATTTCTGTAAAAAAATTTTTTTAAGCATATACGTAGAAAAACTGGATGACTACATACCAAACTAATCACTGTTATTTCTGAGGATAGGAATTCAGAGCACTTAAATTCTGTGGAATATTTGAATTTTTTACAATTAATGCATATTACTTTTTCAAAGTGTTTGTTGTGCTAGATGGTTGAGTGCTATATGGGATAAGAAGTCTAAGACAAGGCTTTCAAGGAGCTAATTGTTTTATTTAGGAAAAGGACATATGTGCAGGTGAAACACTTCAACACAAGGCAGACAGTGAACATTGTTCCAAATTGTTGGGTACACTATAAGTCGGATAGGAGTTTAGAGGAAAGAAGTAAAGGAACACACTTTCCCTAGCCATGTAGAAATGTAAACAGAAAAAAAACCAGCCTCATGTATTTTGTCATTTGGCCATTCCATAATTTATTTTGTCTTCCTTTTAATGAACATTCATATTGTTTGCAGGCTTACGTATATTGGCCTGCTTTTACAAGTCTGTCTAGGCTAGCAGTGGGATTGCTGCATAAGGGAGTGTGTATTTCAACTGTGATAGAGGGGAGGTTATAATTAACAGAGGGGCTTATGGGAATATCACAGTGATAATGGTATTTTGTTTTTTAGCTGGATGGTAGGTAAGTATATGGATGTTTTATTCCTTGTACTTTATAGTTCATTATATATTTTGTATGAGTAAAATAATTTGAGTGAAAATATTTAACTTTTGGTTAGTTATTAAAGTTTATCCCCCTTTTTTGGTCTTGAAATCACTCTTGAAGGTATGGAAAAGAATGAGAATGCCTGTTTCTTCACATCCTGGTAGATGTTGTTTGTTGTTTTATTTTGATTTTTTTTAATATACTGAATCTACTTATAGTTGGTGAATGCACATGGATTTTTTTTAAGGTTTAAAAGAATTGCTAAAAAAAACTTACAAAAACATTGGTTCCCTGCCTCTGCCCCCTCCAGCACCTCTCTGTCCCCTCGTTCAGAGTTTTAATTCTTGAAACTGTTTACTACCTCTGTGTTTCTTAACCATGTGCTTATACTGCTTTTTCTGGATTCTTGATCTCTTCACCTCAGATGTTGTGGGAGAGGGTTTAGGTCTCTTATATCTCCCTCCTCCCTACTCCATATCCTCCCACTACAGTTATTTGAATTTGGCTTAGTACTAGTGTTTACATGATTTCACTCCTTACTGTGCCAAGTAACATACTATACAATAATTACTTTTGCTTTCTTATACAACTTTCTGCTTTTCCTGGTATAATTATTTTTATTTTCTTAGTTTTCAGTTTGTACCTGTCACTACCAAATCATATCATACTCTCAAACATCCTCTCAATATAGTTTCTATGAAATAAAATCTGTTAGTATAGTAGTATGTGATACCGTGTACTGCTTTGTAGGAAATAGGAGTCATCTGTGTTCCGCTCCAGTCTGCTCCAGTTACTCCTGTGCCACACTACTTGTCACCCTGAGGTGTCCCCTCGCCATCCTCATGGGACTTCATTGCCTCTCCTCTGTTGGAGTACCTTGGTTCCCATGTTTTCCTCTTTTTTGCTTCTTTGTTTATGTCCTTAAAGTAGCTTTCTGTGAAAGGGTGAGAGATAAACTTCTTGAGATCTTTGGTATCTTAAAATGCCTTTATTCAACCCTCAAACGTGAATTGACTAGTTACAGAATTCTAGATTAATAAATATTCTGCTCTAAATTGTTAAGGCTTCACTGACTTCTAGCTTCTAATGTATTTTTGCTTTTCAGCGCTTCCTTTCCCTCTGTCACCAAAAGCCTTTTTTTTTTTTTTTTTTGAGACAGAATCTTGCTCTGTCACCCAGGCTGGAGTGCAGTGGTGCAATCTCGGCTCACTGCAACCTCTGCCTCCCGGGTTCACACCATTCTCCTGCCTCAGCCTCCTGAGTAGCTGGGACTACAGGCGCCTGCCACCACGCCTGGCTAATTTTTTTTTGTATTTTTAGTAGAAACAGGGTTTCACCATGTTAGCCAGGATGGTCTTGATCTCCTGACCTTGTGATCCGCCTGCCTCGGCCTCCCACAGTGCTGGGATTACAGGTGTGAGCCACTGCACCTGGCCCACCAGAAGCTTTTAAGATATTTTCCTCATCCTTGATTTGATGAAAATTGTAAGGGTATTTTTGGTTTGTTTGTTGTGGGTTTCCTTTCTTTCATTGAGCTAGGTATGTAATAAACCCTTTCTATTTGGATATTTATGTCCTTTAAGTCTTGAAGTCTTGGAAATGTTTGTATTTCTCTGATCACTTATTTTCCATTTATAAATTTATAAAGGTTCCACCTTTTCTGGAGCCTTATATGCTATGATAAAAGAATATTGCGGCCGGGTGCGGTGGCTCATGCGTGTAATCCCAGCACTTTGGGAGGCCGAAGCGGGCAGATCACCTGAGATCAGAAGTTCCATACCAGCCTGGCCAGTGTGGTGAAACCCTGTCTCTACTAAAAATACGAAAATTAGCCAGGCATGGTGGCGCATGCCTATAATCCCAGTTACTTGGGAGGCTGAGGCCAGAGAATGGCTTGAACCTGGGAGGCAGAGGTTGCAGCGAGCTGAGATCGCACTATTTCACTCCAGCCTGGGCAACAAGAGTGAGACTCCATCTCAAAAAAAAAAAAAAAGACTATTGCAAGGATCCATTATGATGTTGAGACATGAATGTAAAAATATGATTAGTTCAACCCTCTGTGCCTAAGGAATGAGAGAAAGATTGATGATCGGCAGAGAGGGCCTTCCAGAATGGGGAAAGGATTTAAAGAATGATACGGAAGTCGAAATAATCATTAGAATGTGCAGGAAACACTGAGGAGATGAGCCTGAATAGAGCAGCGTTGATGCTTGTTAGGGAGTTGTGGGAAATACCTTTCTTTGGTTGCAGAGACCAGATTAGAAAGACTTGTGAAAGCTGGGCAGGAGGGTGAGATTTTGTAACAGGGCAAATTGGGAGTTACTGGTGGTTTTTGAGTTGGTGAGTGTTTAAGAATGGCTAAGCTGATAGTGGTAAGCAGAAGGATGTGGTGAGATAAACTACAAGTTGGGAAGTTCACTAGGTTGTTTTAATAAATCACGGCCACCCGCGGTGGCTCACGCCTGTAATGCCAGCCCTTTGGGAGGCCAAGGCAAGGAGGATCACTTTAGCCCAGAGGTTTGAGTCCACCCTGGGCAACATGACAAGACCCCGTCTACCCGTGCCTTCCCCGCGCCCCAAAAAAAAAAAAGCCACATGTGGTGGCGCACAGCTTGTCCCAGCTACTTGAGAGGCTGAGGCAGGAGGATGGCTTGAGCCCAGGAGGTCAAGGCTGCAGTGCACCATGTTTGTGCCACTGCAGTCCAGCCTGGGCTACAGAGCAAGACCCTGTCTCCCATAAATAAGTAAGGTCTGGGGTTGGTAAGTAGAATGAAATGAAATATACAGGTATGAGAATCTTTTAGGGAAAAATCAGCAGGATATAGCTACTGACAAAATAATTATGATGAAGTGAGAGGAGGCTTGACTAGTAACTTTGACTTTTGTCATTGAGCTGTTTAGCTGCTCATGCTGCATTGTCAGCTAATTGGGAACCCGTTATCTTAAGCATGTGGATAAAGCAAAGAGTTAAAGATGAGAGCTTTTCTGTCATCCACCACCCAGCACTAATAACATGACTAAATATGGCTGTTTTTCTGTCAGTGTTGCTTTGCTGTTGGGGAATTTAAATGCAGAGTAGCATTTTTTTTTTAATGAATTACTGTGTATCTCTTGACAGCTTACTTTGACAAGCTTATCAGCTATTCCTAAGCCTGCTATAGGCAGGGAAATGGAAAAGGTTATATATGTGTTCTTTCTTCTAATTTGGTACCTCATTTTTTAGAGCTCAAATTGACAGAAAATATTAATCCTTTTTAATTCTTTCTTTTTTTTTTTTTTTTTTTTTTTTTTTTTTGAGATGGAGTCTTGCTCTTTTGCCCAGGCTGGAGTGCAGTGGCGCTATCTCGGCTCACTGCAAGCTCCGCCTCCCGGGTTCATGCCATTCTCCTGCCTCAGCCTCCTGAATAGCTGGGACTACAGGCGCCCGCCACCACACCTGGCTAATTTTTTGTATTTTTAGTAGAGACGGGGTTTCACCGTGTTAGCCAAGATGGTCTCGATCTCCTGACCTCGTGATCCACCCGCCTCAGCCTCCCAAAGTGCTGCGATTACAGGCGTGAGCCACCACGCCTGGCCTTAATTATTGAATTGAAATAATTTATTTCTTTGGAAGGACTCAAGATGCTTTTTAGTGATATTCTTGATCATTTTTCTTTACAAATTCACCTTAAAAAAATTTTTAGTTAAAATTTTTTAGAGGGATCTCACTATGTTGACAAGGCTGGTCTTGAACTCCTGGCCTCAAGCAATCCTCCTGCCTCCCCAAATGCAGGATTACAGGTGTGAGCCACTGTACCGACTCTCATCTTCTTTCTTACCTTAATAACCCATAGAGAATTCACCGTCATCGATCTCTTTCTTTATTATGTCCCTTAAACATTGTTTTCCCAGGTACTTTGTTAAGAGGTTAATATCTGCACCCCCCGCCCCACTGCCATCCTTTTTTTTTATTTTATTTTTGTCGAGACAGGCTCTTGCTCTGTTGCCCAGGCTGGAGTACAGTGGCTAGATTATGGTTCACTGCAGTCTCAAACTCCTAGGCTCAAGCAGTCTTCCTGTTTTAGCCTCCCAAATAGCTGTGTGCCACCATGGCCCAGCTAATTTTTTATTTTATTTTTTGTAGAGATGGGGTCTCATTATGTTGCCCATACTGGTCTCGAACTCCTGCCTCCCAAAATGTTAGTATTACAGGTGTGGGCCACTGTGCATGGCCTGCCCCTTACTTTTTATATGGATTCCTATTTTTAATCTTGAAAAGATTTTTTTCTTTCTCCAAAGATGAGGGGGTAGAAAACTGTTGTAATTTTTAAAGTTGTAAACTAGGAAACTTTTTGTAGCCCTGTCCTTTCTAGATAGATTACCTGTAGCTTGCCATGGGTATGGTGTTTCTGTGATTGAGAGTGCCCTCTTATGGTGACACAAAAATTATTCAGGAAGTGCTAGAGTCTCTGGAAGTTTTTTAAGAGGGTGTGTGCGACCTCAAACCTAGGTCTGGCCCATTTGTAGTTTAAGTGTTCCCATGGTATTTGCCATCCACAGCTTTAGGAGAGTTGAAAGATGCCATTTCCCCAAACGAAAGTAATCTGTTAAATTTTTTATGTACCCTAGGTGGAACGGCCGCCTTCTCCATTCTCCATGGCCCCACAAGCTTCCCTTCCCCCGGTGCCACCACGACTTGACCTTCTGCCGCAGCGAGTATGTGTTCCCTCAAGTGCTTCTGCTCTTGGAACTGCTTCTAAGGTAAAGCATTTTCCATTACTGCAGTTTTTGGATTCTTTGCTGTGTACTAGTGGGTTTTTACTGATTTGCTTTCACCCTGCTTCCACAGGCTGCTTCTGGCTCCCTTCATAAAGACAAACCATTGCCAGTACCTCCCACACTTCGAGATCTTCCACCACCACCGCCTCCAGACCGGCCATATTCTGTTGGAGCAGAATCCCGACCTCAAAGACGCCCCTTGCCTTGTACACCAGGCGACTGTCCCTCCAGAGACAAACTGCCCCCTGTCCCCTCTAGCCGCCTTGGAGACTCATGGCTGCCCCGGCCAATCCCCAAAGTACCAGTATCTGCCCCAAGTTCCAGTGATCCCTGGACAGGAAGAGAATTAACCAACCGGCACTCACTTCCATTTTCATTGCCCTCACAAATGGAGCCCAGACCAGATGTGCCTAGGCTCGGAAGCACGTTCAGTCTGGATACCTCCATGGTGAGTCTTAATTTTGAAACTATCTAACCTGTTAAGAAATATGTGTGGGCCAGGCACAGTGGCTCATGTCTGTAATCCCAGCAATTTGGGAGGCCAAGGTGGGTGGATCGCTTGAGCCGAGGATTTCGAGACCAGCCTGGGGGACGTAGTGAAACCCTGTCTCTACAAAAATTACAAAAATTAGCTGGGCGTGGTGGCACTTGCCTGTAATTCCAGCTACTCGGGAGGCTGAGGTGGGAATATTGCTTGGGCCCAGGAGGCCAAGCTTTCAGTGAGCCATGATGGCGCCACTGCACTCCAGCCTAGGCAATAGAGTAAGACCCTGTCTTGAAAAAAAAGAAGAAAGAAAAAGAAATATGTGTGGATAGAAGTTTATGGGTTGAAATTTTGTGATAAGTTTTATATGGAATTCAGAGATGCTATAACATAATTCCTACCCTCAAGAAATATGGCTGGGCGTGGTGGCTCACACCTGCAATCACAGCACTTTAGGAGGCCGAGGCGGGTGGATCACCTGAGGTCAGGAGTTTGAGACCACCCTGGCTAACATGATGAAACCCCGTCTCTACTAAAAATACAAAAAATTAACTGGGCCTGGTGGTGGGTGTCTGTAATTCCAGCTACTCAGGAGGCTGAGGCAGGAGATTCATTTGAACCTGGAGGCAGAGGTTGCAGTGAGCTGAGATCAGGTGATTGCACTCCAGCCTGGGCAACAAGAGTGAAACTTTGTCTCAAAAAAAAAATGTGTATATTCACAGACCAGATGAGGCAGTTTGTAAATATTGCAGTAAATGTCCTTTCATAAATGCCATTTGTAATCTAACTAGAAAACACTTAAGTTTTAGAGAAATAAGAGGTTATTCCCAGATAGGGCAATCATGAGAACTTTATAGAAGGAGTGGCATCTGAGATCTGAAGTATTTCTTTGGAAAGTGGATACGGTTTTCAGATTGATAACAGCCACAATGACAGAAATGCCTAAGGTGTATTGTGGAATGATGATTAGGTTATTTTAAGTAGAGCAGAAATTTTGTCAGTAGGAGAAAGAACTGGAAAGGAACATCACACTAGATTAGAGAGAGTTGAATACCCTCTCCCAAAAGAATTTTAATTTGTATGGTAGGAAATGAAGAGCATTTGAAGGGGGTAGGTTATTGGTCCTTTGTCTAAATATGCAAGAAAGGGTCCAGAACTGAGAGGTGGGAGAGGAATATTTGATGTTTTGTTCATTTATGCACTTAACAAAAAGTCTTGCCCTCACAAAGTTTATATTCTAATGGGAGGAAGATGGAATATAAACATGTTAATTGAATAACATAGTATGTTCACAGTCACAAGTGCTATGGAGAAAAATAGCCCAAAGAAGGGTATAGAGAAAGCTGGCATAGGAGTGGGAGGTATGTGAAGTTATAGAGTACAATTCTGAGCAGAAACCTGTAGCAGTAGGAGGATGTGCCATGCTGATCCCAGGGGAGATTATTCCAGGATGAAGGAAAAAGCAAGTGAGTTTGGGAGAGACTGAAGAATAACAAAGGGGTTTAATATAGCCAGTACTAAATGAGCAAGAGAGAGAATCATTGTTTATGAGCAGAGTGGGCAGCCAGATGATTAGGTCGAAGCCTTTCGAGAGCATGAAATAAAGACTTGTTAAGGCTTGAAAAGCAGTCAGTGGGTGGAAAAAAAGGTAAGTACCACACGTGCACTGCATGCGCGTAAAAACGAAACTTTTACCTGGCTGACTGTTGCATTTGAAATGAGCAGTTGATGGAAGCATCAGCAAGTAGGCAGTCAGAAATCCAAGGAGGCAGAATGGGAAGAGTGAAGTTGAGAAGTGTTGTGGCACTAAGTGAATGGCATCTCTTGGTTGCAGAGAAAGGGTAATGCTCAAGTGGTACCTGTGGGGTGGATAGCCTAATTAGTGAGTGTGGATTAGGTTTGACTTTCTGGCAGCATCAGTATAGAATGACCATTTTGCGTTTGGATATAGATTATTTAAGATACTAATGGTATTTGTGTAGATAGCCAATTTACTCAAATCTTTTTAGAATTAAACCAAAAAGTTCATTTCCCTGGCTCTTTCTAGATCTCCACCTCTCTAAACTTTACATTTGAAGGTTCTTCGGAGCCTTAAGGCCCCTAAGCGTTTGGTCAGATGTGATAACCCCTGGGCATGGCATTGAGAGTTAGGTTTGTATCTGTTATTGTTATTTTGAAAAGGTTCAATAAGAGCAGAGGCTCAGCTGTGGTAAGAAAGTTGTTTTTCAACACTTTTCTTTACTTTCCAGAGTATGAATAGCAGCCCATTAGTAGGTCCAGAGTGTGACCACCCCAAAATCAAACCTTCCTCATCTGCCAATGCCATTTATTCTCTGGCTGCCAGGTAAGTCTGCTAAAGCTATATTTTGTACAGTGGAGTTGTTACTTGTAAAAAGCTTACTTGCAGAAAATTGAGAAAACCCAGAAAAGTGTAAAAAAGAAAATAAAAATCTCTGCACCATGTAGAAATGATTATATTTTATGTTTTAGAGTATTTCCTTCTTTTCCTTTTTCTGCATATGTGTACCTAGATCTGTTTTGCTGGGGCCTGTCAATTTTATTAATATTTTCAAGGAAGTAATTTTGGATATCTGCCATCTGTTTCATTGCTCTGCGCTCTTTATTCTTCCAGCTTTCTTTAAGTTTAATTTGCTGTTTTCCTAGCTTCATGAAATGGACGCTGTGTTGATCTGCTCAGGCTGCCATGACAAAATACCACATATTGGGTGGTTTAAATAGCAGAAATTTATTTTCCCTGAGTTCTGGAGGCTGGAAGTCTGAGATCAGGGTGCCTGCATGGTGGCTTTCCGGTGAGGGCTCTCTTCCTGCATCTCACTATGTCCTTACATGGCCATCCTCAGTGTTTGCACAGACAGAGAGAGAGAGAGAGAGCACGCACAAGCTCTCTGGGGTCTCTTCCTATAAGGACACCAATGCTACTGGGTCCTCCTATTCTTATGACTTCATTCAACCTTAATTACATCCTTAGAGGCCCCATCTCCAAATACAGCCACCCCTCAGTATATATGCATGCAGGGGATTAGTTCCAAGACCCCAGCATATACCAGAACGCACATGGTCGGGTCCCACCCTTGGCCCTGTGGAACCACATATATGAAAAGTTGGCCCTCCCTGTATGTGGGCTCTAATGAATACTGTATTTTTGAGCCAAACTTGGTTGCAGTCAGGGAACCCAAGGATACAGAAGCCTGACTGTGTTTATTGATGAAAATCTATGCGCACACTGAGAATAAGGGCTTCAACAGATGATTTTAGGGGGAACACAAACAGATGTTTTACGGTATTCCACCCATTTTGATATGTCATATTTTCATTAAGTTCAAAATACATACTTTTTCTATGTGTAATTTCTTCTTTAATTTATGAGTTACTCATATGTTGCCTGATTTTCATACATTTGAAAATTTTCTAGTTATCCTTCTGTTACTGCTGGCTTTATTCCAATGTGGTCAGAAACCATACTGTCAGCTAGTTTATGGTAAAATTTGGTAATTTGTATCACCCTCAGTTCCTAAGAATGTGTATTTTGCAGTTTTTGGGTTGTAGCATTCTATATAAGTTAATGAGGTCAAGTTTGTTAATTGTGTTAAATCTTGTATCTCCCTAGAATCTTTTTTAAAATTTCTCTGCTATTGGATAACTGAGAGGAGAATGTTAAATTCTCCACCTATGACTGTGGTTTTTTTCTTTTCCTTTTAGTTATATTTATTTGTGTTATCTGTATATTTAGCCTATGTAATTGGGGTACATAGAAATTTAGAATTTTTGATACTAAGTAAGTTTTTATTATAACCAAATACCTCTTTTACTCTGTAGTTCTATTTCTTGCCTGCCTTAAGTCTGCTTTGCCATATATGAAAGTGGCTACATCACCTGTCTTTTAGTATTTGCATAACCTCTGTATTATACCATTTCACTCCTCTATTTTTTTTTTTTTTTGTAATATGGAACGCTTGATGAATTTGTGTGTCATCCTTGCATAGAGGCCATGATAATCATGGTAATCATCTCTGTATCGTTCCAGTTGTAGTGTATGAGCTGCTGAAGTGAGCACAACTCCTTCTATTCTTTAATAGTTATCAAGAGATTCCATCATGCACTCTTGACTTACTAGAGTTTGTTTCATTTATTTATTTAAAGATAGGGTCTTGATCTGTTGCCCAGGTTGGAGTGCAAAGGCTCAATCATAGCTCACTGCAGCCTCAACATACTGGGCTCAAGAGATCCTCCCGCCTCAGTCTCCTGAGTAACTGGGGCTCCAGGCATTCGCCACCATGCCTGGCTAGGTTTTTAATTTTTTATTTTTAATAGAGACAAGGTCTAGCTGTGTTGACCAGGCTGGTCTTGAACTACTGGTGTCAAGAGATCCTCCTGTCTCAGCTTCCTGAAATGCTGGGAAATACAGATGTTAGCCATCACACCCAGCCTACAGAGTATTTTAAATCAGCATCTCTGTTTGTTGCCCAGGCTGGAGTGCAGTGGCGCAGTCTTGGCTCACTGCAGCCTAAACTTCCCAGGCTCAAGTGATCCTCCTGCCTCAGCCTCCCGAGTAGCTGGGACCACAGATGCGAACTACCACACTCAGCTAATTTTTGCATTTTTTGTGGAGATGGGGTTTTGCCATGTTGCCCAGGCTGGTCTCGAACTTCTGGGCTCAAGAGGTTTGCCCGCCTTGGCCTCCCAGAGTGCAGGGATTATAGGCGAAAGCCACTGTGCCCAGCCCACTTTTAATTTTTTAAAAAGATACTTGGCTGGGCGCAGTGGCTCACACCTGTAATCCCAGCACTTTGGGAGGCCAAGGCGGGTGGATCACATCAGGAGATTGAGACCATCCTGGCTAATGCGGTGAAACCCCATCTCTACTAAAAATACAAAAAAATTAGCCAGGCATGGTGGTGGGCACCTGTAGTCCCAGCTACTCAGGAGGCGGAGGTTGCAGTGAGCCGAGATCTTGCCACTGCACTCCAGCCTGGGCGACAGAGCGAGACTCTGTCTCAAAAAAAAAAAAGAGATACTTTCACTGAATACAGCATCTATTTTTGTTTTGTTTTGTTTAGTATGTTTTGTTTTGAGACAGAGTCTTGCTCTGTCACCCAGGCTGGAGTCCAGTGGCACGATCTTGGCTCACTGCAACCTCCGCCTCCTGGGTTCAAGCGAATCTCCTGACTCAGCCTCCCAAGTAATTACAGGCACACACCACCATGCCCAGCTAATTTTTTATTTTTTTATTTTTTAGTAGTAACAGGGTTTCACCATGTTGGCCAGGCTGGTCTCGAACTCCTGACTTCAAGTGACCTGCCTGCCTCAGCCTCCCAAGGTGCTGGGATTTATAGGTGTGAGCCACTGCGCCTGGCCCAGTGTAGCATCTGAACTGAAGTTGTTTTCTTTCAGCAGTTTAAAAATATCATTCCACTCTCTTTTGGCTTCCATTGTTTCTGTTGAGAAATTAGCCGTCAGCCTTAATGTTACTCCTTTAAAGGTAATGTTTCTTGGCTGTGAGTGGTGGCTCACGCCTGTAATCCCAACACTTTGGGAAGCCAAGGCAGGAGGATCACTTGAGTCTGGGAGTTTGAGACCAGTCTGGGCAACATAGTAATACTCCCATCTTTACAAAAAATATCAGCCAACCATGGTGGCACACGCCTATAGTCCCAGCTACTGGGGAGGCTAAGGTTTGCTGGAGCCCAGGACGTTGAGGCTGCTGTGAGCTGTGATGGCACTACTTCAGTCCAGCTTGGGTTACAGAGCACGACCCTGTCTCAAAAAAATAAAATTGAAAAATAAATAGGCCAGATAAATAGGCCAGGTGTAGTGCCTCATGCCTGTAATCTCAGCATTTTGGGAGGCCGAGGCAAGCGGATTGCCTGAACTCCGGGTTTGAGATCAGTTTGAGTAACATGGCGAAACCCTATCTCTATGAAAAAGATACAGAAATGTAGCTGGGCATGGTGGTGCACACCTGTGGTCCTAGCTGCTCAGGAGGCTGAAGTGGGCGGATCACCTAAGCCCAGAAGGTCGAGGCTGTAGTGCGCCATGATTGTGCCACTGCACTCCAGCGTGGGCAACACAGTGAGACCGTGTCTCAAAAAATAAAAATATATATTTTTAAAAAAATGATAATGCTTATTTTCCTAGCTGCCTACAAAACGTTTTCCCCTGCTCTGGGTCCCAGCAGTTTTACTGTATCTTCCTTTGTGGTTTTGTTTATATTTATCTTTTAATCCTTCATAAGTTTTCATACTTTTTTTTTCGAGACAGAGTCTCACTCTGTCACCCAGGCTGGAATGCAATGCTGTGATCTCAGCTCATTGCAACCTTTGCCTCCCAGGTTCAAGCAGTTCTCCCACCTCAGCCAAGTAGCTGGGATTTTAGGCATGTGCCACCATGCCTGGCTAATTTTTGTATTTTTAGTAGAGATGGGGTTTCACCATTTTGGCCAGGCTGGTCTCGAACTGCTAATGTCAAATGATCCACCTGCCTCAGCCTCTCAAAGTGCTAGGATTACAGGCATGAGCCACTGCACCCTGGCCTCCTTTTCTTTTTCAGACACTAACTAGAACCAAACCTCCGTAAGTTTGGTAAAGTTTATTTAGTTTGTGATATGTTTAATCAGTTTTAGGACATTGTCAGCCACTTTTCCTGAAAACAGACTGAATATTGCAGTCCCTCTTTGTCCTCCTCTTCTGGGACTACCTTTTCCGGAATGTTAGACCTTTTCACTATGTCTCCGAGAGCTCTTATGCTGATGTCTTTTTTTTTTTTTCCATTATTTTTTTCTTGGCATACTTTATTTTCTTTTTTTCTTTTCTTTTTTTGAGGTGGAGTCTTGCTCTGTCACCCAGGCTGGAGTGCAGTGGCGCAGTCTTGGCTCACTGCAAGCTCCGCCTCCCGGGTTCATGCCATTCTCCTGCCTCAGCCTCCCGAGTAGCTGGGACTACAGGCGCCCGCCACCAAGCCCAGCTAATTTTTTGTATTTTTTTAGTAGAGACGGGGTTTCACCACGTTAGCCAGGGTGGTCTCAATCTCCTGACCGTGATCTGCCCGCCTTGGCCTCCCAAAGTGCTGGGATTACAGGCGTGAGCCACTGCGCCCGGCCTATTTTCTTTGATTTTTAAATTTATTCAGCCTCCCTAGTAACTGAGACTATAGATGTGTGCCACCACACCTAGCTAATTTTTGTATTTTGTGTAGATACGGGGTTTTGCTGTGTTGCCCAGTTTTATTTTTCGATACAGTTGCTCCTCAACTTAAGATGGGGTTATGTCCCAGTAAACCCATTGTAAATTGAAAGTGCATTTTGACTTACAGTATTTTCGACTGGGTTTTTCCAAATATTACTCCATTGTAAGTAGAGAAGTGTATTTGATGTTTATTACTTTTGCACCATTGTAAAGTTGAAAAATTGTAAGTTGGGGATGTCTGTGTTGTATTTTTAAGTTCTAGTATTTCCATGTGATTTTTAAAAATGTATCGATTCCATCCTTTTTTTTTTCTTTTTTGAGACAGAGTCTCACTCTGTCGCCCAGGTTGGAGTGCAGTGGTGCAGTCTCGGCTCTCTGCAACCTCTGTCTCCCAGGTTCAAGCGATTCTCCTGCCTCAGCCTCCTGAGTAGCTAGGATTACAAGCATGTGCCACCACCACGTCTGGCTAATTTTTGTATATTTAGTAGAGACAGGGTTTCACCGTGTTGGCCAGGCTGGTCTTGAACTCCTGACCTCAAGTGATCCACCCACCTTTGCCTCCCAAAGGGCTGGGATTACAGACGTGAGCCATCGTGCCCATCCCATCTTCTTTTTTTTATTGAACACATAAATTATTATTTTAATGGCCATACGTAACTCCAACTCTGTCCAGCTTGGCAAGACAGCCAAAATATCTATTTAGCTTTTCAATTGCTGCTTTCTGCTTGTTTTCTCAAAATCTAGCCCCAAGCGTAAACAGTTTAGGGATTTGTAATAGCTCTAGGGAAAATTGCTGGCATTTCAGGTATACTTCTCTGCTGTTCCCTCCTCT